>NT_187577.1:0-624492 GCF_000001405.40 Homo sapiens | reverse complement strand
AAGCTTTACCTTTACTAGACCCATCTGTGGAACATGAAAACTCTTAGCAGGCTGCAGGTTATTTACCGCAGGAATTGTAAACGCAAACCTTTCACAGTCTTGCTCAGCTAAGGGGATAGTAAAGAAACAGTCTTTAAATCTATGACTATTAAAGGCCAATTTTAAGTCCTCTAAAGCCTTCAGTTTCTCTTTACTCTGTGGTCATTCTTCTATCCAAATTGGCTTTTCTGTTAACCATTTTAAAGATATAGGTTCTGGAGACTTAACAATGGCATCATCAAAAATGATATCCTAAACCTTGGCAGGAACTTTGTCTTTCCCCTTGAAGTGGTTCCTTTAAACCTTGCAAATTTTTTCCTAGTCCCATACCACAGACATATCCCATTTCATGCATCATATGTTGACTTTGAGGGCTGTATAATTGTTCTGGAATTAGAACTTGTGCTCCCCATTGTTGTAACAAATCTCTCCCCCATAAATTTATAGGTACAGAAGTTATAATTGGTTGAATAGTCCCAGGTTGTCCATCGGGCCCTTCACAGTGCAAAATATAACTACTTTGATATATTTCAGGGGCTTTGCCAACTCCAACTGTGTTAAATTGAGTGGGTTGAATTGGCCACATGGATGGCCACTACTGTACAGAAATGATTGAAATGTCCTCCTGTATCTACCAAACCTTTAAATTTCTTTCCTTGAATAGTTATTTCACAGGTAGGATGTTTATCAGTAATTTGATTCACCCAACAAGCTGCTTTACCTTGTGTATTTGTGCTTACAAATCCTCCTGTTCATTTTTTTGTTTGTTTGTTTGTTTTTGAGATGGAGTCTTGCTCTGTCACCCAGGCTGCAGTGCAGTGGGGCAATCTCCACTGACTGCAAGCTCCGCCTCCCAGGTTCACACCATTCTACTACCTCAGCCTCCTCAGTAGCTGAGATAACAGGCACCTGCCACCACGCTCAGCTAATTTTTTTTGTATTTTTTAGTAGAGACGGGGTTTCACTGTGTTAGCCAGGATGGTGTTGATCTCCTGACCCTGTTATCTGCCCACCTTGGCCTCCCAAAGTGCTGGGATTACAGGCATGAGACACCGAGCCTGGCTCCTCCTGTTCATTTCATTTCACTTTTCCCCATTTCCACATACGGCACAATCAGGAGCTGTGCTGTACGCTCTCCTGGCTTTGCTTTCCAGAGAACAGAAGTAGATATAACAATTTCAATTTCCCCCATTGTAGTCTGAATCAATGACTCCTGTATGTATTTTTACCCCTTTTAAATTTAAATTAGACCTGCCGAGAAGTAATCCTAACGTCCCTGCTGGCAAGGGTCCACAGACTCCTGTTGGAACCTTCTGCGGGGGTTCCCAGGCAGAAGGCTCACATCTTTTGTGCAGCATAAATCTACTGCAGCACTACCAGCTGTGGTGGGGGACAGATATTGTACAGGGGTGAGGGAATGGCCTGAGCTGGAAATGCCCTGGTTTGGAAAGGGGCCCAGGATGGGCCCCTTATGACATTTCCTGAAATCGGGTTCCCATCTTTATCAAACTTAGAGTGACACTGATTAGCCCAATGTTTTCCTTTTTTACATTTTGGACATATTTCAGACTCAGCAGTTTTCTTTTTTTCCATATCTGGCAGCCTGACTCACTGATTTTTTCTACATTCTTTTTTAGTATGACCATGCTTCCCAAAGTTAAAACAAGCTCCAGGAAACAGAGTATTTCCTTTATCCACTCTCAGTCCTGCCATTTCCTGTGCCAACAAAGTAGCTTTATGCAGATTACCTCTGATACCATCACAGGCCTTGATATAATGAACTAAATGTTCTTTCCCTTTAATAGGTCACAGAGTAGCCTGGCAATCAGGATTAGCATTGTCAAAAGCTAATAACCGAAACACTATATCCTGTGCAGCCGAATCTGTAATTACCTTTTTAAGAGACTCCTGTAACCAAGCTATAAAATCCACATACGGTTCTTTCAGTCCCTGTTTTACAGCACTAAAGGAAGGGTATTGTTCTGCACCTGAAGTGACTTTTTTTCCCAAGCTCTAATGCACACTCCTCTAAGCTGTTCTATGGCATCATCCTGCATGACCACTTGTACATCTAAAACTGCCCAGCTGTCAACACCCAAAAGCTGGTCTGCAGTTATATTAATTTGAAGTTGGGCCTGGGTGTTGCGAGCAGCCTGAATGGAAGCTTCATCTGCCCACCAAGTTTTAAATTGTAAAAACTGAGCAGGAGTTAGACAAGCTCAAGTAAGAGGATCCCAGTCAGTAGGAATCATCCAACTGGAAAAAGCAACATTCTTTAACAGTCCCATTACAAAAGGAGACCCTGGTCCATACTGACTAATAGCTTGTTTAAATTCTGTGAGTAATTTAAAAGAAAAAGGCTCAAATGTAGCTATAATATTTCCCTGTTGATCTAGGGGATGTACTCTAACAGGGAACTGCCAAGCCTCTGTATCACCATCTCATCTAGCTTGCTGAATTCCTGCCTGAATAGAACTGAGAGTAGTCACTGGAGGTGCTGCTCTAACAGTCACTGGGGCAACTACTTTTTGCCCAGTGTCCTCCAGAAAAGAAAGATCTGGAGGGTCAGGCCACTCTTTTTCTTCAAAATAATAATGAGGGGATGCAGAAGGGTAGGGATGAACCTCTCCCTCCTTTGCTGCTTTTGTTTTAGCTGGCAAACAAACCTGCTCTCTAACCTCTTCTGCTCCTTCATTATACTCTCCTTCCTCCTCATCATTAGTGTGAAAAGGTTCTAAAGTGGAACGAACCAGAGCCCACACTTGTCCCATTGTTACCCTGATGCTTCTGAGCTCCCCTTCTTACTCACCATGGGGATTGCTTTAAGAGTACTCGGGTGTCCTCCAGCTTAGGTCCACATTCTCCAACTGTTGCTCTGGTGACCCTTTGACCTGGATTCGAGCCCCCACGATGGACACCACTTGCTGAGACCAGCTTGGTCAGGGTGACCCTAACCCAGCGACACTAAAGGAATCAAAGACACACACACAGAAATATAGAGGTGTGGAGTGGGAAATCAGGGGTCTCACAGCCTTCAGAGCTGAGACCCTTGAACAGAGATTTACCCACATATTTATTGACAGCAAGCCAGTGATAAGCATTGTTTCTATAGATTATAGATTAACAAAAAGTATTCCTTATGGGAAACAAAATGATGGCTGAAATAAAGGGATGGCTTTGGCTAGTTATCTGCAGCAGGAGCATGTCCTTAAGGCACAGATCACTCATGCTATTGTTTGTGGTTTAACAATGCCTTTAAGCAGTTTTCCACCCTGGATGGGCCAGGTGTTCCTTGCCCTCATTCTGGTGAACCCACAACCTTCCAGCTTGGGCATTATGGCCATCACAAACATGTCACAGTGCTGCAGAGATTTTGTTTATGGCCAGTTTTGGGCCAGTTAATGGCCAGATTTTGGGGGGCCTTTTCCCAACAGTAACACTCATTGCAAAGGTCTGCGGCTTCACTCCTGAAGTCAGCAAGACTACGAACCCACTGAAAGGAAGAAACTCTGGACACATCTGAACATCTGAAGGAACAAACTTCAGACACACCATCTTTAAGAACTGTAACACTCACACGAGGGTCCACAGCTTCATTCTTGAAGTCAGCAAGACCCAGAACCCACTGGAAGGAACCAATTCTGGACCCAATGATACCTCTCTACTTTAGTAGATGGGAACAAAGACCGTTTCCAGTCTTGTGTGAGTTATAGAAATTGCTTGGTCTTCTGCTAATTCCTTAACTCTGTGGAACTTCACTCCATGCCTGCCCAGAGTAGAATTCAGGCAAACACTCAAGAGATCTCCTTTGCATATTTCTCAAGCTCTACCTCTGTGCAGTTTTCCTCTCTTTGGTACTTTTGCTTACAAATAGCTGCAAACTCACCCTTTCTGCATTTTGATCTTATCTCCTCAACTCAGTTAGAATGCCAGATTATTTTGATTTCCCCTTAATATATTGAGAGCTACCTCCTATTATTAAGCTGGGACCATCACAGAGCTCCCCTTGTTTCCTTTCCGTATCTCAGAGATCCTTGTCTTGTGCTACCTGTTGTCCAGTGTCTGAACATCATTGTTCCATGTATCTGTCTGATTTGTTTATGGACAGAGAAATCTCCATAACAGGTAATGCTTCATAGGTCATTGAAAAAAATCTGAAGTTTGATTTTGTTTGAGATGGAGTCTTTCTGTCACCCAGGCTGGAGTGCAGTGGCACAATCGCAGCTCACTGCAACTGCCTCTTGGGTTCAAGCCATTCTTCTGCCTCAGCCTCCCCAGTAGCTGGGATTACAGGTGTGCACCACCACATCCAGCTAATTTTTGTATTTTTAGTAGAGATGGGATTTCACCTTGTTGGCCAGGCTGGTCTCAAACTACTGACCTCGTGACCTGTCTGCTTTGGCCTCCAAAGTGCTGGGATTACAGGCATGAGCCACTGTGCCCAGCCATGAAGTTTGATTTTATAAAATGCTATTTCAATACTTTTAAGGTGCTGTTGTTTATTTTTTAAACCACCTTAAATCTATTAAAGGACAGAACACCTTCATTCATTTTCTAATATTAAACTGATCTTGCATTCTTGGATTGAATCAAATTTGTTTATACATTTATATTAGGAATCTTAATTGAGCTTTCTAATACTTTGTTTAAGGTGATTGTATCCATATTAATCAGTGAAATTTCCCTCCAATTTGTCTTTCTTAATGGTGCTTTGATTTTTTTCCACCTTTCATTTTCTCTTCCCTGGAAGTGTTTTTAGGAGATTGAAATTATTTGTTTCACTTTTTTTTTTTTTTGTAGGAGTTACCAGAAAAGCTATGGGACTGAAGCTACATTTGGGAAGATTTTGACATAATGATTCAAATGGTTTAATTAATATGGAAATACTCATTTGTCTCTATGTTTGAATCAATGGAATGAGTTATATTTTTTAGGAACTTTTTTGTTTCATCTGAATTTGGCAATTTATTGTCACATTGTTTATTGTGATCTGTTTTCATCTTTTTAACTTTTGTAGCTAATATGACCTTTTCATTTATGACATAGCTTATTTGTGCCTTTCCATTATTTTATTGATTAATCTTATGAATATTTTGTTTTGAGGTAATAATCCTTGGGTCAAGGATACAAAAGGGTGGCACCAGTTTAAGGTTGGAGAAGCAGTTGCTGAGCAGATGTCCTCACAGAAGTATTGTTTTGTATAAGATGACTTTTTTATGCAAGGTTGCGGTTTACATAGAGTGTTTTGTGATTTTTTTTTTTTTTTTTTTTTTTTTTTTTGAGATGGAGTCTTGCTCTGTCACCCAGGCTGGAGTGCAGTGGTATGATCTTGACTCATTGCAACCTCTGCCTCTCAGGCTCAAGCAATCCTTATGCCTCAGCCTCCCCATTAGCTGGGACTACAGGTGTGTGCCATCATGCCTGACTAATATTTTTTGTATTTTCAGTAAAGACAGGGGTTTCACCATGTTGGCCAGGCTGGTCTCGAACTCCTGACCTCAAGTGATATGCCTACCTCATTCTCCCAAAGTGTTTGGATTACAGGCATTAACCACTGCACTTGGCCATTTGTGTTATCAGGGATTCATGCATGAGAACCCTCCCTTCATGGCTTTTCCTGATTTAATTTGCCAGGTTTTTTATTTTATTTTGTATTTTTACACAAATGACATAGTTTAGATATCTGTCTCCTCGAAATTTCATGTTGAATTTTGATCCTAATGGGAGGTGTCTGGGTCATAACAGCAGATCCTTCATGAATGGTTTGGTGCTGTCCTCATGGTAATGAATGAGTCCTCCCTTTATTAGTTCCCATGGGAATTGGTTGTTTAAAAAGTCCAGCACACTGGCTCCCCATCACTTCCCCTTCACCTTCTGCCATGAGTGGAAGCAGCTTGAGGCCCTCACCACACACAGATGCCAGAGCCATGCTTCTTTTACGGCCTGCAGAACCCTGAGATAAACAAATCTCTTAACAACAAACCTTTCTTTACAAACTATCCAGCATGGGAGTATAGTAAAAAAGTATCTAGAATTCAAACTTCTCATGGAACATCTGGACCCAGAAGAAGAAAGAAGAAGAAGAAGAAGAGGAAGAAGAAGGAGAAGGAGAAGGAAAAGGAGAAGGAGAAGAAGAAGGAGGGGGAAGGGGAGGTGAAGGAGGGGGAGGAGGAGGAAGGCGGAGGAAGAAAAAGAAGAAGAAGAAGAGGAGGAAGGAGAAGGATGAAGAGGAGGAAGAGGAGGAGGAGGAGGAATGTCAACTAGCACAAATGCTTGGAACAAAACAATTAACTTGCTGCTTGGAGGAGGTAGCCCTAAAAATAATGCAGCAGCAGAGACAGAAGATGATGACAGTGATGGGGAGGAAGGAAGAGGAAACACTTCAGAGGTGAGGTGGAAAAGGCTTCAATGTATTGCATAGCATATTATGTTAAATGATTTGTATGTGCTTATATATGTCAGTTTATTAAATGTACATCAAATATGAACATTTATCTGTTCCCAAATAATACTTATATCATTTCTTATGCCTGTCTTGTACTTTAATCTCTTAATCCTGTTATCTTCATAAGCTGAGGATGTACGTTACCTCTGGACCACTGTGATAATTGTGTTAACTGTACAAATTGATTGTAAAACATGTATGTTTGAACAATATGAAATCAGTGCACTTGAAAAAGAACAGAATAATTTTTACAGAACAAGGGAAGACAATCATAAGGTCTGACTGCCTGCGGTGTCAGGCAAAAAGAGCCATATTTTTCTTCTGGCAGAGAGCCTATAAATGGACGTGCAAGTAGGAAAGATATCATTAAATTCTTTTCCTAGCAAGAATATTAATATTAATACCCAGGGAAAGGAATTCTTTCCTAGGGGGAGGTCTATAAACGGCTGCTCTGGGAATGTCTGTCTTGTGCAATTGAGATAATGACTGAGATAAGCCCTGGTCTCCTGCAGAATCCTCAGGCTTACTAGGGTTGGGAAAACTCTGCCCTGGTAAATTTGTGGTCAGACCAGTTCTCTGCTCTTGAACGCTGTTTTCTGTTGTTTGAGATGTTTATCAAGACAATACATACACTGCTGAACATAGACCTTTATCAGTGGTTCTGCTTTTGCCCTTTGCCCTGTGATCTTTGTTGGACCCTTATCAGTGGTTCTGCTTTTGCTCTTTGTCCTGTTCCCTCAGAAGCATGTGATCTTTGTTAGACCCTTATTAGTGGTTCTGCTTTTTGCTCTTTGAAGCATGTGATCTTGGTACCTACTCTCTGTTCTTACACCCTTTTGAAACTCTTTATAAAAACTTGCTGGTCTAAGACTCAGGCGGGCATCACAGTCCTACAGATATGTGATGTCACCCCTGGCAGCCCAGCTGTAAAATTCCTCTCTTTATACTGTCTCTCTTTATTTCTCAGCTGGCCGACACTTATGGAAAATAGAAAGAATCTATGTTGAAATATTGGGGGCGTGTCCCCCCAATATATTTGATTCTAGATTTGATGATTGGACCTTTGGGAGGGAGTGAGAAAGAATGAGAGAGAGAGAGAGTGTGTATGTTTGTGCTTTTTTGTATGCTTTGCATTATATTTCAGCAAGAAAGACATTTTGTATAGGTCTGACACAGTGGCTCACGCCTGTAATCCTAGCACTTTGGGAGGCTGAGGCAGGTGGATTGCCTGAGCTCAGGAGTTCGAGACCAGCCTGGGCAACATGGTGAAACCCCCATTTCTACAAAAATACAAAAAATTAGTCAGGTATGGGAGCATGTGCCTGAAGTCCCAGCTACTCGTGAGGCTGAGGCAGGAGAATTGCTTGAACCTGGGAGGCGGGGGTTGCAGTGAGCTGAGATAGCAACACTGCACTTCAGCCTGGGCGACAGAGCAAGACTCCATCTCAAAAACAACAACAACAGAAAGGCCGGTTGTATAGAACAGTAATGATTGAGGTCAATACTTTTTGTCTGGAAATTGTTATGCCTTGTCATCTGTTAAGCCTCTAGTGCACAGCTATGTGCTAATCTTTTTGTTTCTTTGTTTTGTGTGTGTGTTTTCCTTTTTTTTTGAGGCAGAATCTTGTTCTATTGCTCAGGCTGGAGTGCAGTGGCACCATCTTGGCTCACTGCAACCTCTGCCTCCTGGGTTCATGCCATTCTCCTGCCTCAGCCTCCTGAGTAGCTGGGATTATAGGTGAACGCCACTGTGCCCAGCTAAATTTTTGTTTGTATTTTTAGTAGAGATGGGGTCTCAGCATGTTGGCAAGGCTGGTCTTGAACTCCTGACCTCAGGATTATAGGAGTGAGCCACTGCACCCATCCTGCTAATCTTTTTAGGAGTCACTTGGTTGTCGTCACATGGTTACTTTCAGTGCACCATGGGCTTCAAATTCCTATAGAGGTTGCTTATACTTTTGGTGGAGCATTAGTTTAGCAGATCCATGTCTGATTCTGAGTTTTAGTTATTCTTTTTGTGCCGTGTATAAGAGAGGGTCTCTTTCTATCGTCTATTCCTTTTAAGAAAGAAAAAAAATTTATCTGATGAACATGAGCTCCTTTAATTATCGGGCCCAGAGAGGCACTGAAATGTGACAGTGTGTGACTGCAGTTACATTCCGCTACCGCTTTGAACTAAATAATTACCTCTTGAAACCACTTCTTATGTGGGCTCTAGACATACAGATGTCAAGTAGCCATAAAATTACATATGCTGGACACCATAACTGATACCCTATAGATCAACAATATATAGCCAGCTACTAATCAATATTATTTCTGTAAACCAATGGGAATTCCTATCAAGCAGCTTTGTGTCAGTCCAGTCCTTGTTCCCTTTTGCCTTAAGACCCTGCTGTAACAAAGGCTGAGCAGAGCACTCCTCAAGGCAACTGTGAAGTGTGTTCTGGGTAGCTGCCCTCAACCGTGGCCCAAATTAATTGTCTATTAATTTTTGCCTCAGTTCATTTCTTTAGGTTAACACTTTCCTGCCTCTCTCCCAGAAGTATTCTATTGTCACATGTTATTTTTAATTTTTTTCTATTATGTATATTTTAGAGATGGATGTCACTTTTTATTTAAAGCTAACTTAGTTTGGTGGTTAGAGTGGTGGTGGGGTGGGGACGCACCTTCTCTTGTTTTCATTATTGGTCTGGAGCATGCATTTTCTTCCTGAGTCTTGGGGATGTGGCCTTCTCCATTCTCTTGCATCTCTCTGAATGTGGTTATTGCGCTCAGTGCTTAATCTTGGCCCTTTTTCGAGAGTAGGATTTTTTTTTCTTTTTGCAGCCATTTTTCCCCCCGCTGCAATTAGTGTCCATTAATGCACTAAGAAAGCCAATTTGTTTTATAGTGGATGTAAAAGAGAAGGAACTCTTGCTCCTTCTTCATGACTGCTGGGCTCCTCCTCGTGCTCTGTATCACAATAAATACTTCTTAGAGCTCTTTGCACATTTTGCTGTTAGAGCCCACATAAAGTTCATAAAGACAGAGACCAAAAGGAAATACAGATTCCTTCACTTTCTACATGTCCCAGGTGTTTCACACGGTTTTCCAGCCCTCACTCAGTCATCACCAATTGTTCACCTATTTTAGCTTAAAAATGTTTAAAAGTGTTTGGTTTAAAAAAGTTTAAAAGTGTTTAGTTCTGCCTGCCTAAAATGATAGCTTGTTTGTGTCTTAAAGCAGACATTGCCTGTCTTTAGATTTTGCAACAGTTTTAATTTCTCCATGATACCAGCCCTCCAAAGAGTTCCAAAAAGTCATAAATTTGAAATTGATCTGGCCCTTTTTGTGTTGTAAGACTGAGAATGAAAACTTCTTTTATTTCTCAACATCCCAATGTAGAAGCTGGAAGTCATATTTATTTATTTTTAAATGTTAAGCCAATTTTGAATTACTGGAAAGTACAACTTATTAATGATACATTGTTTAAATAACACTAAATGCTGTGTGCTAAGACTTTCTTAAGATTATAGTTTCTCTGTGAATAATGTTTTTTGTTTGTTTGTTTTTGAGAAGGAGTCTCTCTTTGTCGCCCAGGCTGGAGTGCAGTGACGCAATCTCAGCTCACTGTGATCTCCACCTCCCAGGTTCAAGCAATTCTCCTGCCTCAGCCTCCCAAGTAGTTGGGATTACAGGCGTCCATCATCAAGCCCAGCTAATTTTTGTGTTTTTAGTAGAGACGGGGTTTCGCCATGTTGGCCAGGCTGGTCTTGAACTCCTGACCTCAGGTGATCCACCCACCTCAGCCTCCCAAAGTGCTGGGATTACAGGCGTGAACCACTGCGCCCAGCCTACTCTGTGAATAATGTTAACCTGTACTTTTTCCTTTTCCTAAGTGTCTTGTCAGGTTTAATATAAAGGTTAGGCTGACTTATAAAAGGTATTTATGGAGTACCTCCTGCTTTTCTAATGTCTTGAAGGATTTGTTTAAGGTTCAAATAATTTTTCCTTTGATTTTTAGTATATACATAGTTGAAGTGATCTGTGCCTAAAAACTGTGAGGGGGAGCAGTTGGGGGGCGGGTGGGTGAGGCAGTGAGCTGTGCAAGCTTCAGGTTACACTTTAAATTTTCTTAATAGATCTTCCAGAATTTTATAAATTATTGGTTATATAGAATTTTGAAGGTTCTGGAGGAAAAGAAATTACATAATCAGTGACAACTGCAGGAAGCTAATATCATCCCCAGAAATAGAACAAAAGTAAGAATATTATTCAGAGCTTGCAACTGCTTCATAAAAGATGCCATTGCAGTCAGAACCACACTGTGTATCCTGAGTCTACACTCTCTGCTCACTCTCACCATTCCTACCATTTGACTGCCTCTCCTTTTACCACTGTATCTGCCACTGTCAAATATCAGAAAAAAATTTTTTTCCTCTTGCCATTATATTTCCTGCCATTGTTTCCCATTGGCAGAATAACCCCCCACAAAAAAAAAAAGTGAACTGGCAAAGGATTTTAGGGAATATAGCTGTCAGAATGAGCAGGGTTTAGACAGGAAACTGAAGCTGAGATATGACAGGTACTACTTGGTATGTTCTCTTTTTTGGCAAATAGTCATAAACATACCCTTTTATTTGTGTTTGAATTTTTGTTGTTGTTGTTGTTATTGAGACGGAGTCTTGCTCTGTCACCCAGGCTGGAGTGCAGTGGTGTGATCTCAGCTAACTGCAACCTCCACCTCCCAGGTTCAAGTGATTCTCCTATCTAGCCTCCCGAGTAGCTGGGATTACAGGCGTGTGCCACCACGTCCAGCTAATTTTTTTTTTTTTTTTTTTTTTTTTTTTTTTTTTTTTTTGAGATGGAGTTTCGCTCTTATTGCCCAGGCTAGAGTGCAGTGGTGCAATCTCGGCTCACCGCAACCTCCGCCTCCTGGGCTCAAGTGATTCTCCTGCCTCAGCCTCCCAAGTAGCTGGGATTAAAGCATGCGCCACCATGCCCAGCTAATTTTGTACTTTTAGTAGAGATGGGGTTTCTCCATGTTGGTCAGGCTGTTCAGGAACTCCCGACCTCAGGTGATCTGCCCGCCTCAGCCTCCCAAAGTACTGGGATTACAGGCATGAGCCACCACACCCGGCCCTAATTTTTGAATTTTTAGTAGAGACGGGGTTTTGCCATGTTGGCCAGGTTGGTCTCAAACTTCTGACCTCAGGTGATCTGCCCACCTCAGCCTCCCAAAGTGCTGTGTTTAAACTTTCATGCAGCATACTGTTTACACGTAACTGGCTTCCTAAAAGGCATCATTACTCATGCAAATGAAGACACATTCATCTTCTCAGAAAGGGAGACACAAAGCTTCCTCAGTCACTGCCCTCATCTCTGGGAATTAACTGGCCTGCATGTTCTCTAATTAAAGAATGAACCGGCTGGGCGTGGTGGCTCACACCTGTAATCCCCGCAGTTTGGGAGGCCAAGGCGGGCGGATCATGAGGTAAGGAGATTGAGACCATCCTGGCTAACATGGTGAAACCCCGTCTCTACTAAAAATACAAAAAATTAGTGGGGTGTGGTGGCCAGCGCCTGTAGTCCCAGTTACTCGGGAGGCTGAGGCAGGAGAATGGCGTGAACCTGGCAGGTGGAGCTTGCAGTGAGCCGAGATTGCACCACTGCACTCCAGCCTGGGTGACAGAGCAAGACTCCGTCTCAAAAAAAAAAAAAAGAATGAACCGTAAGTTTGACAAATGTCAATCTTCATGTAGAATGAGAAAGGAAATAAGAGACTTACTCATAGCTATTAAAAGTCTTTTCTGAAATGGGTAACAAGGCAACTGTTGATGTTTTTAGCTTCCTCTTTTGTTATGGGCTGAATGTTTGTGTCTTTCTAAAGCTCATGTGTTAAAACCCTGACTCCCAAAGTGAAAAAGTATCTGGAAGCAGGGCCTTCCGGCAGTAACTAGGTCATGCAGGTTGAACTGTGGTGATGGGATCAGTGCCCTTTTAAGGAAAGTAAGAGACACCAGGGCTTCCTCCTTCTACCATGCCAAGATGCACCAAGAAAGAGGTCACTTGCAAGCCAGGAAGAGAGCTTTCACCAAGAACCAAATCACCTCTTTGATCTTGGACTTCATAAGAAAAAATAATTCTGTTTTTTAAGTCACCCAGTCTATGGTATTTTTTTAAAGAGCAGTCTGAGCTGACAGAGATACTCTTTCTACTATACATTTTGTTTTGTTTCTTTCATGTCATCCAGAACCTTAGCTAGTGAAGGATCGTTTTTGTTTTCTGGTGGAATAACCCAGGACATGTTTTCTCAAATAGTCTTAATTCAGGTGTAGTTAGTGTAGTGTAGTTGGTATAACTGCTTAGTTTTCGGCATTATTATCTCTTGTTTCAGCACGTCAGGACAGCCTTATTTTGCCCTATAACAAGGACTATTACCTCAGCCACAACAGTAAAACCTGATTTGTCTGCTGCTTCAGCAGAATTAGAAGTACTTAATTGTGGCCAGGAGCGGTAGCTCACGCCTGTAATCCCAGCACTTTGGGAGGCAAAGGCGGGCAGATCACTTGAGGCCAGGAGTTCAAGACGAGCATGGCGAACATGGTGAAATCTCATCTCTACTAAAAATACAAAATTTAGCTGGGCGTGGGGGTGCATGCCTATAATCCCAGCTTTTAAAAATGTTTTCTTGTATATTTTATTTTTTTATTCATTCATTTCTGTTTTCAGTTTGTTATTTACTTTCCTGTACTTTTTGAGGTTATTTTGTGGTTCTCTTTCTAGATTCCTTTTTTTTTGAAGGAAAATTTGTATTATTTTAATTATTTTTATGTACAGAAAACTCAGCAGTGTACATTTAACCCAGTTTAGTGGCAATTTTTTTAGCTTTTGCCCTTTTGAGTTTGGCAATGCGAGCCACAGACTTGGGACCCAGGACATTGCCTCCCCACTGATGGGAGAGCTCATCATATCTGTTGTTGTAATTGGTCCTGATAGCTTCCACCAGCTTAGCCAAAACTCCTTTGTCTTCTGAGTTAAACCATGTGAAGGCGACAGTGGTGCAGGTCTTCCTGTGGACTAGACAACCCAGTCTTGCCTTCCCTTTGATAATGCAGTAAGGGACACCATTTTACGACACAGGGCAGGCAGGAAGACCACCAGCTTGATCTTTATTTTTTTACCGCAGTAAAGGGAACTTTATTGGTAATTTAGGAGATGTTCAAGGATCATTTTGAGCATGCCCAATTTTGTCCTTAGGCACAGTCTTTAAAACCTACCCATCTCACCAGTTATGACTCCACTGTACCAAAACAAAGAGTCTGTTGGGCAAAGGAATCATTTTAAGTATTTGAGCATGATAATGATGATGTGATGAGTCCACGTTCTCTCAGATTAGTTTGGTAACAAGGAACAAGAGAGAGAGTACGTTCATGTGGATACACATGGTCAAGTGAAGGTGGAATTCACATCAAGAATTCTCGAAAAACCAAACCAGTTTGTGACTCATGTCCCATTTTTTTAAGATGACTAATCTTGGAAGAGTTTGATGCCATAAATATTTATAAGCAACTCTTGATTATAAAATCTGAAAGAAAAACTCTTAACTGGCTCAATATGACTAAAGGCTTATCAATTTTCATTTATTTTTCAGTATTTAAAAATAACAAGTTAAGAAAAATAATACATTTTGAGATAATTTTAGTTTATATACACTAATACCAATCATTTAACCTGAAAACAATAATCACTTACACATTGTAAAAAAAATTTCTTGAGATTAAACAACTAGAAATACTCCATTACCATAAAGCCACAAAGAGGTTCATGTTCCTAAGACCAAAGTCAGGAAAACAAAAATAATCATTATACCAGTGATAAGCACCAAGACAGAACTTTTTTGCACTTGAAGCCATAGACACGAAATAGAAAGTGGAAAAGTAGTGTGTCTCCTTTTCTTTCCCATAGGAATTTCAACACTGAATTTTAAAACATATTTATATTATATTCCAGCAATTTATTTATTTATTTGTTTTTATTTTTATTTTTTGAGACAGAGTTTCCCTCTGTCTCCCAGGCTGGAGTGTAGCAGGTGATCTCAGCTTACTGCAACTTCCATGTTCCCAGTTCAAGCAATTCTCCTGCCTCAGCCTCCCAAGTAGCTGAGATTACAGTCATCTGCCACCACAACCAGCTAATTTTTTTGTATTTTTAGTAGAGACGGGGTTTCACCATGGTGGCCAGGCTGGTTTGGAACTCCTGACCTCAAGTGATCCACCCGCTTCAGCTTCCCAAAGTGTTAGGATTACAGGCATGAGCCACCGCACCCAGCCATTTCCAGCAATATTTTTGAATTTGTCCTATACGTTATAAGTTGTGTGGAGAAACTATTTTGGTAAAAAGTGTTACTGAGATGTAAAAACTAGCTAATATTGCATGTAGATTGCTTAAGTTTTAAAGTGACTGCCTGACTACATAGGTTATTTTCTACAACCTCCAGTATGTTGGCATTACCTCAAACTCAGAGACCCCACAGGACAAAAAGAGACTCCCTTTCTGGGGCTGAGTTGCACGTGGAAGTGTAGCAGTGGATTTGGCCAAGCCTCTGGAAGGAATAGTATCTGTTTTGGGAGAACCCTTGGGACCAATAAGAGGGATGCCCAGGTTCACACTCTGGGACCATTAAGACATTGTCAGTGGGTGAAGTGGAGGGCCAGTGACATGCTGCCAGTGCCCTCTGGGGAAGTGCCAGGGACCCTCAGCTGCAGACCCAAGACGGATCACATTCCCTGATCTTTGCCTGAAAAGTGGCTACTGTTGCTCTGTGTCCTCCAGTGTAACAGGTAAGCTGTGTCCAGACATCCTGCTTTAGTCTTTGCTTTCTAAACGTGTCAGTCACTGACACTTCATTGAGGTGATAGATCCCCTAGTTCCCCCATTGCTCAGCCTCTGGTTTATTTTGGGGGTAACTGAGTCTTTGACCGCTCAAGTCTTTTAAGGGTTAGTTGGACCATTATGTAAGCTTGTTTGTCTTACCTCTCTCTGGGCGGTGGTACTCAGTCTCTCACGCTGCTCTCTAGCAAACTTCTATGTGTACATACACATGCATGCACACACACACACAATATCTCATCTGGCTAAAGTTTTTAAAAATTATAAAAATAAATAATTGTTTCAACAATCGGAATGAGTTGCAAATAAGATTGCTGGAATAACTAGATCTAGCTCTACTGGTTTGGGTTTATTACAGCAAACCTACATAATTTAACATATTTATTTACTTTAGTGTGACAACTGATGAACAAAAGCAGAGCCATCTGAGTTGTATAAAATGAACCAAAGAGGAAGAAAAGTGATGTAAATTTATTTTGCAAATGTAAAATTAATAAAAAAATTAGTATTATTATTATTAAAGTGGGCATTCTTCACTGTTTCCAGACCGTTGTGTGCGTTTTTATTCTATGTTTTAAATTGCTAAATAAGGTGTTCTTCTGGTCCTCTAATGTAGAGGTGACATTTAAATACAACCAATCAGGCCTTAAGTGCAAAAAAGTTTTGTCTTGTGCTTATCACTGGTATAAGTAATTCAAGACTTCTTTTTCTTTTCCCTTGGCCAATCTATATTTTTCAAATATATTTTCAAATAACCAAACTTTGATACTCTCTATTGTTTTTCTGTTCTCTATCTCATTTATCTCTGCTCTACAATTTCTGCTCTAACCTTTATACTAACCTCTAGTGCCTTTCTCTTGTTAGCTTTCAATTTATTTTGTTCTTTTTTTAGCTCCTTCAGGTGTAAATTTAGGTGATTTGTCGGAGATCTTTACCCTTTTTAATCTAGGCATTTACAGCTATGAATTTGTCTCTGAGCACTGCTTTCAACTGCATCCTCTAAGTTTTGGTAATTGTATTTTCATTTATATTTATCTCTAAGTAGTTTCCAGTTTCCCTTGGGATTTCGTCTTTGGCACATTAGGTAAGAGTGATGTTTACTTTCCACATATTGTGAGTTGTTTTCCTTCTCTTCTTGATTTTTAGTTTTATTCTGTTGTGGTCAAAGAAAATATTTTGTATAATTTCCATATTTTAAAATTTATTGAGAATTGTTTTGCAACCAAACATATGGTCTATGCTGGAGACTGTCCCAAGTGTACTTTAGAAGAATTGACATTCTGCTATTGTTGAGTGCAGTGTTCTGTGTATGTTATTAGATTTAGTTAGTGTACAGTGTTGTCAAGTCCTCTATTTTCTTATTGATAATTTGTCTCATTGTTCTATTCATTATTGAAGGTCAGGTATTGAAATTGTCCACTATTATTGTAGAACTGTATATTTTCCCCTTTAGATTTCATTTTATATATTTTTAGGTTCTGTTGTTAGGTAGTATTTGTTTATAATTATTATACCTTCTAGATGAAAAAACTATTTCATCCATGTATAATGCACTTCTTTGTCACTGGTAACGATTTTTACTTATAGTCTATTTTGTCTGATAGCCACCAGAGCTCTCTTTTGATTCCTCTTTTCACAGAATATCTTTACATCTTTTCACTTTTTACCTGTTTGTGACTTTAGATCTAAAATGGGTTTCTTTTAGACAATAAATAATTTGGTCATTTTGGTTGTTTGTTATTTTATCCTTCTGCTAATCTCTTCCTTTAAATTGAAGAGTTGAATCCATTTTCATTTAAAATAGTTACTGTTAAAAAAGGACTCCTGCCTTTCTATATGTATCCACAATAATTTTTTAAGTATTTATTATTATTTACTATTTAGTATTTTTTTAGTATTTCTTTTATTGCTGTGTTCTTTTGTGTTTGACTTTCTAGGTTATTACTTTGCCTTCTTTTTTCTTTTTTGTATGTTTCTGTTATATGGCACAGTTTGTTACTTTCTTAGTAATTACCCTGAGGATTATAATTAACAATCTAAAATACACAATAATTTATTTTGAATTAGTACCAACTTAGCCCCTACAGTATTTAAAAACTTTGTTCCTATATAGCTCTACTTATCTCCCATCCTTGTGTTTTGGTTATTGTTGCAAATTACATTTTAAGCATTATGTGCTTAACAATATAGATTTATAATTATTTTATGCATTTGTCTTTTAAATCAAGTAGTAAAGAAAAAGAGAAGTTATAAACCAAAAATTAAAAATAATGTCATCCTCTATATTTATTTATGTAGTTACTTTTACCAGTGTTCTTTATTTCTACATACAGCTTTGAATTACTGTCTAGTGTCCTTTCCTTTATTTGGAAAGATTTCCTTGAGTATCTTTGGCAGGGCAGTGGTAATAACATACTTTCCCAGTTTTTTGTTTATCTAGAAATCTCTTAATTTAGCCTTCATTATTGTTCCTTTGAGGTTGGGAAGGTGTATGCAAGTGCTAAGCTCCACACGCTCAGGATAATGACAAAAGGATATAAAAAATTTTTGGAAATATTCCTCATGCTGCACACAGATCCAACAACAGAGGGCAGAAGCCTCACTGGCACTAGAGATTTAAACACAACTTCTGACCAAACACTGTTAAAATAATAAGCTGCTTCGACCT
The DNA here is from genome assembly GCF_000001405.40 of Homo sapiens. NCBI lineage: Eukaryota > Metazoa > Chordata > Mammalia > Primates > Hominidae > Homo > Homo sapiens. The sequence continues at coordinate 606,466 of NT_187577.1, read as the reverse complement.
TGGAACAATATCTCAGAAGCCAGGCCTAAAAACGAAATCACATGTATTCTTGGCAGCCTGGAAGACTGTGTGCATGATGTGGGCTGTAACCTCTCTTGAGTGACAGGCCCTAAAATAAGCAGCAAACACTGACATAATTGAAAGAGGAGATAGACAGTTTTACAAAAATAGGGACTTACTAGTCGACTTTCAATAATGAACAGAATAACCAGAAAAAAGATCATAAAGAAATAGAGGACTTAAACAACATGTTAGGTCAACTAGACCTAACAGACATATGTAGAATGCTCTCCCCATCAACAGCGGAACATACACTCTTCTCAAGTGCACACAGAACATGTTAGGACTGTTAAAAGAAAATGAAATAAAGGACCCCCAAATCACTAAGCCAAAGGGAAAAGTCAGGCTGGGACCTGCCTCAGGCAAACCTACCTCTCATTGTATTTCTAAATAAGATAGCTACAAAGATTAAAAACAGTTACGTTCTTCCTTCACAATTTGCCCACAAGGACTTTCCTTGTGGGCCTCAAGATCTTTGCTCTAAGACAGTTCTGTTGAACTTCACCTTGGTAATGTAAATCGATAGCTTATCTTCACAGGTGCAGAGCAAAGGACAGACAAAACTCAGTCATCTCTCTGCTCACCTGAGACAAGTGCATATCCGATTGCCTTCTCTGCCCTATTGTTTATGTAAAAATGTAGATTCACTGAACCAGACTAAAGCATAAGTGACTCTTTCTCTGTCCCCCTCTCACATGTAAATTGTGTATTCAGTGAAAGGTTGACGAAAGACTCAAAAGAATGTAACCTTTTTTCTCTTATCTACCTATGACCTGGAAGCCCAGCCTCAAGTTGTCCTGCCTTGTTAGACAGAACCAATGTACATCTTACACATATTGATTGATGTCTCATGTCTCCCTAAAATGTATAAAAGCAAGCTGCACCACAACCACCTTGGTCACATGTTGTCAAGACTTCCTGAGACTGTCTCGCAGGTACGTCCACAACCTTGACAATATAAACTTACTAAATTGATTGAGACCTGTCTCAGATACTTGATGTTCACAACTTTGATCAAGGAACAAATGCTCACTTTTACTACTGCTATTTAACATTGTACTGGAAGTTTCAGCCATAGCAAAGTGAAAAAAAATGGCATCAGGATTGGAAGAAAGAAAGTAAAGTTATCTCTATTCACAGATTATCTGATCCAATATACAGAAAATCCCAGGGAATAAACACATACACACACACACTCACACACACACAGATAAGCTAAGAAATGAATTAAGCCAAGTTTTAGCATACAAAATCAACACACAAAAAAATCAGAGCACGAAATTCAGTTGTAGTACTTACACCAGCAACACATAACCTGAAAAGAAAATTAGAAACACAATTCAATTTACAATAGCATTTATAAAAATAACATATATAAGAATAAAATTTACCAAGGAGTATGTGATTTTTATGTACAGTGAAAACTATAAAACATTGCTCAATGATTTTAAGAAAAACTAAATAAATACCGTGTGCTCATGGATATTTATTTAGTTCATGCATATTTACTTATCATCACTTTAATATTGTTAAGATGATGATACTACCCAAAGCTATTTATAGAATCAACACAATCCCTATGAAAATTTCACAGATTTTTATTTTGCAGAAATGTAAAAGTCATGCCACAACTTCGTATGGAATTCAGAGAGGCCAAGAATAACAAAAACAATGTAGAAAGAGAAGAACAAAGCTGGAAAACTCACATGTTGGTGATTCAAAATTTACTACAAAACAATAGTAGTCAAAACAGTGTGGTACTGGCATAAAGAATGACATATAGACAACAGAGCCAAACTGAGAGTCCAGGAAGAAACTCTATACACATATGACCGATTTATTTTCAACAAGAATGCTAAGACCATACATTGAGTAAAGAATAGTCTGTTTGAAAAATGGTGCTGGGATAACCAGATATCTATGTGCAAAATAATGAAGCTGGGATTATACCTCACACCATATGCCAAAATTAACTCAAAATGGATCAGTGATTTAATATAAGAGCTAAAATTATAACACTCTTAGAAAACTAATGGACAGAACTCCATGACCTTATATTTAGTATGAGTGCTCAGATGTGACACAAAGAGCATGGGGGAAAAAAAAGAAAATGACACATAAATAAGACATCATCAAAACTGAAAACTTTTGCATATTGAAGGACATTATCAGGAAAGTGAAATAATACCTATTGAATGGGAGAAAATACCATATTTAGATATAAAATGTATATTATTTATATATACATAAGGGATCTAGAATCCAGAATATATAAATAAGTCTTATCACTGAACAACAAAAAGGGAACCCAATTAAAAAGTGTCCAAAAGACTTTAACAGGTAATTTTCCAAAGATGTACAAACTACCAAATAAGCACATGAGAAGACACTCAATATCACAGTCATTGGGGAAATGCAAAGTAAAACTACAGTTAGATATCACTTCACATCTACTTGAATGGCTATATTAAAGAAAGAAAAGAAGAAATAAATACTGTCAAGATTGGAATCCTCATATATTGCTGTTAGGAGTGAAAAATGGTTTAGCCACTTGGAAAGTGTGGCTATTCCTCAAAAGGTTAGACATAAAAATACCATATAACCCAGCAATTCCACTCCAAGTATATTCTCATAAGAATTGAAAGCAGGTACTCAAATACATGTAAAATACAATGAATCTTTCTGAGTTTCTCTTCAAAAGGTTTAGCCTGTTAACTTCCTTACCCTTTGTTCTCAAACTCAACTTTCTCGTTTCTCCTTGCCCCTAGTTACTGTAAACAGTAACTGTGTGCATGATGTGGGCTGCAACTTCCCGTGAGTTCTAATCAGTAACTCACATCTGTTCCCTTGTTTACCTGTACCCATTGTTCCCCTGAAACTGCACGTCTCACACACTCCACCACTGTAACTCACATCCCCCTCCCTTCCATATTAAAAAAAAATACTTATAAGTAGCCAATCGGGTTATCTCAGATTGTGTGGTCTGACCCCAGCCCATGGGGAAGGACACAGACATAGGGATCGCGTTAACGATATAAAAACTCCCTGGTCTCCTTTGTTTGGTGTGCACTTGCGATCTTGATTGACACGAGTGGCACCCTTTTGCAAAAGTAAATTGCCTTGCTGAGGAAACTAAATATATGTTTGAGTGCTGTTTCTTTTGTGGCATCGGAAATTCATTTATAACAATTTTGGTGGCCCGTACAGGGAGCCCATTCTCCTCTGGGGAGGGGTCTCCAGTACTTTCCCGTGTGGAGGCGCGCCCAGTCACCTTGTTGCGGTAGCCTCAAGGTGAGGAATCGAGACCCACCAAGTATGATGAATAAACCCAGACTCTCAGCAATGCAGGAAAGGAACAAACGGGCAGCTTGGGAAAAGGGGGCTCACATACCACAGCGACTAGGTAAACTCTACACAGACCAAGGTAAGAAAAGTCGCAGGGGCGACAAAATATTTCCTTGGTGGTCGGGAGTCTGGAGGTTAAAATGGTGTGAATGGTAACAAGCACTACTGTTGTGAGGAGTGAGTGAGTCCAATATGCAGTTCTGTGGTCACCTCATATGGCTTAGGGCGGCCCTTTGGGGGTCCCATCAGGGGTTTATACTGAGCTGCCATCAATGCTAAGAGGGACCTGAAATACTCCTGCAAGGGAAGCGGCCAGAGCAGACGAAGCAAGAGAAAGGTGCCAGAAATCTCCAGCAGGTGGGACTAAAGGATAGGCAAGAGATTCCTCATGCAAGGGAATTGAGCCTTAATAAGCCTCCATGGAAGGATAGGCAAAACATTCCTCATACAAGGGAAATGAGCCTTAATAAGCCTCCAGGGAAGGATAGGCAAGAGATTTCTAATACAAAAATTGAGCCTAACTAGGACCCAACATGGGAAATACCCCAAGCACAATGGAAAGTAAAAAGGATAAAAATAGCAATAAAGATATTCCCCCAAATTGTCCCCTAGGTCTCATGTTAAAATATTGGAAAAATAATGAGAGAACTAAACATAAGAACAAGCAACAAATGATAAAATATTGCTGTTTTGTTTGGACCCAGAGTCCCCTCCTTAAACCCTCAATCTTCTGGCCAAAATTTGGGTCGAATGAGGATGTAATGTGTCAACTCCTAATTCGACATGTAAATGAAAACAATCCAGTGTCTCAAGAGGAGCTAGACTATGCTCTTTGTTGGAGACAGAGACCTGTCCTCCTCAATCCCTTAAAAAAACTAGGGAAACACCCAATCTAGCACCCCACAATGAAGACTCAGAAAAGCTGGTTCCCATGCCAAAGGACTCCTGTGCATGGGATCCCCATACCACCTTCCCCCACTCAGTGCCCCCAATACTTCCCCTCAGGCAGCTGCCACCCCAGATCCTGCCCCAGATTCTTCCCCTGCCCACGTTATTTCTCCTCCTTACAATCCTGATTCCTGGGAATCATCACCCATGAATCTGTTCCCTCTCAGCCTAAGTGCGCCTCCCTGAAGGGACTCCAACGTGAAGTAGAACAATCTAAAAGAGATATCCAAAATTTCCCATTTCCCTCCACATCTAAGGAGTCAGCTCTGACTCTCTTCCCCTTGAAAGAAGTACCACAAAGTGTGGGGGCTATTGGCTTTGTAAGTGTTCCCTTAACTAGTTCAGAAGTCCAGAATTTAAGGAAGGAACTCAGGCCATTCTTATGTGACCCTTATGGGGTGCAGATCAAGTTAATCAATTCCTGGGACCACACTTTTACACCTGGGTCGAGTTGGTGTCCATTCTAGGCATACTCTTCTCTGGTGAAGAGAGAGAGATGATCTGTAGGGCTGCTATGGCAATTTGGGAGCGTGAACACGCTCCCGATCAAGACGTTCCTACCGCGGATCAAAAGTTTCCTGGCCGAGACCCCCAGTGGGACAATAATAACCCAGCTCACCAAGAAAATATGCAAGACCTAAGGGAAATGATAATAAAGTGAATTAGGGAATCAGTACCCTGAACCCACAACCTTTCCAAAGCACTTGATATACAACAAGAAAGAGATGAGGGGTTTATGAAATTTCTAGACAGACTGAAGGACCAAATGAAACAATATTCAGCCCTAAACTTAGAAGACCCCCTTGGACAAGGACTGTTAAAACTCTACTTCATCATTAAGAGTTGGTTAAATATCTCAAAAACGTTACAAAAATTAAAAAATCGAGAAGACCAACCTCTGAGTGAATTTCTCAGAGAAGCTCAAAAAGTATATGTTAGAAGACATAAAAAGAAACAGGAAAAAAAAGGCAAAACTTATGCTATCCACTTTCTAGCAGGTGGCCCCAAATCCACATACTTCTAAACAAAGCCTCCAGGGGGCCAAAAACTACAAAGGGTCCAGACTGCTGTTGAAAAGACCCAAGCCTCCATCCAGAGGACGCAGGCCCTCATCTACCAGAGTCTCTAAAGAGTATAGGGGAACAAAGACACAAAATCCGAGAGCTGAGAGGGAATAAGGACAAGATAGCTGTTACAGATGTGGAAAGGCAGGCCACTTCAAAAGAGAATGTCCTGAATTAGAAAGAGAGAGAGAAGCCCTGCCCCTCATGACCTTTGAGGGGGGTCAGGGACTCTCTCTTACTTCAAGTCCCACCAGGAGCCCTTGATAAATTTAGATGTTGGACCCAATCATGAACTTATCACCTTTCTAGTTAATTCAGGGGCCACTTGCTCCTCCCTTTGTTTCCCTTCATCTAACATTGCCTGCTCTTCAGAAGACCTTTTAGTCTCTGGGGTAAAAGGGAAGGATTTAAAGCAAAAGTCTCAGAAAGTACAGAAGTTCAATACCAAGAACGATTGACTCATATCCAATTTTTATTGACCCCAGAGGCAGGAACTAACTTATTAGGAAGAGGCTTAATGTTGAAGTTAGGTATAGGCTTACAAGTTAGTCCAAAAGGATTCCTTACCTCATTAAATTTAGTCACCACCGCAAATGAGAAATGTATTCACCCCAATGTCTGGTCCAGAGAAGGAAACCAAGGAAAACTTCACATTCCCCCAATCCACATCAAGCTAAAAACCCCAGAGGAAGTGGTGAGGAGGAAGAAATACCCTGTCCCTTTAGAAGGACGGATCAGGTTAAAGCCCATAATTGAAAGTCTCATAAAAAATGGGCTTCTTGAGCCTTGTATGTCTCCTTATAACACCCCAATACTGCCCATCAAGAAATCAGACAGATCATACCTGTTAGTACAAAATCTTAGAACTGCCAACCAAATAGTCCAAACCACTCACCCCGTTGTCCCTAACCCTTACACTTATTCTCAGTAAAATTCCATATAATCATCAATGGTTTACTGTAATAGACTTAAAAGATGCTTTTTGGGCATGACCCCTAGCTGAAAATAGCCAAGACATATTCGCCTTTGAGTGGGAAGACCTCCAGTAAGGGTGAAAACAACAGTATCAGTGAACAGTTTTGCCCCAAGGGTTCACAGACACACCCAACCTGTTTAGTCAGAGTCTAGAATAAATGCTAGAAAAGGTTTCTGTTCCAAATCACATATGCATGCTCCAGTATGTTGATAATATACTCATATCAGGAGAGGATGTAGAAAAAGTAACCAGTTTTTCCATATGTACCCTTGATCATCTACATTCTGAGAGGTTATGAGTCTCAAAGAAAAAGCTTCAGTATGTAGAACCTGAGGTCAAATATTTAGGCCATTTAATAAGTGCAGGCAAGTGGAGAATAGGGCTGGAGCGAGTTGAAGGCATCGTGTCTTTACCCTTGCCTCAAACTAAGCATGAGCTCAGAAAGTTTCTAGGATTAGTTGGATACTGCTGCTTATGGATTGACTCATATACCTTACACAGTAAGCTGCTATACCAGAAGCTTACTCAAGAAAATTCTGACCATCTCTTGTGAACTTCTGAGGAAGTCGACCAAATTGAGGAACTGAAAGAAAGACTTATGACTGCCCCAGTTTTAGCTTTGCCTTCTCTAGAAAAGCTCTTTCATCTTTTTGTCGATGTAAATAATGGAGTGGCTATAGGAATGCTTACCCAAGAACTCAGTGGCCACCAGCAGCCTGTGGCCTTCTTATCAAATGTTTTAGACCCTATTACCTGTGAGTGGCCTCAACGCATTCAATCTGTTGCCACTATGGCAATATTAGTTGAAGAAAGCAGAAAGTTAACTTTTAAGGGAACTGTAAGCACACCCCACCAAGTTAAAGCAATACTAAATCAAAAAGCTGGGAGGTGGCTTGCTGACTCCAGAATCCTGAAATACAAGGCTATTTTGCTAGAAAAAGATGATTTAACTTTAACTACTAATAATTCACTCAACCCAGCAGGTTTCTTAACAGGAGATCCAAATCTAAAGAAGGAGCACTTATGTCTAAATTTAATTGACTACCAAAGGTCAGACCAGACCTAGGGGAGACCCCCTTCAAAACAGGACGACACTTATTCATACATGGTTCCTCCAGGGTAATTGAAGGAAAAAGACACAACAGGTATTCAGTAATCGATGGGGAAACTCTTAAAGAATTAGAGTCAGGTAAATTGCATAATAATTGGTCTGCCCAAACTTTTGAGTTGTTTGCACTTCTCAATAAATGTTAATAAATCTATGTTTTCCTTAAACTATTGGGTTAGAGACCTATTACTATTCATGATAGTGATATATGATTCATTAGAGCTTGAGTTTTTGAGGTAAATACAAAAGTACATTTAAATTTCTTACTCCAGACAAAGAAGACTATATGTCTAAGAAAGGAAAGGCAAAAAATACAGATTCATATTTATTCACATTGAATTGTGCATAAAACATAACTTTCAATAATGGTGAAAATAACAGAACAGCTTTGTTATGTGCCTTGATCTATACAGAGTTTAAAAAATAGTTCTACATGACTATAGGGTATCTTCAGAAGTGGCGGTATATTAATCTTTGAAAATTCTCTTCTCCATAAGCAATAAGCAAATGTCAAAATTTCTCAGAATCAACTTTTTCATAACTCTGGAAATTCAAAGGCTTGCAGCCACCCAGATAACATTTATTCAAGACAAACAGCTAAATCTCAGTAAGGACAGTAAACTTTGTGGTATTTTAATTTGTCCTAGCCTATCTATCACTCTCCAGATCTACAATGTCCTTGAAAAATAACAGCCTGCATTTCTAGTGCAGCCTGGTAAGCATTGGAGGAAGCACAAGTATGGAACTCTTTGAAAGCCTCACCCTAAAAGAACTGACATTAATTTGACCTGATTGGTCATTCTCCAGAAGACTCCACTTGCAAGAATGCTTGTATTAGATTGACTCAGAACTAGAATGTGTATACAAAAAGCTTTTCTTCTCAGGATCCTTTGTAAAAAACAATTTACAGGCAGGTGTTTTAAATTTTCAGCTGCCTGAGGCAATGGATAACAGTTTGAACAAACAACAGCCAGACCAAAATATTTAACACAAGGCACTGGGGAGTGAGATATTCATAGAAGCTTTGAAAACCTAAACTCTGAAAGGCAACAAGGATGTGTAGAGCTGTCCACACGCACAGAAGATACCTGAGACCAAGAGAAGGCCCTAAACTCTTATCTCTGGCTGACCTTGAAGCTCTGAGCAAGCAAGTGGTGAAGGCTAAGAAGATTTTCAACTGTTTGGTTCAATGTTGAAGATATGACAGAGTAGGCACACAGAGCCCATTGGGAGGCTTGTTGGCACCAGACATTTAAAATAAGCTCTGTCTAATTATTAGCTGACCACGAATCTGAGTAGAGACTTCAGTGACTGCACACAACAATGGATACAGACTTTGCAGAATGATTTGAGGAAAGCTTCTAAACAAACAACTATTAATAACAAGCAGAAGTCATAGTAATCCTTAAGAGGAAGGAAGAATCTGACTTCCAGAGTTGCTGTATGATATCATTTGGAATGTTCTATTTTCAGCAAAATTTATGAGACATACAGAAAAATTATGGTCCATACACAAGAAAGAAACAAGCAATAGAAACTTTCCCCTAGGAATCCTAAATGTTGATCTTGCTAGACAAAGACATGAAATCGATTTTAAATATATTCAAAGACCTAAACAAACCATGTCTAAATAATTAAAAGAAAGTATGAAAATGATGACTTACCAAATAGAGAATATCAAGAAAAGAATAGACATTATAAAAAATAATCAAAAAAGAAATTCTGGGGCTAAAAAGTATAATAACTCAAAGAAAAAATTAACTAGAAAGGCTCCACAACAGCTTTGAGCAGGCAGAAGAGAAGCAGTGAATGTATTTATTTATTTAAATAAAAATATGCTTCCCCATTTCTTTTTTTAAATGAACTTTTATTGTAGATCTTGGGGGCACATGTGTAAGTTAGTTCCAAAGGTATATTGCACAGTGTTGGGGTTTGGAGTATGATTGAACCTGTCAATCATGAAGTGGGCATATTATCCAATAGGTAGTTTTTCAACCCTGGTCTCCCTCCCTTCCTCCCTTCCCATTCTTGCATTCCCTGGGGCCTGTTGTTCCTATCTTTATGTCCCTGTGTACCCAATATTTAGCTCCCAACTGTAAGAGAATATGCAGTATTTGTTGCTTTTGTTTCAAAGCAAAGAAAGAATTTAAAGAGACATCAGTTGAAGAAATTTAGGTGAGGAATGGAAAAAATGACAATTTCACAGACCTGTGACACACAATCAGACTTACAAACATACAATGGGAGTCCCAAAAGAAAGGGAGGAGATAAAAAGGCATAAAGAATATTTGAAGAAATAAGGTCTGAAAACGTCCACATTTGATGAAAAACAATAATCTACACACTTAAGAGGCTCAAATAACTCTAAGAAGGATAAAATCAAGTCATCCATACCTAACGCATAGTAATGAAACTGTCAAAAGCCAGAGATACATAATCTTGAAAGTAGCAAGAAGGAAGCAACTCATTATTTGTAGAAGATCCTCAGTAAGATTCAAAGATGATTTAATCGTATACCATGGAATCTAGAGATAATTGGGTGCCATACTCAAAGTGCTGAAAAATAAACTATGTCAACCAAAAATTCAACATCTTGCAAAACTTTCCTTCAAAAATGATAATAATGATATCTTCATATAAACAACAAAAAAGAAATTTGTGTCTTGCAGACTTACCCTATAAGGTATACTAAAGAAAGTCCTTCAAGTTGAAATGAAAGGATACTTGAGAGTAACTAAAATCCACATGAAGAAATAAAGACAGGAGATAATGGTAAATGTGTAGGTAATGCAATTTATAGTATAAATACATTTTTGTTTGTAATGCTTTTTATTTTATCTGATTTAAAAGACAATTTCAAAAGCATTGATTATAAATATATTTTGGGTGGTGTATAAATATGTATTTTATTTGGCAATAAAATCCAAAGGAGAGGAGGAGAGAGAAATAGGGCTCTATAAGAGCAAAATTGTTGTATACAACTGAAATTAAGTTGGTATTAATCTGAACTATATTGTTATAAATTAATGTGTTAATTTTAATTCTCAGGGGACCTATTACAAAAATATTCAAAAATATATGTTAAAAGAAGTAATGAGGGAATTATTATGGTGTACTAGAAAATATCTATTTGACCAAAAAAAAAGAGTTATAAATGAATAGAAGGAAAATATCTTAAACACATACCAAAAAAAAAGCAAAATGATAGAGTTAAATCTTACCTCATCAGCAATTGTGTTATATGTCAATCAGTAATTTGAACTCACCAATCAAGAGGAAGAGATTAGAAAAATAAATAAATAAAATCCAGCTATATGCTCTCTATAAGAAATAGAATTTAAATTCAGACACAAATAGGTTGAAAGTAAAAGAATGGAAAAAGATTATTTCATGCAAATTGTCAAAAAAAAAAAAAAAAGAGAAAGAGAAAAAGCAAAGAAAAAAAGAAGAAACAGCTACACCAAACACCAATGCAATTATCTGAATGCTTGTGTCTCCTCACAATTAATATGTTGAAACTTAATCCCCAGTGTGATAGTATTAAGAGGCAGGGCCTTTTAGGAAGGACTTTCCCTTATGAATGAAATTATGTAACATGATGTTTATAAGATCTATCCAGGTTTAGCATTATTAGTAATTCATTCCATTTTATTGACTGAAATCCTATTGAATGAACAAGCAACATTATATTAATCTGTTCAGCAGTTGATGGACATTTGAGCTGTTTCCACCTTTTGGATATTATGAATAATCATGCTGTAAACATTTGTGTTCAAGTTCTTAAATGAACATATGTTGTCATTTCTCTTGGGTATATATCTAGGAGTGGAATTTTGGGGCAATATGACAAACTATTTTTCATCTTTTTGAGGAACTTCCAGACTAATTTCCAAAGGAACTGTGCCATTTAACATTCCCATCATCAGTGTTTGAAGAGTTCGGATTCTTCTAATCCTTGCCAATACTTATTTTCCATTTTATTGATTATTTATAGTGCTTGTGAAGCAATATCTCATTACGGTTTTGGATTTTGTTTCTCTAATGCCTAATGACTAATGATCTAATTAGTAATGATCTTGAGCATCTTTTCATGGGGTCATTAGTCATTGATATTATACCACCTTTGGAGAAATATGTGTTGAAGTACTTTACCCATTTTTGTAGGCTTATTTTTCTTTTTTGTTGACTTGTAACAACTCTTTATATATTTCTGCTTTGCTAATTGTTTTCTGTATTTTTTAAATGTAGATTCTTTCTTTCTTCCTCTCTCACCATCTCCCTTTGTGATTATGTTTTCTGTCATAATATTGTTATAGTTTGAATGTGTTCCCCAAATTTCCTGTTTTGGGAATGAAATTCCAAAATTTATATGTTGATGGTTTTTGGAGGTCATGCCTTTGGATGGTAATTAGGATTAGGTGAGGTCATCAGGATGGATTCTCCATGACAGTATTAGTGGCTTTATAAGAAGAAGCAGAGACCTGAACTAGTGTGCTTGCTCTGTCTCTCAATGTGATGCCTCCTGCCACGTCATGATGCACAGAAAGGACCTCACCAGATGCCAGCATCATATTCTAGGACTTCTCAAGCCTCCAGCACCATGAGTTCAATAAACCTCTCTTATTCATTACCCAGTCTATGGTATTCTGTTACAGCAACAGAAAAAGGATTAAAACAGATATGCTTTAATGTCTTACTTTTTAACATTTTGTGTATCCACTCTTGGTTTTTGATTTGTGGTTACCGTGAGGCTTACATAAAACATCATCTAGTTATAATAGCCTATTTTAAGCTGGTAACAACTTAACTTTGATTGCATTAAAACCCTACCTTTTTATTCCCCCTACATATGTTTTTGATGCCACAGTTTACATTCTTTTATATTGTGTTCCTCTTAACAAATTATTATAGCTATTATTTTTTTGTAGGTTTTCTCTTTTAACCTTCTTAATAAAGAGATACATAATTTGCACACCACCATCGCTGTATTCCAGTATTCCTAATTTGACTGCGTACTTACTCTTGTCAGTGAGTTTTATACTTCTCTGTATTTTTATGTTACTAATTAGCATCTTTATTTTTTCATCCTGAGGAATTTCCTTTAGTATTTCTTACAAGGTTGGGCTAGTGGTGATAAACTCATTCAGGTTTGCTTGTATGGTAAAGTCTTTATCTCTTCTTTATTTCTGAAGTATAGCTTTGCCTAGTGAAGTATTCCTGGTTGACAGGTTTTGTTTATTGTTTTTTTTCTTTCTGGCAGTGCTCTGAACACATCATCTCATTATTTTCCTGGCCTGCTGCTGAGAAATCTGATAGGCAACGTGGATTTCTTTTGTGTGTGATGTGCTTCCTTTCTCTTGCTACTTTTTGGATCTTCTCTTTAATTTTTGACAGTTTGATTATAATAAGTCTTGATTTAGTATTGTTTGGATTGGATTTGATTGGATAATCTCGAGTTTCATCTACTTTGATTTACATCTTTCTCCAAATTTGGGAAGTATTTGTCATTATTTATCTAAATAAGCTCTTTCCCCTCTCTATTTCTGTGCTTTATGAGCATACCCATAATACTTTCTTGAACCATCATTATGCTAGATTTGATAACACATTCACAATCATAAGCTGAGGACCAACTGGAAGATTATATTTTCCTAATGCAGAGACTATCACTATAATTTTTCAAACTAAAACATAGAAAGAAAATAATTTAAAAAGCAGAGGAGAATTTCAGATCCTGGGAAACTATAAAATGACCTAATCTAATATAACCAGACTCACAATATGAGGAGAAGAGAAAATAAGATAGGGAAATATATAAAGAGAAAATATTTGAGAGTTTTAAAAATGGATAAAAGATATAAATTCACAAACCCAGAAAACACTTCACATTCTGAGATAACCAATATAAAGGAATTGCACATCTAGGCATATCACAATCAAACTGTTGATAACTAAAGATAAAGAGAAATTATTTAAAACAAGCCCAGAAAAAATTTGGGGGGGAACAACATGAAGAGTGATGTTAGAAGTAACAGAAGGCAAAATCTAGTTCTCATTAGAAGCAACGGAAGGCAAAATCACTGGGATGAAATGCTTAAGATACCAGGAAAAAAATACCTGTTAATGTAGAATGTTATAGCCATCAGGAATGCACTTCAGAAATGAAGACAATATTAAAAACAATTTTTATAAGCTAAGAGCAGAGAGAATTTCTCTGTGTAAATATAAGACCTGTAAAAATTGATACTGAAATTAAGTAAATAAAATAGCAACGTAACATTTTGTGATAGAGATGTAGATACAGTAATAAATCCCATACAATGAAATATTCAACACTAAAAGGAAATGGGCTATCAAGTCATGAAAAAAAGTGAAAGAACCTTAAATTTCTTTTCTTTTTTGTTTTTTTGAAATGTAGTCTCATTCTGTTGCCCAGGCTGGAGTGTTGGCATGATCTTGGCTCACTGCAACCTCTGCCTCCCAGGTTCAAGTGATTCTCCTGCCTCAGCCTCCCAAGTAGCTGGGATTTCAGGTGCCCACCACCACTCCTGGCTAATTTTTGTATTTTTAGTAGAGATGGGGTTTCACCATTTTGACCAGGCTAGTCTCAAACTCCTGACCTCAGGTGATCCTCCCACCTCAGCCTCCCAAAGTGCTGGGATTACAGGTGTGAGCCACTGCACCTGGCCAGGAACCTTAAATTTCTAAGTGAAAGGAGCCAAAATGAAAAGGCTATACTACTGGTGATTCCATTATTACATTCTGAAAGAGGCTAAATTATGGAAACAGTAAAAAAAATCAGTGCTCAGAGAGAAGAGAGGGATGCATAATTGGAGCACAGCAAGAAAACAATTTTGATTGGCACTATAATGATAGATGCACATCATTACACTTGTCAAAACTCATAGAATGCACAACACAAAGAGTCACCCCTAATGTAAGCTATGGATTTGGTTGTTAAGGATGTATCCATGTGTACAATGTTCACGGATTTTAACAAATGTACCTTACTGATATAGGATGTTGACAGTGGGAGATGCTGTGCATGTGGGGTTAAGGATATGTGACCTTAACCCCAGTTTTCCACTGGGTATTTTTCTGAACCTAGAACAGCCCTAAAAAAGCCTATTAATTATACATATATGTATATATGTAAAATATGTGGCTATAAAAATTAAATTAAATTAAATTGAATTATCTTATTGCAATATTCTTACTTTGTTTATTATGGGTATGTGGAATGCAATATGTTGAAGATATATAATATAATCTCTAAACATTAAAAACCCCCAAAAGAACAAATAGTATATTCAAAAATTAACGAGACCAGGTGAAATTAAATTTAAAGCAGCTTCCATTATCCAAAAGAGGTAAGAAAGTAAAAATAAAAGACCAGACAACTAGTAGGAAAACAATAGAAAACTGCTAGCAGGTGAGAGACATAAACTTAACATGTCTGTAATTACTGTAAGGAAATGGACCTAATACTTCAATTAAAGTCAGGTTCATCATACTGAATTTAAAAATCTGTATGTTATTTATACACAAACACACACACACAAACTTTAAGGATATGCCTTTAAAGTGAAATATTTTTTTAAAATATCCCAAGCAGATTCTAATTATTTTTTTAAAAATCTGGCTATGGAAGTGATAGATAAAATAAGCTTAATGGCAAAAAGCCAGTATGGGCAAAGAGTGACATTATAATGACATAAGTTCACTTCATCAGGAAGACAAAACCTCCCTAAATGAGTTTTAAAAAAATAACTTATCTTCAAAATATGATAATTAAAAATTGATAAAACACAAAGGAAAAATAGAAAAGTATTCTTAGTTGGACATAATAAAAGAACAAGAATTAATAAGGATATAAAATATTTGAAAATGTATTATCCAACTTGATCTAGTTGACATTTAAAGAATAATATAATCCACAGCTAAATAGTCTGCATTCTTTTAAAGTTTGCATTCTTTTAAAGTTCGAAACATTCAATGTAATGAACCATATAATGGGCAATGAATTTTCTCTTAGTGAATTGCAATGACTTGAAATTATTCAAAATACAATCTATGATCACAATGGAATTGAGTTAGACATCAATAAAAAAGTAATTAATACATGCTTAAATATGTGGCATTTAAATAACACCAATAAACATGTGGGGCAAAAAGAAATCATGATGAAAATTAGAAAACATTTAGAATTGAATATTAATGAAAGTAAAGTATATCAAAATAAAGTATAAGAATACAATGGTGAAGTTAAAGCAATGAATAGATAGAAATTTGGAAATACATGGAAATTTGTAGTTTAAAGGCATAGGTTAAAAGAAGAAATGTTTAAAATAAATAATATAAACTTCCAATCTTAGAAGCTAGAAAAGGAACATTATGCCCAAAGTAGAAAAAAGGAAAAGAACCCAAGAACAAAATCAACAAAGCAGAAAACATACAACAGAAAAAAATAAAGAAATCCAAAACCGAGTTCCTGTAAAACTTAATAAAAATTATACATTCCAAGACCTATTTACCCAGTATAAAGAGAAACATCACAAATTATCAACATTGAGAATGGAAGAAGAGATATGTCTGCAGGTGCTATAGACCTTAAAAAGTTGCTAGAGGAGAGGAAGTCATTATGAACAACTTTTGTCAATAATTTAACAACCCCAAAGAAATGGACAAATTCCTTCAGAAACATAACTTTCTCAAACCAACACGAAAAGAAAAAAATATGAATATTTTAAAGAAATTAGATAAAAAAGTAAATAAATCTTCTCATGAAGAAAACTCCAGGTCATAATCACTCCATTTCTAAATGCTAAGAAACATTAAAAGAATAAATATTCACAGCATTACACTATTTCAAAGATTAAACGAAGAGATAACATTTCTTAATTTCTTTTATGAGGGCAGCATGTCTTGATATAAAAGTTGGTAAGTTCATTACAATGAAGGAACATTACAGACAACACAACAACACAACAAGGCATTGATGTGTACGAAGTGGAATTTTCATATACTTCTGGTGAGAGTATAAATTAGTACAGTCTTGGAAAACTTGTCGGAAGTATCTACCAACACATACCCTGTGATCCGACAACTTCACTCTAGAAATATACACAGTAGAAATCCTTACTTATTACACCAAAAGGCATGTAGAAGAATGTTTATAGCTAAATATTATTTTTAATAGCTGGAACAATAAACAAACAAAATATTCATTAACAGTAAAATGGAAACACAAGTGGTGTTATATTTAATGAATTTGTAATATACACCAATGAGGATAAAACAGAACTATTGCTTTGTATGAACCTTACAATCATCCTATTAAAAGAACCCAGACATGAAAGAGTAGATGGTGATTGCTTCTACTTGCGAAAAGTTCAAAAACAGACAAAACGAATCTTTGGTTGTTTAGAAGTCATGGTTGTGAGGTTGGAATCTGGGGATTTGGGTGGTTCTTTTTCATTTCTTCATCGTGGTACTAGTTACGCTGTTTTTTTTTTCCACTTGAATATTAATTGACCTGTGAACTTATGATTTATTATATACTTTTTTTCGTTTTTTGTTTCGTTCTTTTTTTTTTTTTTTTTTTTTTTTTTGACGGAATTTCGCTCTCTCACCCAGGCTGGAGTGCAGTGGTAAGGTCTTTCTGCTCACTGCAACCTCTGCCTCCTAGGTTCAAGCGATTCTCCTGCCTCAGCTTCCCGAGTAGCTGGGATTTCAGGCACCCGCCACCATGCCTGGCTAATTTTTTTTTGTATTTTTAGTACAGACGGGGTTTCACCATGTTGCGGAAACTGGTCTCGAACTCCTGATACGTGTTTATATATATTCAATTGAAATTTTACTTAAGAAGTGTTTATAAATCTTCCTGTTCCTCAGCTGTTGGAAGTGATTTTGTTGTTGCTGTTGCCTTAATTAGGCATCACGTCCAGTGGAGTGCTTGTCCTGCAAGAGACAGGGCTCAGGAGCTCGCACGTTCCACAGCGCACCACACCCAACCTCAGCCCACCTGGGCTCTCCCAGCCGCCTACCTCTTCCAGGCTGCGTGGCCGGGGCGTCATCTCGCGCTTCCAACTGCCCTGTAACCACCAACTGCCATTATTCCGGCTGGGACCCAGGACTTCAAGCCATGTGGCGCGTCTTGTTTCTGCTCAGCGGGCTCGGCGGGCTGCGGATGGACAGTAGTAAGCAGAAAAACCCCTCCTCTGGCCTTTTGGGACCCTCAGCGCTACTCTCCCTTTGCCTCCAAGTTACATTGACATCCCTGGGAGGATGCTTTCCTGAGGGGTTTCCAACTCAGCAATTCCAAGCTCATCCCCGACATTGCCGCCTTCCCCACCCAAAATCCACGTAGAATAAGGGCTTTCCCACACGTCCTGGAAACCTAGGAAAGATAAGATAGGAGGTCCTAGGCCTTAAGAGGTTGCTTCAAAATTGTAGTTT
Source organism: Homo sapiens (assembly GCF_000001405.40). NCBI lineage: Eukaryota > Metazoa > Chordata > Mammalia > Primates > Hominidae > Homo > Homo sapiens. Next base: position 588,507 of record NT_187577.1, on the reverse strand, counting down.
CAGATCCTGCTTTGCATTTTTCACGACAGTGAAAGTTGAGACCCAACTTCTGTACTCTCTAGTTGAAGAGTCCAGAGTGAGTTAATTTGTCCTGAGGGGCTTGAACCTATTGACCCAAGGTTACCAGATCCTACCTACAGGGCAATACTCCTAAAGCAATACACCTACTTCTTTTTTAAAAAAATATGGCCGGGCACGGTGGCTCATGCCTGTAATCCCAGCACTTTGGGAGGCTGAGGAAGGCGTATCACGAGGTCAGGAGATCGAGACCATCCCGGCCAACATGGTGAAATCCCCCTCTACTAAAAATATAGAAAATTAGCTGGGGGTGGTAGTGCGTGCCTGTAGTCCCAGCTGCTGGGGAGGCTGAGGCAGGGGAATCGCTTGAAACCGGGAGGCGGAGGTTGCAGTGAGCAGAGATCTCACCACTGCACTCCAGCCTGGGCCTGGGCGACAGAGTGAGACTTCGTCTCAAAAACAAAAAAAAAAACAGAAAAACAGAAAAAAAAACCTCCTTGTATTTTTAGAAAGAAATGGGAAGATAATAAAAATGAGAAGCAGCGTATAGAATAGAGATTAGAGATTTAGATGAAAAACTCATAAAACACGCTCTGAAATGATGGGCATTGTTCTAATAAAACATTTTGCACATTTTGCAGATTTTGATAGTTTACCTGTGCAAATTACAGTTCCGGAGAAAATACGGTCAATAATAAAGGAAGGAATTGAATCGCAGGTAATGAATCACTAACAGTATTTACAAATTTAAAATGATGTAAAGATTTTGTTTCTAAGAAGTTAATCTGCCATTTTTCATTCATGCACACCTGTTGAATTTTATATTTATACCAAATTTTCCCTGAATGGAAAAGCCCTTTTGAAAATGAACCAGGATCAACAATGTTTCACAGAAATAATGGTGCAGTGATGCTGGTTATCAAAGCCCCAAGTCCATTTTCTGAATCTGTCTTCCTCTTGGATGTCTTTGAATAATCATTGGCTTGATTGTTCTAGAGATTCTGTTCTCACTCACCGTTCAGGCTGTATTTGGAGGAATTTTTTGTCATTGTTGCTAAGTAAGCCTTGGCTTGCTTATATGGGATGATGATCACTTGAATTAATGATGTGTTATATTAATGATTTTTTTAGCCCTGATTGCGAATATGTTAATGATTAGAACTCTTTCTTTCATGCTATTTTAGATTATTTTAGTTCAGAATTATTACTCTCTTTTTAAAATTTGAATTTAAAATCTTCTTATCATTTTCACTAAGTTCTAGAATCCATTTCTGAAGTGGAATGTGGTTTCTTGAGACATCAATTTTTTTTTTTTGGTTTGGTAGCAGATGTTCTGGTAATTTAAATGCAAACATTTCCTTAGCATATATCCATTTGTCATCCTAATACAGACATTATAGCTTAAGATGTTATTTAAATCATTTTTAAAGGAATGCATATCTATATATCTATTACTAAAACAAATCATTTAAATAGAAAAAAGCAGTGAGGCTTTTAACAATATTTTATGAAACATTTTTAATGTAAAATTATTATGGAGATGTTAATAATAGTAGAAAATAAGCAGAGAATCTATTTGGAGAGAAGTATTTCAAACAAGAATAACTTGATTGTTATAAGATAGTTATTTGCAATAAGTAAAAAAAAATGCCCATTTTCAACTGTCAAATTCATGAGGAAAAAATTGTCTATTTTGTTAATGTCTGTATTCTTCTTGCCTAGAACAGTGTCAGATACAAATGCTATGTGTATTTATGCTTTTGTGCACTAATCAGGCTCATTATTTTCTCATTTGTAAATGAGAAACTTGGAATAGCTGGTCATCAAAAAGTTCCTTTTTGATTTTGTGGTTACCAAAACCAAAACAAAGCACCACCACCAACAAAAAAATAGTGCAAGGGATAATTGTTGACCGTCAGTTGCTTAGGGAGTTAATGGGAGTTAAGGAGTTAAAGGGAGTTAAATACACAATTAGCATAATAGCCTAGTTTATTTTTAAAATACTGTAATGAATTAACAGTATTTTTAAAACAAACTAGGCTATTATGCTAATTAATTCAACAAATACTATAAACATAATATGAAACTATATATTTTGAATTATTACAGTTAATAAAGGCTAGAAACCATAAGATTATTCAACCTAAAATTACTAGATTTTTTTTTTTTTTTGAGACGGAGTCTTGCTTGTTGCCCAGGCTGGAGTGCAGTGGCGCAACCTCGGCTCACTGCAAGCTCCGCCTCCCAGGTTCACAGCATTCTCCTGCCTCAGCCTCCTGAGTAGCTGGGACTACAGGCACCTGCCACCAAGCCCAGCTAGTTTTTTTGTATTTTTAGTAGAGACGGGGTTTCACCGTTGGTCAGGATGGTCTCGATCTCCTGACCTCCTGATCCACCTGCCTCGGCCTCCCAAAGTTCTGGGATTACAGGCGTGAGCCACCGCACATGGCCTAAAATTACTAGATTTTTAAAAATAATTGAATGTAACTTCTAAAAGTGGGAAATGCAGTATGAAAATATAAAAGTCAGGAATTTAGAGTAGAACAGAGACAGCTGAAAAGATGAAATGCAACATGTGAAAGGCTAAGAGAAAAGGACAGAATTAGAAGCTTAAGCATAGAGTGATTGGCATTCCTGAAATAGGGGAGAAAAGAAGAAGAGGTAATAGTAAACATATTTTAATAAGAAATGGCTTTATAAAGTCGAATCTTCAGAACAGGTGTCCCAAATCCAAAGCAGAGTTTATTTGTTGAAGTCCTAACCCCTGGTGCCTCAGAACGTAAGCATATTTGGAGGCAGAGTCTATAAAGACGTAATTAAATTAAAATGAGTTTACTAGAATAGTAATTAATAGTAAGTTACAGCTCTAATACCATATGACTGGTGTCCTTGCAAGAACAAGGAATCTGAGCACAGACACATGTGGATATGAAGACACCAGGAGACCCAGAAAAAGCATTCCACAAAGTCTAACATCCTTTCTTGGTTAAAAACTCTTAACAGTTTAGGTATAGAAGGAAGGTACCTGAATATAATTAAGGCCAGTTATGAAAAACCCTTAGTTAACATCATAATTAGTGGAAAGGGACTAAAACCTTTTTTTTTTTTTTTTTTTTTTTTTGATGGAGTCTTGCCCTGTCGCCCAGGCTGGAGGGCAATGGTGTGATCTTGGCTCACTGCAACCTCCGCCTCCCAAGGTTCAAGTGATTCTCCTGTCTCGGCCTCCCCAGTATCTGGGATTACAGGCAACCGCCCCATGCCCGGCTAATTTTTTGCATCTTTTAGTAGAGATGGGGTTTCACCATGTTGGTCAGGCTGGTCTCAAAATCTTGACCTCATGATCCGCCTGCCTTGGCTTCCCAAAGTGCTGGGATAATAGGCGTGAGGTTTTCCTTTAAGATGTGGTACAAGACAAGGATTCCCACTCTCAACATAGTACTGATAGTACTAACTATCAAGGGCAGAGGTAAAGATATAAACAGCATCCAAAATCAGAAGGAAGTCAAATATCTTTATTAGCACATGACATGATCCCATATATAGAAAACCCCAGACTCCACCATAAATCTCTTAGATCAAACAGAATTCAATAAAGTTGCAGGTCATAAAATCAACATACACATTTCAAAATAAACAAATAAAGTATATATATTATTTTATTCATTATTTTGATTATGAAATCTAGAATTATAATGTCAAATGCCATTAAAATAAATCAGCATTAAATTCTATTTTTTCTCCTTTTATTAAATGAATGTGTTTTAGAATGCAATTATCATTAATGTAAAATGATGGTTATCCCTTCTAACATTTTTTTTCATTTTCTTTGTATTTTTACTGTGCTCTCCTGCCAGGCATCCTACAAAATTGTAATTGAAGGGAAACCATATACTGTGAATTTAATGCAAAAGTAGGTAATCATCATTATTTTATCAATTCTCTTTGTTCTACTTATAATTTTTGCTTGAAATTGTCCAGAATGTAATTATTTTGTATTTGAAAATATTTCTAGCTTCTTGCCATTCATTCATCCCTTATCATATGATTTAAGCCTATATATGATACATACCTAGAACTTGAATTCAGAGTGTATGTGCCCCTCCTTCTTGTTCCCAGTAGCACCAAATTTTTATTTGGTGATCCAAGAGGTTTCATAAAGGATGAATTTTGATAATTTTCTATCTCTCATAAAAATATATATGGCTTATTTTTAAGTTCTTTTATATTCAAGGTATATTTCAAAGAACATAGCAGATTGCTGGATGTCATGAATCATGACACATTTTAAACTAGTTTACATACTTTATCAAAACTTATTAAGGACTTAAGTTAAAATTAAATAAAATTTGTAATTAGCCAAATTCAATCTCAGGCCAGTTGATGAATTTGGGGAAAACAAGCACAATATACTAAGAAATAAAGAAAAGTGAAAATTGAAATGATTCTTCTAGTGATAAGAACAGATTTCTACAAATTATCAAAAGCAGAAGCCTGCAAATGAAATTACCAAATCAATACAAAAATCAAAAACGCATCCATATCATTTCTAGAATTCATAGCTGCACTCTTTTTATACATCATAAATTTTGGAAAATGTTTTCTATTTATAAGATGGACGGTACTAGTTTGAAGAAATAACATTAAAAAAAGACTCAAAATTACTTTTTTCTGAAGAAAAAAAGTGCTGCCTTCTGCAAGAAATACATAGAGCAAACTGACATAGAATCCCAACAGTTGTTACTTTAGAATGTCAAGTTATGAGACTGAGAGCAAGTCAGTGACCAGTAGTAAAGCATCCTCTGAAATTACTTTCTGCATCACAGATACAGTATTTATAAATGTTTAATATAGATCAAAATATGTAAAGTATGATTAGACATATAAGAATATCTGAATTAAAATGTAAGCATAACAGTAGATTTCTTAAGCTTTTTTCTATTAGAAAAAATGTATAGAATATACAGTACAATTTATGGTGATGTAATGGATGAATCACATACTATATACCTTACATACATATAATGTGGTTATTTTCTTGCACACAAGCGGTGAAAAGGTACTTAAGAAAAAAAATCACATACTAAAATAAAAAAATCTTTTGAATAGTAACCATATCCTCAGTGACTAGCACAATAAAATTAGAATGTAATTACAAAGCCTTCATCAGAGAATCACCAGATATTTGTAAATTCAAGAGCAGTTGCCAAAAAACTCTTGGCTCAAAAACATTCAAAACGTTATTGTAAAATATCAATAAAGTAGTAAGAAATAGAATATTACAAATCAAACATTTTAGAAATGAATAACCAAATGTATAATAAAGTAAAATTCAAAGCTTTCATTGTTTTTACATTTTACCTGCATCAGATGAGAATAAAGTGTATAATATTATGGGATGGGACAGCATAAAGTGTTGTTGGGTAGTCCACACTGGTGGAGTACTGAAGCCTTTAGTGGCTATTGTTATTGGTCTATGTCAAGCCCTGTCAGTCCCTACCCAGGCTATCTTGGTAACTAGTTAGTTTCAGGCATGGCCAACAGTTTATAGACACTCAGGGTGATAACGATATTTACTTTCAAAAGACAACGAGGCCTGGACTGTATGCAGAGCTAGCACCAAACTGTGCATTTTCCTGGCAACATGACCATTTCTGAGGGCTTTCAAATATACAAAATAAGGACACCAGGAACCAATTTTATGACATTGCACAAGGTGTCCTTGAGAAACCTGAGAAGAGATCCAGATTAGTAGGATATTTAGAGTAACACCAAGCCAATGAGTACTTCTGATATCTTTTAAGATGCTGTAGTTTGTCTATGACATGGTAGTCATTGATTTCTTTTTGTTTATATCTCTAAGGACTCTGAATTTTCAATTTGAGAATTAACATCCTTGCATGAATCATGGAGATTCTTATCAATTTTTAAGTTTAATTGTTGCTTTTTCTCACTCTGCTAACCTTTCCTGGGATGCTTTTAAATGTATATTTAAAATTGGGGCCTCTTAATATAAATTTTAGTGAATCAAGTTAGCAATTTTTGACTCACTTATCTATCACATATTTCTATGTACTCATTCACATTTCCTGTTATTCCTGATTTCGTGCTTTATTCTCGATGATTTCCATTTTACTCTTTATGTATGTCTAATCTACTCTTCAAGAATATTTTTCAATGACTATATTTTTCATGGTTAGGATTTCTGTACAAAGTGACACATTTGTGCTTTGTAAATCTTTTATGGCTTTTTATCTCTGTTTTTTATCTGTTTCAACGTTAAAACCTCTTTATTCTTAAGTTTCATAATTTACTTGATTATTGCTATTTTTCTACATGATTTCTCCCAATTTTCAAGCTTTGGACTTTTCCATATGTTTGGAACTATCATTGATGAGCTCGTTTGAGTGAACTTTATCTTCCACCATCCTCTAATCTTTTTTGTGTTGTGGAGGCCTCTCTTCAGGGGTGGTTTTATGGATGCTTTTGCTTGTTTCCTGCCATGACAATTAGCTGGGTCAAAAGTTTACACTTTATCAGCTCAGGGTTCCATAATAATAGGGCTGCTTGGAATCCATTTCACATCTGCCTGAGATATAGTTTAGAGTTTTCATTTCTGCATGTGATGCTATTTCTGCCTCAGTCAGTATTGGGTAGCATCCTTTTGTCCAGGGTCTCTGTACAGCAGGTGTCTTAGTCTGTTTGGGCTGCTGTAACAAAATATTAATACCATAGACTGGGTAGCTTACAAATAACAGAGATTTATTTCTTATAGTTCTAGAGGCTGGGAAGTCCAAGATTGAGGCACTGGCAGATTCAGTGCCTGGTGAAGGCTCATTTCCTGGTTCTTAAATGGCTCCTTCATGCTGTGCCCTCATACAGTAGAAGGAGCAGGTCAACTCTCTGAGATCTCTTTCATAAGGACACTAATCCCATTCATAAGGGTTCCAGCCTTGTGGCCTGATCATCTCTCTAAAGTATCACCTCCTAAAACCATCACATTGGTGATTAGATTTCAAAATATAAATTCTGGGATGAAACAAACACTGACATGACAGAAGCAGGTATTGATTTTTTTTTTCGTTTCTATTAGCAACTTGCAGAGGAAATTTCTAGCTCTATTCCTTTCATTTAAATGCTCACATCAATGTGTTCTGATGCTTGCGACTATTGTCGTAAATAATGTGTTCTCATGCTAATGACCAGAGGACATTAAACCACCTATTCTTAAGGTATGATTCTGATCCAGAATCCATCTTACTTTCCACAGCTTCACCTGCTCACTCTTTCAGCTGTGGTACCAGCCTTTGTTTCTATTGCTTTGATCATTCCAATTAACCCTATAATACAATCAAATCAGGAAATTTTTTGGCAAAGGGGAGACAGTAAATATTTTAGACTCCAAGCTCTATATACTCTCTTGCAACTACTTGCTGTTGTAAAAGCAGCCATAAACAGTATGCAAATGATGGGTGTGGTTATTTTGCAATACCACTTCATTTTCAAAAACAATCTATCAGCTGGATTTGACCTATGGGCCAGTTTATTACCCCATTATTTATAGTGTAGTCCTGTATTTGAAAATTATTGTTCATCTGTCATTTCAATATCAAGAGTGGTGATGGAAACTGGGAAATAGGTCTCCTTTCTGTCACAAAAATCACTGTCAATTATCTTTAAAATTTTTAAATGTTCATTGCATAATAAAATTGGCATACATTAAAATATAAAATATGTTTATGCAGTTAAATAAGTGTCGTGAAGTGAATATTTATGTAACTCTCTGACTTTACACATATATTGACTGCACTCAAGAAGTTGTGCTGTTTTTCATTTGCTATAATAGCCCCTCAGTCCGTCTCACTACTTGTCTGGATTGTTGTGATATCCATTTCTCTGATTTTATTTAGAATTTATTATCCTAGCTAATGTGGTTTCTTTTTGTCTGTTTTCTAACTCTAAATAAATGAATTATGATGATTTTTCTAGTTTTAGTCACTCAAATTAATGTTTGTGAGGTTTTTTCAATGTTGTCGCAAGTAATTCCAAGCTATTCATTTTTATTACTGTATAGCATCCAATTTCATGATTATACAACAATTTATTTCATCTTATTTTGAACATTTTGTTTCTGTCTAGTTTGGTTATGTTAAAATGTATATTATTTTGGGCCTATGCACAAGATTTTATAGGACATATGACTAACAGCATACTGATGGGTTAAGTTACATGCACTTTCATAATTACATTTCCTCCAAAGTAGTATACTAATTTACACACTCCTCTGAATTATATATTCTATTAATAGTGGTAGATGTTTTAAGTTTTAAATGCTTATAATTATATACTTATGTCCTACTGTGATTTGATATGTATTTCTCTAACTGTAAGTAACTTCTCTAACTGTAAGTAATTTAATATGTATTTCTCCAACTGTAAATAATTTCTCTAACTTTTTAAATACAGCAGTTAGCCATATGGAATTTCTCCCCTGTGAAGTGCCTGTTTAAGACATTTGTTCTTTGTCAAAAGATATTTCTAATCTGACCTTTTCTCTCCTTGTGTTTTCACACTTATGGTATTTGGTAAAGATAATTCTTCCATTATGGTAAGTTATATTTGTATCTTGTATAAGAAATCCTTTCTTACTCAAAGGCCATGACTAAATCTTATATAATCCTCTAAAATATTTTTAGTTTTACCTTTCCCATTCAGGTCTTTGTTGAAACAGAAATTGGCTTTTGAATATGCTATAAGGTAGACAACCAATTTAGTTTTTCTGTATGATTTTTCAAATGTTTCAGTAGCTTTATTGAATCTTCTATCTTTCTGTACATGTCTTCTGTGTGATGATGGTTATATATTATACATTTATATATGGTTTTATCTGTTTCCAAGCTCTTGATTAAACTTTTTGGTCTATTTGTCTATTTATGATAAATCTTGATAGCCTAAAGATAAAGCCTTTTCACCTTTTTCCTCATCATAGATGTTTTGGCAATTATTTTTCTTTCAAATTAGCATCCAGTGGACCCAGCACAATTTAAAAATGATATTTCTTCACTGCACTGTAATGTAATCTTTTTTAATAAATTAAATGACTGTATATAAAGAAGTCTCTGGATTCTTTGTTCTCTTCTCTTTGTTTAAATGCTCATTCTTAGACCCTGTCTAATTTATCTGTCCAAATGTCATAGTTTTAATTACTATGACTTTATAATAGGTGTTTATAACCAGACTTGTCCTTTAGTTTTAAGGTGTGCTTACTCTTCTTGATTGTTTAAATTTTCACATGATTTTGGAAACATTATTTTTTCTGTTTTATCTTTTGTTTTATATTCCTCTTTTTTCTTCATTGCCTCTATCCGATTGAATCTACTAATTTATATTATACATTATTCCTCAATTAAATTATTTGTTATACATTCTTTTACTCTTCTTTTAGTAGTTTCTCTACGTTAACATATCAACTCTTGAGTAATTGAATCTATTACAAATTAGTCCTCCTACCAATTACCATATGTTTTTAGATCCTTAAATCTCTAACACCCTTTACCCTCTGCTTCCCATTCATTATTTTTTTTCACACATCACAAACCTGTATATTTTTAAATCCCCATGAAGTATTACTATTTTTTATAAAGTCAGTATTCATTTTAATTTAACCAAAATTTACCAATTCTGGTGATCTTTAGTTCTCCCTACATTTCTGTGCTTCTATCTGAAGCTAATTTTGATATATCTCAGAAATTCTTAATATATTTCTATTATAAGACTGCTTGTTTTAAATTATATGTGTTTTTATTTGTCATTAAATCTTTATTTAATCATAGTCTTCCCCTTCCAGCTATATAAAGGTCTAATTAACAGAAAAAATTATATATAAACAGTTCGCAACATATTTTTAGATATGTATACATTGTGAAATGACTAAGCTAATTAACATATTCATCAATTCAAATACTTACCTTTTTTGAGGTTGAGAATACTTGAGATCTAATCCCTTAGCAATTTTCAAGTATAAAACATTACTAACTACAGTCAACTTGTTGTACAAAAGCTCTCCAGAGCTTATTCCTTCTAAATGAAACTTTCTTCTCTTTAACCATCATCTCCCATTTTCCCACTCTCAGCCCCTAAAAACCATCATTCTACTCTCTGCTTCTATGAGTTTGAATTTTTTAGACTCTCCATATAAATGAGATCAGGCAATATTTTTCTTTCTAAACTTGGCTTATTTTGCTTTACATAATGCCCTCCAGATTCATCCAGCCTGTAGCAAATGAAAGAATTTCTTTTGTTTTTATGACTGCCTAGTATTCCATTGTGCATATATACTGCATTTTCTTTATCCATTTGTCCATTGATGGAAACTTAAGCTTGATTCCGTATCTTGACTACTGCAATAAACCTGGGAGATGTTTATTACAGATATCTCTTCAACATACTAATTTTATTTGCTTTGGATATATGCCCAGTAAAGGGACGGCTGAATCATACAGTAGTTCTATTTTTAACATTTTGAGAAACCTCCTTATTATTTTCCATAATGGTTGTACTAATTTACATTTCCACCAACATTGTGGAAGTGTTCCCCTTTCTCCATGTCCTTGCCAACACTTGTTCTCCTCTGTCTTTTTGATAATAGCCAATCAAACAGGAGTAAGGTGTTATCCCATGGTGGTTTTGATATACTTTTTTCTGATGATTAGTGAGAATGAGAAGTTTTTCATATACCTCTTGGCCATATGTATGTCTTCTTTTGAGAAAGTCTATTTAGGTATTTTGCTCATTTTCAATTTTTTTTTTCTGAGTTGTTTGTATTCCTATACATTTTGGATTTTGACCCCTTATTAGATGTATAGTTGGCAAATCTTTTCTCCCATTCTTTAGGTTGTCTCTTTGTGGTGGTGTTTCCTTTGCTGTACAGAAGCTTCTAAATTTTGTGTACTCCCATTTGTCTAGTTTTTGTCTAGTTTTGGTTTTGTTACCTGTGCTTTTGTAGTCATATCCAAAAAATCATCACCCAGACCAATGTCAAGCATTTCCTCTATGCTTTCTTCTAGTAGTTTTAGCATCATAACTATTATGGTTAAGTTTTAATCCATTTTGAGTTTTTTTTGGTTTTTTTGTTTTTTTTTTTTCTCGCTCTGTAGCCAAGGCTGGAGTGCAGTGGCGCTGTCTCGGCTCACTGCAAGCTCTGCCTCCTGGGTTCACACCATTCTCCTGCCTCAGCCTCCCAAGTAGCTGGGACTACAGGCGCCCACCACCATGCCTGGCTAATTTTTTGTATTTTTAGTAGAGTCGGGGTTTCACCATTTTAGCCAGGATGGTCTCAATCTCCCGACCTCGTGATCTACCCGCCTCGGCTTTCCAAAGTGCTGGGATTACAGGCGTGAGCCACTGCTCCTGGCCTTGAGTGCTTTTTTAATATGGTGTGTGAAACGATGCAATTTTGTTTTTCTGCATGTGGGTGTCCAGTTTTCTCTATGTGATTTCATTGAAGGGACTGTCCTTTCCCCATTGTGTCTTCTTGACAATTTTGTCAAACACCAACTGACTGTAAATGCGTTGTTTTATTTCTCTTATATCTATATTGTTCCATTGGTCTATATATCTATTTTTATACCAGTACTATGCTCTTTTGGTTACTATGGCTATACAGTATAGTTTGAAGTCAAGTAGTATGATGCCTCTAGCTGTGTTCATTTTGGTCAAGCTCGTTTTGGCTATTTAGACAAATTTAATGAAGGAGGTAAAAGATCTGTACATTGAAAACTATAAAACATTCTTAAAAGAAATGAAGGAAAACAGCAAATAAATAGAAAGATAAAGCATGTTCATGAACTGGAAAAATAAATATTGCTAAAATGTCCATAGTACCCAAAGCAATCTACAGATTCAGTGCAAACCCTCTCAAAATTCTAATGACATTTTTCACAGAAATGTAAATAAAAAACAATGCTAAAATTCATATGAAACAACTTAACTATATTCTTATAAATTTTTGCTGGAATAAATTCTAAGATGTCTTTGAAAAAGATGTCGTTTGCCTTTTAAATCATCATTCCATTGTTTTCTGACTTTTTTTTCCTTTTCTATTGATGAAGTAGCTGTATTATTTGTTAATTGGTTTATTAAGAATTATTCGTTTCTTCAAAAGTAACATCCTTTTTTCTTGAAACTTTAAAGATCTTTAAAGTTCATCTGGGCTTTTGTTAGTCTTTTTTTTTCTTTTGATGATATATTTATATCTGACTTTTATTTCCCTTTATCCTACTTGATTTACATAAAGCTTTTTGATACTGTGTCATCAATTTTGAAACAAAAATGCTCTGATCTTCTGAGATTAGCTTAACTTTTTATGTAACTTTGGCAAACAATACTAATGCTTGGGGTGCATTAGTATTAGTAACAACATAGATGCAAATCTCTAAGTTTATATTATCATCAAATGAGATGAATAATTATATAATAAATAAATAGAGTAGAAAGAATGTGAGAAGGTAATATATGCTTGGGCAAAAACTATAGAGCAAATTTAGAGTATGGTTTAAAAATCCTATGCTTTGGTGATTGAACAAGTTGACATTTTAAATAAAATTTTCAAGATAAACCTCAGTGGGAAGTTGATGTATAAGCAAAGACTTAAAGTAGATGGAGAACAATGAACTATGTTGAAGAACTTTCCAGGAATGGCCAACAAAATGGTACAAATATCGTGAGGTCCAAGCTTGCCTGTTGTGTTTGGAAAACAGCTAGGAGGACAGAGTAACAATAGAGTGAGTGAAGTGTAAGATGTTTGAGTAAAATTTAGAACAAAATCCATATATTTAGAAAATATCCCTCTGTTTCTCTTGCTCTTTCTGTGTCAACCTACCTGTCTATAATTAATAAAATAAATGTTTCAAAACAAAAGGTTAAGAATCAAATTTTTCCATTTTATCTTTATGTTACAGAAACTTTTTACCCCATAATTTTAGAGTTTACAGTTATAGTGGCACAGGAATTATGAAACCACTTGACCAAGATTTTCAGGTATGTTTTTTATGATCTCTTTTATTTTTGTCATGTGAGTGTCTATGATCACCTTATTTAGTGTCCACATGTTATTAGAGTCTAAAGTGTTGGGTCATGGCTTCTTGGCATAAGTTTAATGTTTTCCTGTTAATGATGTATACTGATGTACTGAGTTAGCCCTATTAAACAGATGATTAACTAAAAAGACATGATTGTAGTGTTTCTAAACTATTTAGACACATGCTAAGGGCTTATGTACCTGAGGTGATAGGGACTAAATATGTTGTGAAATATGTAAAATGAAAAACCATGACTTGTATCAGGAAAGCTAAATCTGAGGAGAAAATAAGAATCTAATCTTCTTTGAAGTATGTTCAAGGACCAAATAAGTACACATGAAGTTTCACACACGTTTAGGAGTATATTAAATTTTCATCTATTTGGAACATGTAGAGCTTAATTTAATGTTGTCTATAATTTTTTTAAAAAATAATAAAGAAGAGTGAATAAAATTGCCAGGATTAGTCATGCCTGAAGTGTTCTTTTTTTTTTTTTTTTTTTTGAGATAGAGTTTCACTCAGGCTGGAGTGCAATGGCGCGATCTCAGCTCACCGCAACCTCCGCCTCCTGGGTTCAAGTGATTCTCCTGCCTCAGCCTCCCAAGTAGCTGGGATTACAGGCATGTGTCACCATGCCCGGCTAATTTTGTATTTTTAGTAGAGACAGGGTTTCTCCATGTTGGTCAGGCTGGTGTCGAACTCCCGACCTCAGGTGATCCACCTGCCTTGGCCTCCCAAAGTGCTGGGATTACAGCAGTGAGTCACTACTCCTGGCCTCTGTTCTTTTGTTTTTTAACCTCAGCCCTGCTCTACTAATTGCTGTTGTGTTTTCCATTTGTTGTTCTTGATTTCTATATAGCGACTCAATCAAGTGTTTTGAAAGTAAAGCATTTTTAGAGAGGCTAGGATTTCAACAGAAGAAGTAATAGATATGGTTAGTTGCTTTAAGTTTTGCCCAAGAGAGTACACAACTCTATGAGTCAGTTATAGAGTAGTCTATATAAATATATAACTAATATACTGTTACATAGTGTTATACACACACATACATATGTGTGTGTGCGTATGTGTGTTTGTATTTGCATGCATGAGAGAGAGGACAGAAGATAGAGTGAGAATCCAAGACAGAGGCACAGGAGATCACAATATCTCACACCTGTATTTTGTATCATTCTTCCATACATAACTCTGCTTCCTACCTCCCAAGAGGTAACCATGAAAGATAAATGTACAGTTAAAAAAAAAAAACAAGCAAGAATGCTACAAAGCATTCAAAGCATCAACAATCTGAATGTGGTAAGTAGTTGCAAGTTGATCTCAAATGTAGTAAAAACATGCTGCCTTGAAAATAAATTGTGTTTGCCAAGGTTGCAGGCCTACCTCTATCCTAGGAAAAAGCTCATTAAATTCAGTTGGGAACAGGTGTATTTATTGGATTATTTATTTATCTTAAGTCCACACATGATTCCCATTCCTAAAGTCATATTATCTTGATAAATAAAGACTTATCTACAAAAGAAAAAAAATCAGCCAGCTAAACCAGGAAAGAGTTTGTTCCCTGCATCCAGAGTAGGACAAGTGTAAGCCATTCATCATTGTCCTGGATTTTGTGATCTCTCCAGGACAAACAGATAGTCATCATAATTAAAAGGTAAAATTACCAGGATGCTTAAACAATCTAAAATGTATGTGCACATAAAAACAGACCTCAGGCCGGGTGTGGTGGCTCACACCGGTAATCCCAGAACTTTGGGAGGCCAACGCGGGCAGATCATGAGGTCAAGAGATGGAGACCATCCTGACCAAAATGGTGAAACCCCGTCTGTACTAAAAATACAAAAATTAGCTGGGCATGGCAGCATGTGCCTGTAGTCCCAGCTACTCAGGAGGCTGAGGCAGGAGAATCACTGGAACCCAGGTGGAGGAGATTGCAGTGAGCCGAGATCACGCCACTGCACACCAGCCTGGCGACAGAGCAAGACTCCATCATAAAAAGCAAAAAACAAAAAACAAAACAAAACAAAAAAAAAACAGACCTCAAATCCTCAAATTATGGAAGGCATAATTGACGGAAATGAAAGAAACAGACAAATAATACTTATATTTGAAGATTTAAACACTTCTCTTCTAATAATAAAGTAGAAAGAAACTTTGTAAACTTCTAAATGAAGTAGAAAGAAATTCAGCAAATATATCAAGTGTATACACATACTTTTCAAGTGCAAATGTAATATTGAACAAGAAGATATTATAGTGAAGGCAAACAATGCAAAACTGACTGATAAAAATAAAAGATAAAAATAAACTGCGAAAGGATATTGGGTAATAAGTGAAGCTTTTTGATTCTTCCATGAAAATTTTATCCTATGTGACTTAAAAATGACTTATTCTTTCATTTCTAAGTTTCTCAATGTCATCCTGTGTTTAAGGTTGATGTAACTTCCTGATACTCCACAGAATTAGAAATGTTATCAATCTGGATATTATAAACCACATCTGGAAGGAAGAAGATAAAAGCTGTGGAATGTTCAAGATATTTTTACCTTCATTATATAAAGTATGAAGTATACCCCAATTGGTGATAAAAATAAAAGCACAAATATTTTCACATAAATTTCTAAATAAGATGGAAATAGAAATACAGTGTATTGAGTCCATGAAGTATGGTATTTGGAAAGTGGTACAAACTAAGATTTTAGGTATCACAGTAGAAAGATGAACTATAAAGCAAAAGTAAATACAAAATCCAGGTGAAATTTGCAAATGAAAACATTTTGATGGAATTAAAAATTAACTTTGCTTATCTACCATGCAACATTGTCAGAAAAGTATGAAAAATATAAGTTTTGATGATGTTTACCTCATTCTTAACAACTGAGAATGTCATGCTTAATTTAAAACCTATAGAAATATGAAAATATACTCATTTTTTATAAATCTGTGGGGAGTACTTTGGAAAACCAAGCCATATGCTCATCTAATAACATTATAAATCCATTTTTGAAACATGAGTGTTTGATGCATAAAAACAAAACACATATATGTTTTACATATTTGAAAATTGTATCTGTAACACAAACCATTCTAATGGAGATATGTGTATTTTATCTTTCAGAATTTCTGCCACTACCAAGGGTATATTGAAGGTTATCCAAAATCTGTGGTGATGGTTAGCACATGTACTGGACTCAGGTTGTAATTTACTGTTTTATGAATTACAAAATAAAATATTTACTTCAAAATTATTTTAAACATTTTAACATAATATTCAGTGGTTCTAAAGTGTGGCATGACTATTGTGGAAAACTGCCACTCACAAAGCATGGTATGGAAATACTTATGATGGCTCCTGCCCTTATGCAGGATTATGATTTTTTAAATATATTTGGAAGCCATGAAATATTAATAGCTAGGCAAATGCTAACAGCATTACTATGCGGTGTCACTCAGTAAGTTTGTGGATACCCAGTAACTTTCTCCTATTTTATCACCTTAGATTCAGGCTAAAAATAATCTGCATACCATGAAAAAATAATGCTAAGTGGCATTTTATTGGCTTTTCCACAAGGCATTGTTTTACTTATTAATTTTTTTTTGAAATTTTTAGGGGCGTACTACAGTTTGAAAATGTTAGTTATGGAATAGAACCCCTGGAGTCTTCAGTTGGCTTTGAACATGTAATTTACCAAGTAAAACATAAGAAAGCAGATGTTTCCTTATATAATGAGAAGGATATTGAATCAAGAGATCTGTCCTTTAAATTACAAAGCGTAGAGGTAGGTGATTAATTGAACAAACTCTATGGTTATTACTATACAGCAATGTAAGCACTGAAATTTATAGTTGATAAATTACATATTTACACACCCATAAACACCAAAACATATAGCCACATGTATGGATACATGTACCAGAAACTTCATAACTTATATCATTAAGCCTTAAAACTAGTTTTGTAATTTTCCAGAACTCCAATCATGACATTTTCAACTGTTAGTGGCATCTTTTTCTGTAATCTAGACCTTTATTGTCAGCAGATGTACTCCTTTCCCCATAGCCATTATGTTAAAATTCTGGTGTAACAAACACAAATGCCATCCACATAAAAAATGGAGATACATATCTAGGGTCCTGAGGAGAGTCACCCCTATCTTGTAAGGGAACTGCCTCAGGGGAGGTCATTATATTTTCCTCAGGGGATTCAGGGTTATTTAATATCCTCAGAAAGTGAGAGAGAGGTTGCTTCTATTAGCAAACAAGATTCACCAGCATTTAGGAGTTTTATAGCCCCAGCTTCATTAGGGTTCTTCTCTAGGTTCCCATTCCAATTTTCAGGATCCCACTGCTTCCCACTCAATGCTTTCTCTTTGACGGCAGTACCATGGGAGGTTAGGAATTCAGTTTGCACTGTAATTCATCCACTGACAGGATAAGATTCTGGGTTTGGTTTTCAGTAATCTCAGCTCTGTGGCTATGGGATATAAAAATTTATTTCAAGACACACAAAGAAGCTTTTGGATAATTTATGCATCACTTGAGTTGGTAATTCAAATACTTTGGCTTATTCTCTTCTTTCTCCACTTTGTCCAGCAACATTAGGAGCAGCCAATCTCATTATATTTGCTAGTTTGACAAAAATGTTCAAAAGTATCATATACATGGTCACCAAGACCCTTGCCTTCATAAGTCTTTGATCAGAAGTATTCAGTGGTAATATTTTGCCTGTCTTTGTTGCTACATCATGCCATGAACTATCTTCTCTCTATAGAATTGTCTTTAAATCTAGTCAAAGTAGAAGGCAAATTCCCAAAACCCCAGCACCAATTCAGAAGATGTCCGCTTAAGATTCTCTTTTCTTGGTACCTCATTCCTGGTACCCACATCTATATCAGGGTTCTCCAGAGAAATAGAAAACCAATAGGAGATATATATGTGTGTGTTTGTGTACATACACAGAGAGGGAGAGTACATACAGAGAGAGGGAGAGAGAGATTTTATAGAATTGACTCAGATGATTGTGAAGGCTTGGTAAATCCAAAATCTACAGGGTAAGCAGGCAGGCTGGTTATCCAAGGAAGATTTGCAGTTTAAGACCAACATAGTCTGCTGGCAGAATTCCCTTTTGTTTAGAAAATACTCTGTTTTCTAAAAACGGCTTTAACTGATTGGATGAAGTTCACCCACATAATGAAGAGTAATGTGCTTTACTAGAGCTTTACCAACTTAAATGTTAATTTTGTCTAAAAGGCACCTTCACAGAGGCATCCAGGCTAATGTTTGACCTAATATCTGGGCACAGTGGCCCAGCCAAGTTTACAGGTAAAATTAATCATCACACCAATATCACATCATTTATTCTTATGTTTCTTCTAAATGTTTTATTCTTTAATCTCATTTTGATATATGATACTTTAATATTTTTTATTGGATGAGGTAGAAATTCAAATTTTTTTATATCAATATCCAGCTGTCCTCACACCATTTGTTGAAGAGATTATTTTTTCCTCATTGAGCATTCTTGATTTTTTTCAAAGATCAGTTGACAATAAATGTTAAGTATTATTACCAGACTTAAAATTATAGTCCATTAATCTTTATGTCTACTCTAATGCCACTACCACGTTTTCTTTACTACTGTATTTTTGTAGTAAGATTTGGAATTGGTAAGTGTACATCCTTCAATATTCTTATTTTCCAAGATTATTTTGGTTATTCTGGCTACTATGCATTTCCAAACGTATTTTAAAATTTATTTATTTTTAATTTCCAAAAAATGGCACCCAGGATTGTGTTGAATCTGTAGATAAACCTGAGGAATACTGCTATATTAACAATATTAACTCTGTCCATGAGCAGTAGGTAGCTTTTAGTTTTTAGATATTCTTTAATTTATTTCTGCAATGTTTTATATATTTAAGCCTAAGTCTTCAGTAAAGCTTCTTTTGTTATTTATAGAAGTGTTATTACTTTAGATGTTATTTAAATTTTATATCAGTTTGGATTTCTCATTATTAGTATTTGGTAATTAGTGAATTTTCCATATTGGTTTTGTATTCTGTGAACTTGACAAACTTGTTTATTAGTTCTCTATTGAACTCCACGACTTTTTATGTACATGGTCATGCCATCTTGAATAAAGATAGTTTATCTTGTTTCTTTCCAACTAGGATATCTCAAATTTCCTTTTTCTTACTTAATTGTCCTGATTACTACTTCCATTATAATGTTGAATAGAATAGGTGAAAAAGAGATGTTCTCATCTTTTCCCAATCTTAGGGAGAAAAGATTCAGTCTGTCACCCTTAAGCATGTTATTTGTAATTTTTTCACAGGTGCCCTTTATCAGGTTAAAGAAGGTTTCATCCAGTGTTA
This sequence comes from Homo sapiens, assembly GCF_000001405.40. Lineage (NCBI taxonomy): Eukaryota > Metazoa > Chordata > Mammalia > Primates > Hominidae > Homo > Homo sapiens. The sequence continues at coordinate 569,042 of NT_187577.1, read as the reverse complement.
GTTTGTTAATGATTTTTGTTTTGTCATTAAGGGTTGTTGGATTTTGTCAGATATTTTTGTTCTGCAACGTATGTTGAGATAATAATTTCATTTTTATCGTTATTTTGTTAATGTGGTGTATTGCATTAATTGACTTTTGATTATTAAACTAACCTTGTATCCAGTCTCTCTTTGTTATAGTGCATAATTCTTTTTATGTATTGCTGGGTTCAGTTTGCTGGCATAATTTTGAAGATTTTTTTCATTTATATTTATAAAGAATATTGCTGTGCAGACTTGTTTTCATATGATATTTTTCTCTGTCTTTGGTATCAGGGTGTTACAAACTTCACGAAATGAGTTGGGAAGTGTTGTCTCCTCTATTCTGGAAGACTTTGTGGAGGATTGATTTAATTATTTCAACATCTGTAAAATCCATCTGGGATTGGACATTTTTAGGGAAGGATTTTTATTAGTAATTAAATTTTTTCTCATTAAGTCTATTATAATTTTCTAATTTCTTTTGGAGTCAATTTAGGTAGTTTGTGTGTCTATAGAGGTTTTTCTATTTTATCTATTTATTTCTTGTCATATTGTTGTTTGTAGGACTCCCTTATAGGTCTTTAAATATCGGTACGATTTTTAGTAATCTTCTTTTTCATTTCTGATTTTATTAATTTAAATATTTTCTTTTTTGTGTAGTCAGAGTAGCTAATAATATTTTAATTAAAGTGTATCTCTTTTAAAGCACATATTACTAAGTTTTTAAACGTTTTAAATCACATATGACAATTTTATGTTTAACTGACAGATAATAATCACACTTATGGGATACAAATGATATTTTGATACTTGAATAAAATGTGTAATGATCAAATCAGGGTAATTAGCTTATTTATTACCTTAAACATTTATCATTTGTTTATGTTGGGAACATTCAAAATTGCCTCTTTAAGCTACTTGAAAACATACAATAAATTATTGTTAACTATAGTCACCCTATGGTGCTATAGAACACTAGAACTTACTCCTTCTATCTAGCTGTACTTTTGTAACCAATAGCCAACCTTTCCCCATCCGTTCCTCCCCTGACCCTTCCTATCCTCTCATGACCACGATGTCACTCTCTACTTCTATGAGCTCAACTTTTCTAGTTGCCAAGGTTATTTATTGCATCTACTTTTAATGCACACACTTACATAATTTAGATTTAATCTACCACTTTGTCATTTCTTATTTGTCTTATATGTTCCTTATTCCTTTATTCTTTCTTCTTTTATATCTAATCTATTTATTTTTTTCAAGGATTTAATCATGATGTTACATCTTTTTTATTAATCAAGTATTTTTATTTTTCTCCTCTAATGAGCTTTTACATTATATATTGTTTCATATATTTTGCTCTTATATAGTCTGTGAATACAAAATAATTTTTACAACATAATAATTTTAGTGGCTAGTCTAATTAGGAGTTGACAAACTATGGCCCTCAGGCCAAATCTGGCCCACAGGCTGTTTGTATAAATAACATCTATTACTGCTATTCTATATATTGTTTATGTATACTTTCATATTATGGTGGCAAACTTGAATAGTTGTGACAGAGACTCTATGCCCTACAAAGAAACTTTATAACCATGGCAGTCATTCTTCATTCCCCTGTCTTCCCGGGAAACTACAAATCTATTGTCATAGATATAGACTTGCCTTTTCAAGATATTTTATATAACTGGAATCTTACAATATCTTTTGTGACTTCTTTCACTTATAAGGTGGTCAAAGCTCATCAGTACCTCTTTTATATTTATGGCTGAATAACATGTGCCTGGGTATAAATATACCACTCGTGGTCATATAGTCATAAGCTGATGAACAAATTGGTTGTTTCTACTTTTTAAATATTATAATATTGCTAGGAACATTAATATATGTTTTATGTGGATATATGTTTTTATTTCTCTAGGTAATTACTAAGATTTGAACTGCTAGGTCATACGCAGACTCTGTGTTTCACCTTTTGAGTGGCTGCCAGATTATTTGTCCAATGTGGCTGACAATTTTGTATCTCCTGAAACAACATCTGTGGGTTCCAATTCCTCCACATTTATTTATTTGTTGTTTTTTATTTTTTGAGATGTAGTTTCACTCTTGTTGCCCAGGCTGGAGTGCAATGGCGTGATCTCTGCTCACTGCAACCTCCACCTCCCGGGTTCAAGTGATTCTCCTGCCTCAGCCTCCCGAGTAGCTGGTATTAGAGGTGCACACCACCACGCTCGGCTAATTTTTTGCATTTTTAGTTGAGATGGGGTTTCACCATGTTGGCCAGGCTGGTCTTGAACTCCTGACCTCAGGTGATTCACCCACCTCAGCCTCCCAAACTGCTGGGATTACAGATGTGAGCCACCGTGCCTGACCTCCTCCACATTTTTTTTTCAACATTTATTACCAGTCATTTTGATTATAGCCATCCTATTATGTGTGAACTGATATCTAATTGTGGTGGAACTATTTAAAACTTTAAAAGTTCTACTTTGTGCTATCATTATATGTTTTTATTTTTATACATATTATACACTTCATAGGACTACTACTGTTATTACTCACATTATTGTTTTAAATAATTCATATCTTTTCTCATTCTGTTCATTCCCTCATGCTGTTTTATGCTGTCCTCACTTTTGGAAATAAAAATTATTATCATTTAAATATTCTTTCTGCTGTATTTAAAAGGTCATAAAGTTATTCATTTGTTTTGGTTAAAAATTTCATGTAATTCCCTGCCCCATTTCCCAAAATACCAAGAAGCTTCTACCAGGAAGTGCTTGCCAAGTTGATTATTAAGTTCACTTACAAAACATGAATAAATAAGCATATTCAAAGAAACATCTGAAAATGTAGAGCAATGGGGAAATCACAGTTCTCAACCATCTGTATTCCTATTCTATCTCATTTTATTTGCTAGCCTCATTTTATCCTCCACCTACTTCCAACATAAAAATTTAATTCCTAAATTTGAGTATCTATTATTTTCTCTCACTTGAGTTCCATCCTTATAATTCTAAACAGAAAGATCCTATAACCTTATTCCATTAATCATTTTATTATGTGTAATATTTTGAATTATCATCTACAGTTCCTTCATTATACGAACATAATCATATCTCCTTAATACTAAAAATAGATTTAAAAATAAATGAAATAAAATAGAATCTATTATATACCTAGCACTTTCCATTTCTTCACATACCAGCTTTATATTAGAATAAGTGGAACTATCCATCCTGACAGCTCATTAACTATTCATTTCACAAAAATGCAGTTTCTGTCTCCACAAATAATCAGTGGTGATCCATTGTTAAATTGGCTTTTTGAAATATTGAGATACATTTTTAAAGAGTGAAAGTAAAAATTCCCTAGAACTTTCTAGTCATCTTATTTTCTGCAATAATGCTGTCTCTTGCTTCTCATTCTTTCTTACTTTTTCTGACTTTTCCTTATACATTCACATTTTAAATATTGATATTTGCTCTGTTATATCTCATGTTTGAGCTTGTTATCATCACATATAATATATATATTACATATATATCATATATATATATAGTTCTATGGCTTTACCTACTGTAACCTACAGATATTCAGTCCCAGTCCAAATTTTCTCCTGAGTTGATAATTCAATACAGGACATGTTGGTTGTTCGATTGAAACACACACACATGGACACCCGCACCCACACACCCCATATCTATCTATCTGTCTATTTATTGATGGATAAATCAATCACCTACATTTTTCTTCCAACTTCCTGAATATTCTTAACCAAGGACCTTTGACGTTTTTAAATCTGAATATTTCATTCATACATATTGCAAATGGATCAGTGTAATACTGTGAGTTCTCTGATATTTCTGACTAGATCCAATTCCTTAGTCTTTATTTGGCCAAGGCAACCTTTGTCCTAAATTTGGAGTCCTCTTTCAACATCATGTATGTAAGCACTTTTGTCTCCTTTTAGGGCTACTTTGTCTTAATAAAATGGCTTGGCTATTGTGGATTTTTTTTTTTTTTCTGAGACAGAGTCTCACTCTGTCACCCAGACTGGAGTGCAGTGGTGTGATCTTGGCTCACTGCAACCTCTGCCTCCCAGTTTCAAGCGATTCTCCTGCCTCAGCCTCCTGACTAGCTGTGATTACAGGTGTGAGCCACAATGCCCAGCTAATTTTTTGTATTTTTAGTAGAGACAGGGTTTTGCCATGTTGGCCAGGCTGGTCTCGAACTCTTGACCTCAAGTGATCCACCCACCTCGGCCTCCCAAAGTGCTGGGATTACAGGTGTGAGCCACCACGCCTGGCCTGTGGATTTTTAAAATTGGCATCTGACCACCTTTTCAACACACACAGCTCCTGGCATTCTCTCATGCATCTGTGTAGTTTTCTTTTCTTTTTTTTTTCTGCCCACCTTTTCAACACACACATTTATTTACATATATTTATTTTATTTATTTATTTTTTATTATACTTTAAGTTCTAGGGTACATGTGCACAACGTGCAGCTTTCTTCCATATGTATACACGTGCCATGTTGGTGTGCTGCACCCATTAACTCGTCATTTACATTAGGTGTATCTCCTAATGTTATCCCTCCCCGCCCGCAACCCCACAACAGGCCCTGGTGTGTGAAGTTCCCCAGCTTGTGTCCAAGTGTTCTAATTGTTTAATTCCCACTTCTGAGTGAGAACATGTGGTGTTTGACTTTCTGTCCTTGTGATAGTTTGCTCAGAATGATGGTTTCCAGCTTCATCCATGTCCCTACAAAGGACATGAACTCATCCTTTTTTATGGCTACATAGTATTCCATGGTGTGTATGTGCCACATTTTCTTTATCCAGTCTGTCATTGATGGACATTTGGGTTGGTTCCAAGTCTTTGCTATCGTGAATAGTGCTCCAATAAACATACGTGTGCATGTGTCCTTATAGCAGCATGATTTATAATCCTTTGGGTATATACCCAGTAATGGGATGGCTGGGTCAAATGGTATTTCTAGTTCTAGATCCTTGAGGAATTGCCACACTGTCTTCCACAAGTGTTGAACTAGTTTATAGTCCCACCAACAGTGTAAAAATGTTCCTATTTCTCCACATCCTCTCCAGCACCTGTTGTTTCCTGATTTTTTAATGATCACCATTCTAACTGGTGTGAGATGGTATCTCATTGTAGTTTTGACTTGCATTTCTCTGATGGCCAGTGATGATGAGCATTTTTTCATCTGTCTGTTGGCTGCATAAACGTCTTCTTTTGAGAAGTGTCTGTTCATATCCTTCACCCACTTTTTGATGGGGTTGTTTGATTTTTTCTTGTAAATTTGTTTAAGTTCTTTGTAGATTCTGGATATTAACCCTTTGTCAGATGGTTAGATTGTAAAACTTTTCTCCCATTCTATAGGTTACCTCTTCACTCTGATGGTAGTCTCTTTTGCTGTGCAAAAGCGCTTTAGTTTAATTAGGTCCCATTTGACAATTTTGGCTTTTGTTGCCATTGCTTTTGGTGTTTTAGTCCTGAAGTCCTTGCCCATGCCTATGTCCTGAATGGTATTGCCTAGGTTTTCTTCTAGGGTTTTCATGGTTTTAGGTCTAACATTTAAGTCTTTAATCCATCTTGAATTAATTTTTGTATAAGGTAAGGAAGGGATCCAGTTTCAGCTTTCTACATATGGCTAGCCAGTTTTCCCAGCACCATTTATTAAATAGGGAAAAACCATTTCTTGTTTTTGTCAGGTTTGTCAAAGATCAGATGGTTGTAGATGTGCGGTACTATTTCTGAGGGCTCTGATCTGTTCCATTGGTCTATATCTCTGTTTTGGTACCAGTACCATGCTGTTTTGGTTACTGTGGCCTTGTAGTATAGTTTGAAGTCAGGTAGTGTGATGCCTCCAGCTTTGTTCTTTTGGCTTAGGATTGTCTTGGCTATGCGGGCTCATTTTTGGTTCCATATGAACTTTAAAGTAGTTTTTTCCAATTCTGTGAAGAAAGTCATTAGTAGCTTGATGGGGATGGCATTGAATCCATAAATTACCTTCAGCAGTATGGTCATTTTCACAATATTGATTCTTCCTATCCATGAGCATGGAATGTTCTTCCATTTGTTTGTGTCCTCTTTTATTTCGTTGAGCAGTGGTTTGTAGTTCTCCTTGAAGAGGTCCTTCACATCCCTGGTAAGTTGGATTCCTAGGTATTTTATTCTCTTTGAAGCAATTGTGAATGGGAGTTTACTCATGATTTGGCTCTCTGTTTGTCTGTTATTGTATAGGAATGCTTGTGATTTTTGCACATTGATTTTGTATCCTGAGACTTTGCTGAAGTTGCTTATCAGCTTAAGGAGATTTTAGGCTGAGATGATGGGGTTTTCTAAATATACAATCATGTCATCTGCAAACAGGGACAATTTAACTTCCCCTCTTCCTAATTGAATATGCTTTATTTCTTTCTCTTGCCTGATTGCCCTGGCCAGAACTTCCAACACTATGTTGAATAGGAGTGGTGAGAGAGGACATCCCTGTCTTGTGCCAGTTTTCAAAGGGAATGCTTCCAGTTTTTGCCCATTCAGTATGACATTGGCTGTGGGTTTGTCATAAATAGCTCTTATTATTTTGAGATACGTCCCATCAATACCTAGTTTATTGAGAGTTTTTAGCCTGAAGCGCTGTTGAATTTTGTCGAAGGCCTTTTCTGCATCTGTTGAGATAATCATGTGGTTTTTGTCTTTGGTTCTGTTTATATGCTGGATTACGTTTATTGATTTGAATATGTTGAACCAGCCCTGCATCCCAGGGATGAAGCCAGCTTGATCGTGGTGGATAAGCTTTTTGATGTGCTGCTGGATTCGGTTTGCCAGTATTTTATTGAGGATTTTTGCATTGATGTTCCTCAGGAATATTGGTCTAAAATTTACTTTTTTTGTTGTGTCTGCCCCAGGCTTTGGTATCAGGATGATGCTGGCCTCATAAAATGAGTTAGGGAGGATTCCCTCTTTTTCTATTGATTGGAATAGTTTCAGAAGGAATGGTACCAGCTCCTCTTTGTACCTCTGGTAGAATTCAGCTGTGAATCCATCTGGTCCTGGACTTATTTTGGTTAATTATTGCCTCAATTTCAGAGCCTGTTATTGGTCTATTCAGGGATTCAACTTCTTCTTGGTTTAGTCTTGGGAGGATGTATGTGTCCAGGAATTTATCCATTTCTTCTAGATTTTCTAGTTTATTTTCATAGAGGTGTTTATGGTATTCTCTGATGGTAGCTTGTATTTCTGTGGGATTGGTGGTGATATCCCCTTTATCATTTTTTATTGTGTCTTTTTGATTCTTCTCTCTTTTCTTCTTTATTAGTCTTGCTAGTGGTCTATCAATTTTGGTGATCTTTTCAAAAAACCAGCTCCTGGATTCATTGATTTTTTTGAAGGGTTTTTTTTTGGTCTCTATCTCCTTCAGTTCTGCTCTGATCTTAGTTATTTCTTGCCTTCTGCTAGGTTTTGAATGTGTTTGCTCTTGCTTCTCTAGTTCTTTTAATGGTGATGTTAGGGTGTCAATTTTAGATCTTTCCTGCTTTCTCTTGTGGGCATTTAGTGCTATAAATTTCCCTCTACACACTGCTTTAAATGTGTCCCAGAGATTCTGGTATGTTGTGTCTTTGTTCTCATCGGTTTCAAAGAACATCTTTATTTCTGCCTTCATTTCGTTATGTACCCAGTAGTCATTCAGGAGCAGGTTGTTCAGTTTCCATGTAGTTGAGTGGTTTTGAGTGAGTTTCTTAATCCTGAGTTCTAATTTGATTGCACTGTGGTCTGAGAGAGAGTTTGTTATAATTTCTGTTCTTTTACATTTGCTGAGGAGTGCCTCACTTCCAACTATGTGGTCAATTTTGGAATAAGTGCGATGTGGTGCTGAGAAGAATGTATATTCTGTTGATTTGGGGTGGAGAGTTCTGTAGATGTCTATTAGGTCCACTTGGTGCAGAGCTGAGTTCAAGTCCTGGATATCCTTGTTAACGTTCTGTCTCTTTGATCTGTCTAATGTTGACAGTGGGGTGTTAAAGTCGCCCATTATTATTGTGTGGGAGTCTAAGTCTCTTTGTAGTCTCTAAGGACTTGCTTTATGAATCTGGGTGCTCCTGTATTTGGCTCATATATATTTAGGATAGTTAGCTCTTCTTGTTGAATTGATCACTTTACCATTATGTAATGGCCTTCTTTGTCTCTTTTGATCTTTGTTGGTTTAAAGTCTGTTTTATCAGAGACTAGGTTTACAACCCCTGCTTTTTTTTTGTTTTCCATTTGCTTGGTAGGTCTTCCTACATCCCTTTATTTTGAGCTTATGTTTGTCTCTGCACATGAGATGGGTCTCCTGAATACAGCACACTGATGGGTCTTGACTCTTTATCCAATTTTTCCAGTCTGTGTCTTTTAATTGGAGCATTTAGCCCATTTGCATTTAAGGTTAATATTGTTATGTGTGAATTTGATCCTGTCATTATGATGTTAGCTGGTTATTTTGCTCGTTAATTGATGCAGTTTCTTCCTAGCATTGATGGTCTTTACAATTTGGCATGTTTTTGCAGTGGCTGGTACCGGTTTTTCCTTTCCATGTTTAGTGCTTCCTTCAGGAGCTCTTGTAAGGCAGGCCTGGTAAAAGAGAGAATAATATGAATAGCTTGGAACCAATGAAAATATGGAGAATGGAAGATAGAGGGAAGTTGTTTCCCAAGTAAATTAAATAATTGATTAGGTACAGAAAAGTGACAAATAGATGAAAATGATTTTATGATATCTAGTGTTGCTTATATTATCTGGTTTTATTTCTATATGCAAAATTGTGTTTTTCAATATTTAGTTCATTAATAGTAGTGACATGCACTAAAAATACTTAAGTAATTCTGTAATTTTGATGTAAAATTTGTGGATTTTTTCAGCCACAGCAAGATTTTGCAAAGTATATAGAAATGCATGTTATAGTTGAAAAACAATTGGTAAGTATATTCTGATTTATTTATGTCCCTTAATATTTGCAATGAGGGATTGTAATAATAATTTGGAATATATTTTTAACAGAAAAGAATTGATAATTTTGCCTTAGCTCTGCATTAATGCACTTTAAATTATTAATATCAGTAGTAAATTGAGAATCAAATTTTATATAGTGTTTAATTTTATAAATAGCAACATAAAGAAAATAATTGCTACCTCTATAATAGTTTACAAATAGTTTTAGAATTATTATAGAAACTTGTATGTATTCTAGAACTATACTGAATTTTAAAAATAATGCTTGACATTTTGGATATTATTTAAAAAGAAATAAAAGTTTCCCATCTGTACATTTTTTTTGTAGACAGGAAAATAATGGCTTATACTGGGGATGAAAGGTGGTGATTAAGTATTTTAATGATAAATATTGTAAACTTGGGTAAAATAAGTGATCAATATGTTTATTTTTCTTTATGTATTTATTTATTTATTTTTTGTGATGGAGTCTCACTCTGTCCCACAGGCTGGAGTGCAATGGCATGATCTCGGCTCACTGCAAACTCCGCTTCATGGGTTCAAGTGATTCTCCTGCCTTAGCCTCACAAGTAACTGGGACTACAGGCACACACCACCATGCCCAGCTAATTTTTGTATTTTTAGTAGAGACGGGGTTTCACCACATTGGCCAGGATGGTCTCGATCTCTTTACCTCGTGATCCACCTGCCTCGGCCTCCCAAAGTGCTGGGACCACATGCGTGAGCCACTGTGCCTGGCCAACTTTTTCCTTATGTTTTAAAAAATATTTAGCAATTCTGTGTCCTTTGAATTTCCATTTAAGACCACCTTATCCATTTCTGCAAAAAGGATGATTATATTTTGATAGAGACTGTGTTAATTCTATAGATCAATTTGGGAAGGATATTTTTTCACAATTTGGAATATTCTAATCCATGATCATCATATATCCACCCCATTATTTAGATCTTCTTTGATTTCTCTCAGCAATATTTGGTAGTTTTTCAGTATATGAGTCCTTTGCTTTTTGTTAAATCTATTCCTATTTCCTAATCTTGTTTCTAATATGATTACTTCTCATATTTTCATTTTGATTGTTCATTTGGTAGTGTAAAAAAAGTTAATTGATCTCGTATCTTGTGATTTTTGCAAAAAATGTTTATTACTTGTAATTGTGTGTGTGTGTGTGTGTGTGTGTGTGTGTGTGTGTATTCCTTAGGACTTTCTGCATACAGGATCATTTTGTGATAAAACATAACTTTGTTTTAGCCTTTCCAATGTGAAGCCTTTTTATTTATTTTCTTGCAATATTGTCTTTGCTAGAACCTCCAGGACAATGATTAAGTGTAAGTTGAGAGAAGACTTGTGTTGTAGTTTCAATGTTTGTGGGAAAGCCATAGATTCACCATTTAATGTGCTAATAAATTAAATATTAGCTGCTGTGTTGTTGTCGTTGTTACTGTTTTTATCAGGAGTAGGTGTTGAGTTTTGTGAAATGTACATTCTGTTTCTGTTCAGATGACTATGGGAATTTTTGGTCATTATATCAGTTAAGTGTCTTACAGTAATTTAAAGTTCCAGTTGATCATGATGCATAATCATTTTTATATATTTCTGGCTTCAGCTTGCTAACAGTTTTCTTAGGTTTTCTTTGTATATATAGTGTAGTATATTTATTCTGGATGTTGGAAATCTGAGACCTGGGTAGCAGCATGGTTACATTCTGGTGAGGGCTGTCTTCCTAGCCTACAGATGGCCACCAAAAAGCAAACTCTCTAGTATCTCTTCCCATAAGGGCACTAATCTCATCTTGAGGGGCCCACCCCTATGACCTCATTGAAACCTTATGATATCCCAAAGATACCATTTCCAAATACTGTTACAATGGGGCTCAGGGCTCCAAAATATGAAATTTTGGAGAGAGATAATTTACTCCATAGAACTCCAGCCCTCACTTCCCCATATTCGTGTCCTTCTCCCAGACAAAATGTGTTCATTCCATCCTAACAGCTCCAACTCTAACATTTAAAGTCCAAAGTCTCATCTAAATATCATCTCAATCTGTCGTGGGTGAGTCAGGATGTACAATTCATACTGAGGCAAAATTCCCCTCCAGCTATGAAACCTGATAAGTAGAACTTTGTGTTCCACAGGGAAAAATAGGAAGGAAGCAAAGGGCCATGGTTTCCAAGCAAGTCCGAAAGTCTAGCAAGACAAATTTATTTAGATTGTAAGCCTCAAGAATAATGCTGTTTGGCTTGATGCCCCTTTTCCAGGTCTACTGGGAGGGCAGTGTCACTTCCATGGGTGGGGTCGCTGGGTGGTCCTGCCAGCAAGGCTACAGGCAAAGGCCATCCAAACTGTGGAAATTAAGGCAGTGGCTCCGATCATCTCTGAATCACCTTCAGGGTATCTTTTCCTCTTCTCTATTATTAGCGCTCATTTTCAGCTCATTTCACCTGTATCGTTCCATCCTGTCAAATCTAAGAAGTCTGGCAGCCCTCCTTCATTGTGTCCTGTCTCTATCCCTTTCAGTTAAAACAGGCAGTGTTTTCACTCATATAATCCTATAAAGTTTTTGTCAAATGATTGTGCAGCCATTTCCTTAGGGTTCTCCTTAGAACAATCTTTGCAACAAAGATAGGCAGGAAATCTCCAAATCTTCAACTTTTGGTTCTGCTTTGCTTTACAGTTTCTCTATCATTTTGCATTTCAGGGTAAGCAGTCAGGAGGCACAATGCCACTCAATGCTCTAACATTTTGCTTGGAAATCTTCTCAATTAAATATTCTATTTTGTCACTCACAAGTTTTACCTCTAATAAAACACTAGAACATAGTTTACATTACCTGCATTTTATATATATTTATATATAATATGTTTATAATAATATTACAAATAATATAATATTTATAATATATTATATATAACTTTTTTTTTATTATGTGTCATACTTTGTTGAAAACGGGACATTTTTAATATAATATAGTTGGGCAATTCTGAATCCTGAAAGCCTATCTTGAAATCGTTGTTTCTATTCTTCTGTTGTTTGTTTGTTTAGCGCTTTGCTGGAGCAATTCTGAAGACTCTGCCTCTCTAGCAGTGTGTCATCACTGATGTCTTTGCATTTTTTTTTTCAATTCCCGTTTTCATTTTTTGAGCCTGGATTCCTAGTGGTTGTCCTTGGGTTGGCATATCTTATTGACTGGTCAGAGTCTATGTTCCAACAACTTGCGAAAATAAGGCTTCCACTCTTTGCCAATGGATTTACCTTTGTGTTGGAAAAAGTATTCAATATCCAGGCAGTTTTCACTCAGGCAAGTTTTACTTTCTGCAGGACTTACTCCCATCTCCTCTACTAGTGAGTCAGCCATGAAATTGTGCATAGCTTGGCCCTTTCCAATTTCCCCTGAGCATGGATGCTACTTCATATATATATGGAATATTCCTGACTACCATGACTATATGGGTGCTTTCGAGACCATTTTGGCTGTTGCATTGTCCACAATTTCATGCTAGGTTTCTGGCTAATCTTCTGATCTGTTGCTTAAAATCACCAGTTTCACAATCTATGTTTAGATGTGATGTTGGCCTTCCCTGTTCATTTGCCACAGATAACTATTGTTTTTGACAATGTACCTAAGCGTGTGGTCTCCCTGCTGTCAGCTACAAATCATGTCATTCTACTTTAATAGGGAAGCTATTAGATTCCTGGCTTGAGCTGTTATGGTAGAATTGCCACAGGCTAGAGCTAGCTATGAGGATGGGAACAGCTCAGCTAAAATGCCACAAATTCCCATTATTATTATTATTTTTTACCATAGCATTAATAGTTTTTCTTTAATAAATTATTCTTAAAGTTTTGTATTCCTTTGGTCATTTTCCAGAATCTTGAAATGATTTTTGACAATTTTGTCTTGTTTTATCTTTGTTTATTGTGCAAAGGATTTGCAGAGCTTATCGTTTTTACCATTTCAGGAGTCTCACTACATTTTCCAAGTTTATTTCTATGAATTTGCTTTTCATTGGCTTTGTAAACTAGATATTTTTAATAAAACATTCTACTCCTTGTCATAGTCACCTTTAGATCCCCTAGTCACTTTTCTTGACCTGCGCCTATCTGCCTAGGCATTTGGCTGCCTCCTGTCCCTATCAAAACATAATCCCCAATGTGATGGTATTAAGAGGTGGGATATTTGAGAGGTGATTAGGTCATGAGGTCAAAGCCCTCATGAATGGGATTGATGTCCTTGTAAAACAGGTCTAAAAAGGTTTGTTTGCCCCTTTCAGTCTATAAGGACACAGCTAGAAGGTACCATCTATAAGGAAATGAACCCTCATCAGACACCAAATCTACCAGTGTCTTGATCTTGAATGTTCCAACCTCCAGAATTGTGAGAAATAAATGTGTTTTTAATAAGCTACTCAGCTTGTGATATTTTTGTTATAGCAGCCTGAATGGACTAAGACAATCATGATCGCTCCACACATCTCATCAAGGAGTAGAGAAGAAGTATACTCTAAGATACTGCAAGTATTTTAAGAGTATTTTAAGCAAGACATGTAAAGCTATGCACTTTACCAGAATGCAAAATACCATGCATTCAGAAGCCAAAAATATGAAGCTATTTTTAAACTTTACCATACTTATTTTTTACTGAAGTGTTTAGCATTTTGATGACTGTCCCATATTTTAATAATACTCATATCATAATTTTTTATAATTTTAATGTCAACGTAACTATTTCTTCCAGTGTCTTTACTTTTTAATTCCCTGATTTCTCTATTTCAATAGTATTGTTCATCAACCTGCCTCAGCCACTGACTTTCATCATCATATATTATACTTCAGGATTGCTATCACATTACTCTTCTCTACTCTTATATTTAAGCCTCTCAATCTTTGAATACTCCCTCTTATATTTCTCTTTCCCATTTCCAGACTTTAATATTTTATGCCACCAAGACATTTATCCATTAATTCTTCAATTTTTGCATTGTCCTTTTCCATGTACTCAGTTCTTCCATTGAAAACCACATATCCTATGGTTTCATGATTACCGTCATTCCCTACGAACACCTGCAACTCCCTTGCCATTTTCCCTTTAGTTGCCTCTCTGGAAAAACCTCAAACCTGGTTAAATCCAAGTCATCAAATAATTTGTTCACAACTGCAATAAAGCACACAATGATAGGGCATATTCTCACTTTAGTTCCATAAATCCTGAAACGTCATTATGCTCCCCACTGTCTTGCCTTGCTGACTCATATTTCGCTGATAAAAGAAATCAGAAGAGAACATCCACAAACTCTTGTCACTTGCTCAAACACTTAGCCTGGATACTTAATCATGCACTCTGTTTTCCTTGCCATTACCACGAATGAGATGGTGCTCCAGTCTAACACTAGAATTCCAAACGTGCACATTCACACTCAGCTCCTTAAGGATGTGGCTCTAACAATTCTTGCCCACATCAATCCTTATTAGTTCTTGGCCATCAGCAAATAAGTATTCTCCCATATTAAAAACAAAACAAAACAAAACAAATAAGCAAAGATAATCGTCCTTCTCTCCAGCTAACATGTCGATGTTTTACTTTCACTTATAACGCTCCTTAAAAGGGTCATCGGTATTTACTAATCCCAGTACCACTCCAAATATCTTTTCAGTCTAGTCTTATTTTCATTTTGATTCTGATTTCTATCCCCAAAATTAATTATGCTAAAGGACATTACAACTAACTGAGTTTTAGAGTTCGAATTGGCTTTTATCAGCAATTAATGAACGAGGCATCATCCAGTCTTCAAAATAGGAGCTCCAGGCACAGCAGAAAAGTCGCCTTTTTTAAGGCAGCTTTATCAAAAACAAGGAAGAAGCATAGCTCAAAAAAAGTGGATTGTTTAACATGAGATCACTCTGCTTGTACGGGATAAAACAGAGGGAACGTCATTATATTGGCTCAGGTTGACTGGGCACCTTGGGATTGGTTGCGAGAATCCCCTATTTGTTTTGAAAACTGGACCATTTAGGGATTTGGCTATCATGTTTTCCTTGAATTCTCAGAAGGCCAGATCTTACAAATAAACAACTTAAGTTTAGATGGTCATGTGGATTTTTAGTATGAGTGACTCATTTTAGGCCTGCCATGTTTTCTTTAAGTTTCCACCTTTTGCCAGACTCAGTGATACCGAGCGGTTTGATCAAAATTTAAGGCATTAGTGCCACTCTCAGTCATCATGATGCTGCAGTTTTTTATTTAGTCTCAGAGTGAAATTTTTAAATCACAATTTCAGGATCCATGGTCGATCTTTTCTGTTGCTCTCAATCTTGTTCTAATTGTAGAATTAGATCAACTGTTGTGTGGGGGATAGCTGCAAGCAAGCATTAAGATTCATGAGAGGAGGCAGTGCACTCCGGAGATTACTAGAATAACTACTAGCAAAATTGTACCCAATAATTGGTCATAATTCTTGGTTATAGAGGTTCAGTTTTTGACTCAAAGTCACCATGAGCCAAATCAACTAAAATAACAAAAGAAAAACAAAAGTTGATGGCTAGAACAAACGATTTTTTTTTCTCTGAGTTCAGAGGGCAGTTAGTTGAAAATATTTTCAGATCTGAGCTTAAAGCCTATTTTTTTTCTGGTTTGCCGTTAGGTAGTCCCTGGTTATAGCACCAGGTGCCTTGGTGAACTCTCTGAGTGTCTCGCACATTGGGCACAAAGGTTTTCTCTTAAGATTTACATCAAGTTGTCCAGCTCCAGTTTGTAGGGGCTCCAGTAATAAAGGTAGTTTTCGTTTTTAGTGATTCCAAGTCAGAAAAGTGCAGAAAACTGCAGATGTGAGTGTGAAGGGTCACACACAGATATTGGAGGAAATAAGAAGAATTCAGGATTCAGTTCAGTTTATAGGTGGGTAACAAAACCTCAAAAACAATGAACAGAGCTAGAATCTAATAATGAGGTGGGGGGGCCAAGATGGCCGACTTGAAGCAGCAGCATTCGGAGTCTCCCATTGAAAAAAAGCCATAAGAGGCTTGTGAATCCTTCAGCGGCAACCAGGGTATCCAGGTTCTTTCATCAAAATTGACTAGAAGGCTGGCATGACCCACGGAAAGAAGGAAGAGCAGTGTGGTGTGGCAGCCCACCTGAGAGCCGCACGGGGAAGGGGAATCCCCTCCCCCCAGCCAAGGGAGGCAGTGAGTGAGCACACAACCCAGCTGGGGAAACTGCTTTTCCCACGGAACTGTGAAACCCATGGATCCCACTTGTGAACCCACGCCACTGGGGCCTAGTGTCTCAACCATGGAACACGCAGATTCTTATAGCCTCTCAGCTGGAATATGCTTAAGCCTACCTAACTCCCCAGGGAGGGGCAGCCAGCACTGGCTGAGGCTGCCTGCTGTCTACACCATTTGAGCTCCTTGGGGGAGGGGCAGCAGCCAGCTCTGGGACTAGCAACTGCCTAAGCTCCCTGGGCGGGGGAAGGGCGGCACCCATTTCTATAGTCCCAGGCTGCTCTTTTCCCCTGCTGGAACCAGGAAGGCTGGATGGCTTGTTCCCAAGATTTGTTCCCACTGCCCAACACACTGGCTGTGGCAGTATGCGGCCAGCGTGCCTCTCTAGGTCTAATCCTGACACATCCTCCTCAGTGGGTGGGGCTTCCCTGCAGCATCTCCAATAACTCCAGCCAGAGGCTCAGGGACAGAACCCGGATGTCCCTGAGCCTGAGCCCCCAGGGGGAGGGGCGGCCCCAGTCTCTGTGGACCAGCAGAATTAGCCTCTCCTCCTGGTAGTTCTGAGTTATCCGAGCAGCCCAGATGAATGGGTTTCCCCCTAGTAAAACACACCCTCTCCACCAAGGAACAAAGTCCTTCATTAAACAAGTCCTATTCCCCATGCCACCCAACTGAGTGAGACCTTCCAAGAGGGGTTGTCAGACCCCCTATAGAGGAGTAATCCTACTGGCATCAGGTTGGTGCCCCTCAAGGTCAGAGGTCCCAGAAGAAGGAGAAGGTACCCATCTTGGCTGCTCTCCAGCCTTCTTGAGTGACATCTCCATGCACAGGAGCAAATCAGATGAATAGGGTCTGAAGTGAACCCCCAGCAAACTGCAGCAGCCCTACAGAAGAGGGACCTGACTATTGAAAGAAAAACAAGCCGAAAGTGGCAACAACAGCATCAACAACAAAAGGCCCCCACAAAAACCTCATCCAAGGGTCAGCAGCCTCAAAGATCAAAACTAGACAAACTCACAAATATGAGAAATAATCAATGAAAAAAATGCTGAAAACCCAAAAGCCCAGAGAGCCTCTTCTCCTCCAAATGATTGCAGTGTCTCTCCATCAAGGGCACAGAACTGGCACAGAGGATCATATGGAGTAATTGACAGAAGATGGTTAATAAAAAACTATGATTAGCTAAAGGAGCATGTTCTAACCTAATGCAAAGAAGCTAAGAACCTTGATAAAAGGTCAGAGGAATTGCTAACTAGAATAACCAGTTTAGAGAGGAACATAAACGATCTGATGGAGCTGAAAAACACAGCACGAGAACTTCGTGAAGCATACACAAGTATCAACAGCTGAATTGACCAAGTAGAAGAAAGGATATAAGAGTTTGAAGACCACCTTACTGAAACAAGACATCCAGACAAGAACAGAGAAAAGAATGAAAAGGAATGAACAAAGCCTTCAAAAAATATGGGACTTCATAAAAAGACTAAACCTAAGATTGATTGGAGTATCAGAAGGAGATGGGGAGAATGGAAGCAAGCTGGAAAACACACTTCAGTATATTATCCAGGAGAACTTCCTTAACCTAGGAAGACAGGCCAACATGCAAATTCAGGAAATACAGAGAACACTGTTAAAGTACACCATGAGAAAATCAACTCCAAGACACATAGTCATCAGATTCTCCAAGGTTGAAATGAAGGAAAAACTGTTAAGGGCAGCCAGAGAGAAACACCAAGTCACCTACAAAGGGAAGCCCATCAGACTAACAGCAGACCTCTCAGCAGAAACTCTACAAGCCAGAAGAAATTGGGAGCCAATATTCAACATTCTTAAAGAAAAGAATTTTCAACCCAGAATTTAATATCCAGCCAAATTAAGCATCATAAGTGAAAAAGAAATAAAAGTCTTTCCAGACAAGCAAATGCTGAGGGATTTCTTTACTACCAGGTCTGTCCTGCAAAAGCTCCTGAAGGAAGCACATAATATGGAAAGGAAAAGCCAGTAGCAGCCACTGCAAAAACGCACCAAAACTTAAAGACCCATGGCACTACAAAGAAACTGCATCAACCAGTGTGCAAAATAACCAAATAGCACCATGTGACAGGATCACATTCACACATAGCAATAGTAATCTTAAGTGTAAATGAGCTAAATGTCCCAATTAAAAGACACAAGCTGGCAAATTGGATAAGGAGTCAGGACTCATTGGTGTGCTGTACTCAGGAGACCCATCTTACGTGCAAAGACACACAGGCTCAAAATAAAGGGATGGGGAATATTTACCAAGTAAATGGAAAGACAAAAATGGTTGTATTCCTAGTCTCTGACAAAACAGACTTTAAACCAACAAAGATCAGAAAAGACAAAGAAGGACACTACATAAGGGTAAAGGGAACAATTTGACAAGAAGAGCTAACTATTCTGAATATATATGCACCCAATACAGGAGCACCCAGGTTCATAAAGCAAGTTCTTAGAGATCTACAAAGAGACTTGGACTCCCACACAATAATAGTGGGAGACTTTAACACCCCACTGTCAGTATTAGACAGATCAACAAGATAGAAAATTAACAAGGATATTCAGGAGTTGATATTAGCTCTGGACCAAGTGAACCTAGTAGATGTCTACAGAACTCTCTACCCTAAATCAACACAATATACATTCTTTGCAGTGCCACATGGAACTTATTCTAAAATCAACCACATAATTGGAAGTAAAACACTCTTCTGCAAATGCAAAAGAACTGAAATCATAACAGTTTCTCAGACCACAGTGCCATCAAATTAGAACCCAGGATTAAGAAACTCACTCAAAACCACACAATGTCATGGAAATTGAACAACCTGTTCCTGAATGACTACTGGGTAAATAATGAAATTAAGGCAGAAATCAAGAAGTTCTTGGAAACCAGTAAGAACAAAGAGACAACCTAACAGAATCTCTGGGACACAGCTAAAGCTGTGTTAAAAGGGAAATTTATAGCACGAAATGCCCATGTTGGAAAGCTAGAAAGATCTCAAATTGAGTCTAACATCACAATTAAAAGAGCTAGAGAGGCAAGAGCAAAGTAATTCAAAAGCTGGCAGAAGACAAGAAATAACTAAGATCAGAGAAGAATTGAAGGAGAGAGAGACATGAAAACCCCTCCAAAAAATCAATGAATCCAGGAGCTGGTTTTTTGAAGAAAATTAACAAAATAGACAGACTGCAAGCTAGACTAATAAAGAAGAAAAGAGAGAAGAACCAGACACAATAAAAAAATGATAAAGGAGATATCACCACTGACCCCATGGAAATACAAGCTACCATCAGAGAATAGTATAAACACCTCTATGCAAAAAAAACTGGAGAGTCTAGAAGAAATGGATAAGTTCCTGGATGCATACACCCTACCAAGACTAAACCAGGAAGATGTTGAGTCTCTGAATAGACCAATAACAAGCTCTGAAATTGAGGCAGTAGTTAATAGCCTGACAACCAAAAAAAGCCCAGGACCAGACAGACTCACAGCTGAATTCTACCAGAAATACAAAGAGGAGCTGGTACCATTACTTCTGAAACTATTCCAAACAATTGAAAAGGAGGGACTCCTCCCTAAGTCATTTGATGAAGCCAGCATCATCCTGATACCAAAACCAGGAAGAGACACAACAAAAAAAGAAAACTTCAGGCCAATATCCCTGATGAACATCAATGCAAAAATCCTCAATAAAATACTGGCAAACCAAATCTAACAGCACATCAAAAACCTTATCCACCAAAATCAAGCCAGCTTCATCCCTGGGATGCAAGGCTGGTTCAACATACCTAAATCAATAAATGTAATCCATCACATAAACAGAACCAAAGACAAAAACCATATGATTATCTCACTAGATGCAGAATAGGCCTTTGATAAAATTCAACATCCCTTCATGTTAAAAACCCTCAATAAACTAGGTATTGATGGAATATATCTCAAAATAATAAGAGCTATTTATGACAAACCCACAGCCAATATCATACTGAATGGGCAAAAACTGAAAGCATTCCCTTTGAAAACTTGTACAAGCCAAGGATGCCCTGTCTTACTACTCCTATTCAACATAGTATTGGAAGTTCTGGCCAGGGCCATCAGGCAAGAGAAAGAAATAAAGTGTATTCAAATAAAAAGAGAGTAAGTGAAGTTGTCTGTTTGCAGATGAATAATTTTATATTTAGAAAACCCCACCATCTAAGCCCAAAAGCTTCTTCAACTGATAAACAACTTCAGCAAAATCTCAGGATACAAAATCAATGTGCAAAAATCACAAGCATTCCTTTATACCAACAATAGGCAAACAGAGAGTCAAATCATAAATGAACTCCCATTTGCAATTGCTACAAAGAAAATAAAATACCTAGGAATACAGCTAACAAAGGATGTGAAGGACCTCTTCAAAGAGAAATAAAAGTCAAGGAAATAAAAGAGGACACAAACAAATGGAAAAACATTCCATCCTCATTGATAGGAAGAATCAATATCATGAAAATGGCCATACTGCCCAAAGTAATTTATAGATTCAATACTATTCACATAAAACTACCATTGACATTCTTCACAGAATTAGAAAAAACTATTTTAAATTTCATATGCAATCAAGGAAGACCCCATATAGCAAAGAACATCCTAAGCAAAAACAACAAAGCTGGAGGCATCAAGCTACCTGACTTCAAACCATACTACAAGGCTACAGTAAGCAAAACAGCATGGTACTGGTACCAAGCAGACATATAGACCAGTGGAACAGAACAGAGACCTCATAAATAACTCTACACATCTACAACCATCTGGTCTTTGACAATCCTGACAAAAACAAGCAATGAGGAAAGGATCTCCGATTCAGTAAATGGTGCTGGGAAAACTGGCTAGCCATATGCAGAAAACTGAAACTGGACCCCTTCCTTACACCTTATACAAAAATTAACTTAAGGTGGATTAAAGACTTAAATGTAAAACCCAAATCCATAAACACCCTAGAAGAAAACCTAGGCAATACCATTCAGGAAATAGGCATGAGTGAAGACTTCTTGACAAAAATACCAAAAGCAATCGCAACAAAAGCCAGAATTGACAAATAGGATCTAAATAAACTAAAGAGCTTCTGCACAGCAAAAGAAACTATCATCAGAGTGAACAGGCAACCTACGGAGTACAGAGTGGGAGAAAATTTTTGCAATCTACCCATCTGACAAAAGTCTAATATCCAGAATTTACAAGGAACTTAAACATATTTACAAGAAAAAAAACAACCCCATCAAAAAGTGGGCAAAGGATATGAACAGACACTTCTCAAAAGAAGACATTTATCTGGCCAATGAACATATGGGAAAAAAAGCTCCACATCACTAATCATCAGAGAAATTCAAGTCAAAACTACAATGAGATACCATGTCACACAAGTCAGAATGGCGATTATTAAAAAGTCAGGAAATAATAGATGCTGGAGACGCTGTGGAGAAATAGGAACACTTTTACACTATTGGTGGGAATGTAAATTAGTTCAGTTATTGTGGAAGACAGTATGGAGATTCCTCAAGGGTCTAGAACCCAAAATACCATTTGGCCCAGCAATCCCATTACTGGGTATATACTCAAAGGAATATAAATCATTCTACCCTAAAGACACATGCTCATGTATGTTTATTGCAGCACTACTTACAATAGCAAAGACATGGATCCAAGTCAAATGCCCATCAATAATAGACTGGATAAAGAAAACGTGGTACATATACACCATGGAATACTATGCTACCTAAAAAAGGAACGAGATTGTGTCCTTTGCAGGGACATGGATGAAGCTGGAAGCCATCATCCTCAGCCAACTAACACAGGAACAGAAAACCAAACACCACATGTTCTCCCTCATAAGTGGGAGCTGAACATTGAGAATGCAAGGACACAGAGAGTGGAACAACACATACCAGGGCCTGTTGTGGGGTGGGGGCTGAGGGGAGGGAACTTAGAGGATGAGTCAATAGGTGTAGGAAACCACCATGGCACACATATACCTATGTAATAAACCTGCACATTCTGCACATGTATCCTGTTTTTTTTTTAGAAGAAGAAATAAAGGAAAAAAAAAGAGAATCTAATAATGAGTGTATATACTCTATTTCTGACACATGTTCTTTTTCTCTCTACAGCTTCCCCATTTCTACTAAAGATAATCAAGGAAAGACCATTGGGTTTGCAGAATAAATCTAGTCTCATTAAACTTGGGCCTAATTATTATGTAAGTGCAGTGAGAAACATGTTTCTTTATGGTACAATTTTTCATGTCTATTTACAAATCCAAATATTTTTAGCTTCTTTATACCATATAAAAACAAGATGCCAAAAGTATATAAACTTTGTGAACCACAAAGTATCTGAGATAGGTACCAATCAATTTAGAAAGTTTGTTTTGCCAAGGTTAAGAACATGCCCTTAACACAGTCTTAGGAGGTCCTGATGACTTGTGCCCATGGTGGTTGGGGTACAGCTTGCTTTTATGGATTTTAGGGAGACATAATACATCAAATGATATATGTAAGATTTACATTGGTTCAGTCTGGAAGGGCAGTAAAAATTGAAGCAGGTTCTTCCAGGTCATAGGTAGAGTTAAAAATTTTCTGATTGTTAAATGATTGAAGGAGTTATCAATAGAAAGAAATGTCTGGTTTCCAATTAAGGGTTGTGGAGACCAAGGTTTTATCATGCAGATGAAGCCTCCAGGTAGCAGGCTTCAGAGAGAATAGATTGTAAATGTTTCTTATCAGACTTAAGGTCTGTGCTGTTGTCTTTTCCTGAATTCTAAAAAGCAGGAGGTATACTGAGGCATGTCTGACCCCCACCCCTCTTCCCATCATGGCCTGAACTTGTTTTTCAGATTAATTTTGGAATGCTATAGCCAAGAGGAGGGGTCATTCAGATGATTGGTGGCCTTAGAATTTTATTTTGTGTTTACAGCTTACACATATGTTCAGAAATTGATGTTTCACCATTTGCCTTATTTGAAAATGATCTAGATAGTCCATAATTATCTATTCTTCAACTTAACTTAGCAAAACTTTAAAAGTGTAAATTACCAAAGATATTTAGGGAGATTTTTTTTTAGTAGATAAAGTATAACACAAAACAAAGCTATTCATCATTGAATTATTTTTCTTGTTTATGAATTGCATAATATAGAGATAACATGAAATTATTATATTAGGAAACCTAGGTAGAAAATGCTGACAACTCCAAAGACTTGTCTATTTTGGTAGCAGGACAAGCCGCAGACAAAACCCCTCAGACACCGAGTTAAAGAAGGAAGCGGTTTATTCAGCCAGGAGCATTGGCAAGACTCCTGTCTCAAGAGTCAAGCTCCCTGAGTGAGCAATTCCTGTCCCTTTTAAGGGCTCACAACTCTAAGGGGGTGTGCATGAGAGGGTCATGATTGATTGAGCAAGCAGGGGGTATGTGACTGGGGGCTGCATGCACCAGTAACTAGATCAGAACAAAACAGGATAGGGATTTTCACAGTGCTTTTCCATACAATGCCTGGAATCTATAGATAACATAACCAGTTACGTCAGGGGTCGATCTTTAACTACCAGTCCCATGGTGCGGTGCCAGGCTGTCTTCCTGTGGATTTCATTTCTGCCTTTTAGTTTTTACTTCTTCTTTCTTTGGAGGCAGAAATTGGGTAAAGGACTATATGAGGGGTGGTCTCCTCCCTTATTTTAAATAAACCAGCATGCTATAGCTAACTTTTCATGCACTGAAGTTATCCACAAACAAGTGTACATGAAAAGCATTTGAATTCATTCCCATATTTCTAGCAGTTTTAGGAATATTTCATTTATATAAACACTTATTTTCTTCAAGTCAATTAACTAGAGATCCTTAACATATATTAATGTTGGCAATACCATTTAAAGATAGAAAAATACTCTGTACATATGACATACAAACATACATAAATACTACAAGGCATACATCAACATACACAGAAGCAGGTCTTGCAGTTTTTAGTCTAAAATTTTAGCCATATGCCTGATACAGTAACACACAAAACTCACTAGTTCATAAAAACACATGCAAATCTGGATCAGAATTATATTTGTAGCTAATGGAACAAGATTATTCACCCAGATGGCTAAAACAGACTTTTAAGATTTTTTATTTGTCACTTTTCCAATTGTCGTTGCCCTCTTCCTTTTTAGACAACAAATCTTCCAAATTTCCATTTCACTTCTCTATCAAACTATTTCTCTGACGAGGCTATTTCTGCCCATTGTTGGACATTATGGACTGTATAGACTTTCCTTAGTCTGAGGAAATGTGACATGGCAGCTTTAGTTAATGTCCCTCAAATAGAAATTCTCCAGTTCGAAACCCATCAATCTTTATATTTTTATGTTCTCTCAATCAAATTGTAGCCCAAGTGAGGGCTTTACCAATAGATTTTGGCACCACAGCACATGAGGCTCCCATACCAAGGAGTCTGGAAATTTCTTTTGCCCTGATCATTTTACCTACTCTTATGCAAAAGACTTTGAGTTCTTATCAGTGAGTTGAGCCAAAGGACCCTTGTCCTTTTTTCAGTCTTGATCTTGATTAACCTACCTGACCATTGCCTCAAGTGGTTACAAGTCAGGTTTCTCATTGTAATCTCTACCTTCTAGCTTAAAAAATTCTCCCAATGGATAAATAGGGCAGACTTGCTTAACACCCTTTAATGTTAGGGAAGCAGCCAAGGTGTCCCTTTGGTCCATCCATCCCTTGGTAATGTTACATTTAAACTTTTGTTTTAACCCAATTAAGGTCCATTTTATTCATTCTATTTCTTAATAACAATCTACAGATGGCTGCTCTCATTTTGCATTTCTAAAGGGATGGCATTTAAGTATGATAAGGTAGAGAATTAACATTTAAAAGGCACAGAACGTAGACTTCAGACCTAAATACTATCATTTGCTGAAATAAATAAGGTGGGGGTAAAAGTCCATTAAGACAACATGATCGTGAAAAGAATCTCAAACATAAATGCAAGGCTTGCTATGTAGATTTAAGCCAATGCCTTTTCTCCCAAGTAAGAGTTTCTATGATTTTAGTCCTGGTGCAGGGAGGGAGGATACCTTATACATGGAGATTTTATGCAACTTTTTCTTATAAAGAGGTCTCAAAATAACTGACTAGAGTTAGTCATTGTGCCATAAAGGCATATTTTGGCTATATCACTGTCTTCCCGACCCAGTTTGTGTTTTTTAACTAGATTACTGAATTCAGAGTTAAACCTATTACCACGGAGGGCAGAAAAAGCATTTTCTATGTATGGGCTCAACATGCATAGACCAGAATGTTTTAAAAATAGTGCTTTTAATCTTAACTTATAGTCAGAGGCTGGTTCATTCTTTTTCTATTTATAAAATTGATTTGCAGTCCTTTCACAATTTTTTTTTGACAAAATACTTTGGGGATGGTTTCTTGGGATTTTCCAGTAGAACAGCAATGCCTTTAGCCACTGCTCTGAGCTCAGGATCTTGACCAAGATATAAAGGTGGTTAAAGAAGCACATCTGATTGATTTGAGGGCCTAACTTCACAAGGCATTTATCAACCTTTATTTTGTTCTTTGAGGAGGGAATTCGACTAAGTGAAAATATTAGTAAGCAGAGGAGGAAAGAGAGGGACAATAGGGGTTTCATCAGTCTTACAGTCTTTTGTAAATAATATTTTAGTGAAGCTATTTTAGAATCCTGAGGTCTTATAGAAACTACTTCATATCAATGAAAATAGATGTACCATTCTCTATGCCTAATTTGGGAGTGCTTATTTTCATGTGCACCTCTTAGATGGATGATTTTGTGCAATTATAACATTCCTCATAAAAGCCATTGTAATTCTAAATTATGTTTAGTAAGGTTTTGCCATTTTTTTTTGTAAATATTTACAGCTTCCAGGAACATACATTTTGAGCATAAGAGAAGCAGGTATACCAGAAGATAGAGTACTGGATACTTTAGAATGTAAAGATCCCATTCTTGTATTGTGCCTTGGGTTTCTTGGAGCTGAGAAAAAAAAAAGCCCAAGATGGTAGTGCTACACTGCTGTGTTGTGTGATATTTTATAGTATTCTTCACTGAATGGAAATTTTTCTTGAAGCTGGCAAGTGGCAAGTGCACTAGTGTCAAGCTAACCCATTCTGTCACCAACTTATCCTAACACAGGAATCCTAGTTTTAGGTGGCAGACACTTTAACAGTTTTTAAGTGTTTGATCCATGCCCATCAGTCAAGTTGTGGCTCGGCTCTGAGATTCCTTTGACCAATATAGTCAAAGATTTTTTTTACCTTTGCATATAAGATAAGAAACAAGGAGGAGAGAAACAAAATCCCTGTGAATGTGGCAACAGCTATCTTTTACCTCTAAAGCTTCAGCCCTTGTCTGTCTAATGGAGCACCACAAAACACCCAAAGGTCATATGCTTTGCTACAACACAAAAGGACCTTGAACTGGAAAGCCAAAAGTATCAGAGAGCTCAACGAAGAGAGTACAGCTGAAATTCAAGAGGAACTTACTGACAAATTCTGGGTTTGGTGAGGAAGGCAGAGAAGTCTAAAGGAGCCAGCAGTCACCTCATCTGCATACCTAATGGGTTACAGGGATAGCCACAACCCTCCTTCAGATACCATCTTCAAAGACTGTCAGAGAGCAGAATCCTAACAAGCTGAGTTTCAAAGATCTAACTGATTTTCAATACAATTCATGAACCAGGCAGCACCCAGTAGACATAAGCTGTGTCAGGCAGATTTATCAGAAATGAGGAAACAGCAATAGTGCAAAAATAGACTTGTTAGCATCAGGCTACATTCTTTATATGGGTTAAAGCAGAGAGGACATTCTTACTATGCTAACTTAGATTAACTGGGCCCCTTTTGATTGGTTACTGAGAATGTTCTGTTTTTATTAAAACTGGCTGGCTTGGCTATTATCTCTCCCTGGATTCTTGAAAGGTCAGCTCTTTCAAGTAAACAACTTAGGTTTTAGTTTATTAACATGAAACTTTAGCATAAGTCACCCCATTCGAGGCCTTACATCCTTTTTTTTTTTTAAATTGTAAGTGTTATAATTATATTTCTATATTTAGTTGTTAAAATCAAAGTTGAAAACTGTTTAGATGCATGGGATTTTCAAGTGGGGAGCACTCTGCTCTTTAGGTAAGCTCTGTATCTTCATATTTTTGTCATGGGGGAAAAGCACTATTAATTAGACATGGTTGGAGTGTTAATTGGGGACATTAAAATATTACATTTAATCCTCTCTTTTCAGGAGTTGTTCCCTTTCCAAAGGCCCTTTATTAGAACCTGCTTATAGTGGAGAGATGTACCACTGATCTCCTTGAAAAGAGGAGAAGATTTGGAAGTTCTAACTGCTTCTTTTTTGATGTTGTTTTTAAAAATCTTTATTGAAATGTAACTTATATTTTATGATGTTAAACTATGTGAAATGTAAAATTCCATGGTTTTTAGTATATTTACAGATTTGTGCAAACAATAATAACAATAATCTAATTTTAGAATATTCATCACCTTATAAAAAGACTTTGCATCCATTAGCAATTACTCCCAATCCCTCTGCCCTTACTTTCCTGTACCACAGGCCAAGCAATCACTAATTTACTTTTTGAGCATACAGATTTTTCTGTTTTGCACACTTCATTTAAATGGTATCATACAATATGTAATGATTTATGACTATTTTTTCATTTACCGTAGTGATTTTCAGGTTTATACATGTTATGGCATGGATTAGTACTGCGTTTCTTCTTACTGTAAAATAGCCTATTGTGTCGCAATTTGATTACCTATTCATTAGTTGATGGACATTTCACTTTTTCCACTTTTAAGCTATTATGAATAACATTACTATAAACATTTGTGTACAAATTTTTGTGTGGCCATGCATTTTAACTCGTATTGGGTAGGTGTGAAGAATGAGAACTGTGAATTTTTGGATTATAAGATAACTCCTTTTCACATTTGACAAACTGTCTTCAGAAATGGTTGCTCCATTTTATATTTCCATCAGCATGCATAAGAATTCCAATTTCTTCACATCCTCACCAACACTTGTTAATGTGTGTCTTTTGAATTACAGTGATTCTAATGGATGTGAATTTGTTTCTCTTTGTGGTTTTGATTTACATTTCCCTAATACACAATGAAGTTGAGAATATTTGCATTTGTGTACTAGTTATTTGCATATCTTATTTGGAGAAATGTCTATTCACATTATTTGCACATGTTTTAATTAGGTTGCCTTTTTGTTGTTAGTTGTAAATGTTCTTTATATATTCTATATACTAGATCTTTATGGGATATATATTTTGCAAATATTTTTACCATTTCTGAAGGTTGTCTTTTTGTTTTCTTGATGGTGTCATTTGAAGCAGGAAGTTTTTAATTTTGAAAACTTAATCTTTCTCCATTTGATTTTCTTGGATTCTTCTTCAAATATTAATTGACTGTAAATGTTAGAATCTATTTCTGGGCACTCAATTTCACTGATCTGTAAATCTAATAAAAGGCCAGTAACAAATTGTCTTGGTTACTGTAGTTTATAGTTAGTTTTGAAATTGAGATATGTGAATCCTCCAACTTTGTTCTTATTTAAAATTGTTATGGACATTCTGAATAATTTTCATTTTTCTGTGCTTTATTTCTGGATCATGATCCATGGGCACTTAAAAAACGCATATTTGCTGTTTTGTAGTGAAATGTGCTATAGATATCTATTGCCTTATAATTTTGTTATAGTCTTCAATATCTCTGTTGATATTTTTGCCTAGGTATTCTATTATTGAAAGCTGTTTACTTAAGTCTTTAAATACGATTGTTAAATTTTCTATTTCTCCCTTCAATTCTGTTATTTTTTGCCTTGTG
This sequence comes from Homo sapiens, assembly GCF_000001405.40. Taxonomy (NCBI): domain Eukaryota; kingdom Metazoa; phylum Chordata; class Mammalia; order Primates; family Hominidae; genus Homo; species Homo sapiens. The sequence continues at coordinate 539,860 of NT_187577.1, read as the reverse complement.
TAATTCTCTGGCTCTGTTTTTGGTTGCATACATGTTTATAATTTTTATATCTTCCTGATAGACATCCTAGCTCTCTTATTAGTGATGTTTGTATGGTATATCTTTTAAGTTCCTTTACTTTTAGGTGAATTGTATCTTCAAAAATGTACTATGTCTCCTATACACACATCTAAACATTCCGGTTTAGAGCTAAACTTTTCTTTTAATAATTATTATAATTATTTTGTTGATAGTAGAATTATACCTTTTTATAATGTTTAAACTTTTTAAATTTCTATGGAAAAAATATAAATTCCAATTCATATTTTTCAGTTTTTATACTGAACATATAACATATAATTTGTATAAGAAAATAATGTCTAAAAACTAATATGTTTGTAATTTAAATAATTTATTACTTCACCAAATTGAATTTTAAATGAAACAATAACAATCATTAAATGTTAAGCAATATATATTTATATCTAAAATGTAATAATATTTTACAGTATAATCATATGGGGTCTGATACAACTGTTGTCGCTCAAAAAGTTTTCCAGTTGATTGGATTGACGAATGCTGTAAGTCTTTGCTTCTTAGTACTTTTGCACTTCTTGTGTTACTAAAACAATTTCTACACCTCATTATGACACTACATGAATCCACACGTTGTGTGGCATAAGGGAAATTAAGTTTTATTTTAAATTTTACTTATCTGAAGTGGGAATAATAATTGTATGCACATAATTTGGCTACTGTAAGACTTAAATTATATAAAGCATGGGGTATGGGGCTTCCTTAAATGCAAGCATTATAAAATCTCAAGTATTACTTTTATTATTAGTAACATTTTAAACTTACTAATCTACTTTAAAAGATGAAATGCAGACTTATAGTTTAGTTGTTTAATATTTATCATAAATTTGTTTTCAAACATATATATCTAATTTTTAAAAACTGTGACTTTTGAGCACACTTTTGTATGTTTTCTATTTTAGATTTTTGTTTCATTTAATATTACAATTATTCTGTCTTCATTGGAGCTTTGGATAGATGAAAATAAAATTGCAACCACTGGAGAAGCTAATGAGTTATTACACACATTTTTAAGATGGAAAACATCTTATCTTGTTTTACGTCCTCATGATGTGGCATTTTTACTTGTGTAAGGATATCTTGACATTATATAAAGTTTATCTGAAGAAAATTTATGCAATTTGACCGAATATCTTACTGTTGATAAATGTGTATTAAAAAAATCTATTTTTTTCTCACACACGCCATGTAAATATTTTTCACAACATGGTATTTATATTGGAATTACTGATATCAATTTATTTATTGGTTTGAAGTTAAAACTCACTCCCCAATCTTGTTCCCATATTACTTCTTTCCCTAGGGTATATACCACATTATTAAAAATCTCACACAATACATAAAATTTTCACAATATCTATTTGGAGAAACATCTGAATTCTATAAATATAGTAATTCAGCCTTCTTGTTATGATTTGTTGTTGTAAATTAAAAAGTAAGCAAAGTAATTGAAACACTATGTTTTAATATCTCTAATATATCTGCATTGTGCTTAAGGTTTTAGTACATTAGCCTTCCTTTCTATTTAATAGACTCTGTTTTTCTTTTATCAATATTCAGAATATATATATATATTATGTGTGTATATATATGTGTATATATATATAGAGAGAGAGAGAGTTTTTAAGATTAAACATGGAGTTTTAAACATTTTACTTTTTATCTTCTGTCCCATAAATATGACATGCTTTTTCATGTCTCTAGAAGGCTAATTTTGTCTGAATAATGAGAGACTTTGGTCCATAGAGTGATTCTGCTCATTAACAAGTTGCATTGCCTTAGCTTTTTACTTTTAAGGAATTTTATTTATTTTTATTATTTTTTGTTTTTTCTTCAGTTTTTCTGTTTTAGTTTTTTTAAATCTACATAAAATGAATCTTTGTTATGTTACAGAAATCCATATAAAATACACTTTGTTTTTAAAATTTATTTTATTGTTTTTAAAAGAAGCAGAAAGATTTAGTCACATCTTATGCTATCTTACATTAATGTTAGATGTAAATATTAATGATTATCATAAATGTAAAATTTGTCTTATAAAAATTCATATTAATTTTTACAAAATTATATGATTATGATCCCTTTTTAAACTTAAGTTACAGAGAAAAGTCAAATTATGTTGGTGCAACCTTTCAAGGGAAGATGTGTGATGCAAACTATGCAGGAGGTGTTGTTCTGGTATGGTATGGTTATGTATAGAAAGTATGCTACATAAATTAGTATACAGTTACACATTTTCATATTTAATTTTTATGTGTATTAAAATTTGCATTGTTCTAAGCATCTTTGTCACTGTTGCTGACAGAAATGTTTAAACTATAAGAAGTACTCATTCAATTCACTATGTATAAAAATTTTTCAATTTCCTATCATGAGTTCAAGATATCCTTTCTAGAAAGTTAAGGTAGTGAACTAGTTTAGTCTTACTGTAAAGTGCTCTTCAAGTTTTCATAATCTTAATATTTAATAATTAATTTCGGCTAAAACTTAGATTTTATATGTTTTCCTAATTATGTAGTGAACATAATTATTAACCAGATTAAAATAAAACATTTGAAAGTATCAGTCGCCTTAAAATGCTTCATAGGGTATAAGTAAAGAATAACGGAACCAAATGTCCTAATTGACATTAATTATCTAGTAGAGAATGTTAGTGTATTCAAAACTGATATATTTTTGCCGTTATTTCATAATACTATCACTATTCTGACAAACAGAACTTGCCTTTTTGTTGTGTGAGTGTTTGTATAATATCTGCAGGAGTTTCTTAGAGGCAATGAACAAATGAAGTGAAGCTAAGTGAAGCAATAAAGAGATGAATCAATTAAATGGAGATAAAAATAATTTCAACTTTTATTTTAGATTTAGGGCATACATATACAAGTTTGTCACCTGGGTATATTGTGAGATGCTAAGGTTTCAGATATGATTGATTCTGTCACCCAGGTACTGAGCATAGTACCCACTAGTTAGTTTTTCAACCCTTCCTCCACCCCCGGTAGTTCCTGGTTTCTAGTGTTACCATCTTAATGTCTAAGTGGACCCAATGTTTAGCTCCCACTTATAAGTGAGAACACGCAGTATTTGGTTTTCTGTTCCTGAGTTAATTCACTTAGAATAATAGTCTCTAGCTGCATCCATGTTGCTGCAAAGGCTATGATTCTTTTTATGGCTGCATAGTATTCCATGGTTTATATGTATCACATTTTCTTTATCCGATCCACCATTTACGGACACTTAGGCTGATTCCATGTCTTTGTTATTGTAAATAATGCTGTGATAAACATATAAGTGCCAGTGTCTTTTTGGTAGAATGATTTATTTTCTTTCTGTCTTTCTTTTTTTTTTTTTTTTATTTGAGACAGAGTCTCTGTCATCCAGGCTGGAGTGCAATAGCACAATCTCGTTTCACTGCAACCTCCACCTCCCTGGGTTCAGGCAATTCTCCAGCCTCAGTCTCCCAAGTAGCTGGGATTACAGGTGCTCACCACCAAGCCCAGCTAATTTTTGTATTTTTGGTAGAGACAAAGTTTTGCCACATTGGCCAGGCTGGTCTTGAACTCCTGACCTCATGTGATCCCCCCGCCTTGGTCTCCCAAAGTGCTGGGATTGACTTATTTTCTTTCGAGTATATACCCAGTAATAGGGTTGCTGGATTGAATGGTAGTTCTGTTTTAAGTTATTTGAGAACTCTCCAAACTGCTTTCCACAGTTTCTGAACTAATTCTAGTCCCCCTAACAGTGTATAAGCAGTCTGTTTTCCTCATAGCCTCATCAGCATCTGTTGTTTTTTATTTTGTAATAAGAGCCGTTCTGACTGGTGTGAGATGGTGTTTCATTGTGGTTTTGATTTGCATTTCTCTAATGATTAGCTGGTTAGCCATACACAGAAGAATAAAACTAGATGCCTTCCTTTCACCATATGCAAAAATTAACTCAAGATGGATTAAATATTTAAATGTAACTCCTCAGACTATAAGGGGTTCTAGAAAAAGACCTAGGAAACACCATTCTGGACTTTGGCATTGCCAAATAATATATGACTAAGTCCTCAAAAACAATTGCAACAAAAGCAAAAATTTACAAGTGAGATTTAATTAAACAAAGGAGCTGCTGCACAACAAGAAATATCAACAGAGTAAACAGACAACCTACAGAAAGGGAGAAAATATGCACAAACTATACATCTGACAAAGGCCTAATATCCAGAATCTATAAGGTGGTGAAACAATTGAACAAGCAAAAAACAAACAACCCCATTAAAAAATGGGCAAAAGACATGAACAGACACTTCTCAAAAGATGACATACAAATGGCCAACAACATATGAAGAAAATGCTCAACAAAAATTAATCTTCAATATTTATGAACAAGTTTGGAGAATGTGACTTATACTTATGGTCAAGTGATTTATCTGGTCTCAAATGCTGGAATTTGGCTTGTTTATTTCATCACATGCCACACTAAGAAATCACAAGACTCTCCCATGGAGAGTGCAAGGCCTTCACTGATTAACAAAGAGGAGAGCAGAACTGATTTTCTCTACAGGGCGGGCTTCCAGCATGGGCAACATAGTAAGAACTCATTTCTACAATAATTTAAAAAAATATAAATATTCGCCAGGCATGGTGGAAGGCCCCTGTAGTCCTAACTGAGGTAGGAGGATCACTTGAGCCTAGGAGTTCAAGGCTACAGGGAGCCAGGACTGCACCACTGCACTCCAGCCTGGGCAACAGAGCAAGACTCCATCTCAACAATCACAACAAAATTTTTAAATTAGAGGCACGCTAGCTTCCAGGAAGAAGAAAATGCCATAATTTACTGGACAATTTGTGCCTCATGGGCAGAGAAAAATGGTCTCTTTAGTAACGACAATTGGAAGAAAGCTTTTCTAGTATTCTTTCTTATTCTCCACAGTTATTTTGCCTGCCCTTTCACTGGAAAAATCAGCTATAAACAATGTTCACAGAAGTAAGATGTTGAAGAGAATAGTTGAAGTTCTGCCTTTTGATGTTTAAATTCCCACCACCCTTTCTACCTAATCCTGCAGGGCTGTAGATTGCAATTTAGAGTCTGTATCCTTCCAATGCTGCTCCTTCCTAAAAGTTTATATGTGAAACCACAGCACAAGTAGTTTTTGGTTGAGTACAAACAAGAAAGAATAATCAGCATATGATTTTTCACTTAATTTTTTTTTTTTCTTTTCGAGACAGAGTCTCGCTCTGTCACCCAGGCTGGAATGGGGTGGCGCGATCTTGACTCACCCCGCCTCCCAGGTTCAAGCGATTCTCCTGCCTCAGCCTCCTGAGTAGCTGGGACTACAGGTGCCCGGCACCATGCCTGGCTAATTGTTTGTATTTTTAGTAGAGATGGGGGTTTCACCATGTTAGCCAGGATGGTCTCGATCTCCTGACCTTGTGATCTGCCTGCCTCAGCCTCCCAAAGTGCCGGGATTACAGGAATGAGCCACTGTGCCTGGCCTTAAAATATTTAATTGACAAACATCATATATATTCAAGGGTTACAATGCGACAATTATACGTCTTTAGATATAGTCATGTTAGGGGTCACGGTTTCAGCATAAGAATTTGGAGTGGGAGGGAGACAATTTGGTCCATAGCAGTAGTCTAAAGGAAGGATGTTCTAGAAGAAATAATGAGGAATATTTAATTATGATGAAGGGGAAGATAGCAATCATAATGTTGTATGCATATAATTACATTGCTTCAAAATATATAGAGCAAATGTGAGAGAATAAAGGAAAAAGAGGTCCATAATCATATTTAAGAATGGAAAAAAACAACCTACCTCAGCAATGTATTTTTTCATTTTATCAAAATATATATTTCTAAAATCTTATACCAAAGAGAAACATTGCTAATGTAGAGTATTTACCAAAGCAAATAATATGGTGAGAAATAAAGCAGTATCAATAAATATTAAATGATTGAAATCTTACAGAGAAAAGTGTCTGAGCATTGTGGATTTAAATGAGAACCAACTAATAGAAATATCACTTAAAAATCTCGAAAGATTTGCAAATAAAATAATGAGATAACTCATTTTGAGCTAAGTGACATTAAAAATACAGGGTATCTAAACTTATGGGATCCCAAAAAGGCAGAGCTGAGAGGTAGTGCATTTATAGCTTTAATGTATAAATAAAAATAAGGTCAGTTTGAATGTAGATGATCTAACTCCATCTCCAAAAAGCATTATAGATGGTGAGTTAAGCTAAGAGACGCTATAAAGTAGGAAATAAGTTTTAAGGATAATATTGGCTATCAATGAAATACAAAATATAATGAAGAAAATCATCAAAGCTCAAACTAATTTTTTGAAGATATATACAAGTTATAACAACCTACCAAAATGGGTATCTTATTTCAAAAAAAGCTGAAAAAACAAATTATCCAAATATTAGTTGAATAAAGGGACATGATCACCACAGATCATATAGACATTACACATATAAGACGGCTTATCCTCAACCAATTAATGGCAATAAATATGGATAAAATTTTATGAATAATAAATTTTCTCAATTAAATAGAAAAGTAAATCTGCATCACCATTGAACCATTGGCATAGTTGAGTCTCCAATTAAAGCACTTTTCTCCAAAACAAACAAAACATCTAGGCCCACATGATTTCCAAAAAATGGCTCCAAAATATTTAATGCTTGTAATAAGTTACTTTAGATAATACAAAAGGAGGGGCTAATTCTCACCTTGTTTTATGATTTGAGATTTATGTTAACTATATGTTAACAAAAAGAATTCTGCAATATATCAAAAGAGTATGACATGGTGAACACATAGAAATTATTCTAGGAATACAAGATGAATTTTATATTTGAAATCAATCATTATAATCTACTTTATTAAAAAATAGATACAGAAGATACATTTGTTAAATTTAGAACCTACTTAGGACAAAAAAAAGCAAGATTGAATACTCTCAGCAAACTTAATGTAAAAAGAGACATCTTCAAGAAATGTTTGCCCATTCTAAGATCATGAAGCTATTCTATCCTCTAACACAAGCTTGATTGATTTGCCTTTCAATGTAGATGTATAATCCACATTAAAGAAATTTGTTTGGTGTAAAATAGGGGACAGAATCAGTTAGCTCACATTGGATAGGTAATTGCTTCATAACAACTTATTTAAAAGGTTAGTTTTCCTCCAAATAAATACAGTTGTGCCTTTGTAATAGAGATCAAGTCGCCATATCGCTGGCCTCTTTCCAGAATCTTCTATGACCATTGGTGTTTTTGTATGTCCTTCCACCAACACCACGTTGTCATAATGACTCTACCTCGATAGTGAAACATCAAAAATGGTAGTGTAAACCCTACTAGTCTGTTATTCTTCAAGACTGTTTTAGGTATTCCAAGTCCTCTGCATTTCCATTTTAAAATCAGCTTGCAATTTCAACAAAACTGTTTGATTTTTATTGCTTTTTATGGAAACTTTAGATCAAGAGAGATTAGTATCAACAATATTGAGGCATTTTATCCATCAAATTCATAAACATATTGTGGAATATCCATATCCTGTAGTGCACTACACAGAAATTAAAAGAAGTACAGTTACACTCAAAATTAATGAATTTCCAAAACTATATTTTTAGAAAAACTAGCCAGAAATAAAATAATAAATACTTAATGGTGCCATTTTTATGAAGCTAAAGTGCAAGTAAAGATAAGCCATTGTACTGAGATCAAAATAAAGATTCTATTTTATGTGGAGGTAGTGCCTGGAAACTTGCTGAAAAGAACTTCCTGAGTGATGAAAATATTTTGTGTCTAGTACAAAGTAGTAGTTATACAGGTTCATGTGACACACACACACATGCGCACACACACACAAGTACACACGTATGCACTTCCCCAATACATGTGTATATATGTGTTTTCACATGAGTATACATAAATTATACCTACATGAATGTGTACATATGGGTACATAACTACACATAAACATATAAACACACACATTGATATGTATATGAAACTGTATCAAATCCAAAACATTATTTTAAAGGTATGAAAGGAACTTACAGTGAGCCAAGATGGCGCCACTGCACTCCAGCCTGGGCGAGAGTGCGAGATTCCATCTCAAAAAAAAAAAAAAGAAAAGGTATGAAAGCGCCACACAAAACAAGCTTTATAATAATTCCAAAGGGCAATAATTGAAAGAGATAACAATGTTTTAGTTTCAACTGTAAAAGGCAAAGATTATTTGATCGCATTTTCTCTACAAGTTTCAAACCCATTTGTAATATCACAGGAATTTTAACCCCTAAAGGGTAAGAGAAAGACCAAAAAATAACAACCATAGGATAATTTATATATCAATACTAATATAAAGCAGCAAAATATTATTTAAATAAAAATCCATATGTATTTTGTTTCTATTACTTAAGATGAAACAAAATCTTAGTAGCATTATATAATGATCCTGAACATATATGTAGGTATATTCTAAAAATCTACTGAAATAGAATGCAAACAGTGAAACAGCTGTGAATATAGGCAAAATAAATTATTAAGTGTTCTTTCAATGATATTCTGGACTTGACTTTCTATTGACTGGGCTGTTTGCAATTATTGGGTGGCAGAGGTTAATGTGCAGATTTTTGTCTGGTAGAAATGCAAATAATTTCTCTCTGGTGGATGAGATAACCCACATATTATTATTCATTATTCTCTAAAACACTAATCAGTTTTGTATCTAAAACCTACAATTCTATCCTAACATGTTTATTAATATACTCCTAGCTTCTCAAATGCTCTTTGATATGGTTTGGCTCTGTCCCCACCCAAATGTCATCTTGAATTGTAGCTCCCATAATTCCCATGTGTCATGGGAGGGACCCGGTGGGAGGTATTGAATCATGGGGGTGAGTCTTTCCCATGCTGTTCTTGTGATAGTGAATAAGTCTTATGAGACCTGATGCTTTCATAAAGGGGAGATCCCCTGCACGCGTTCTCTGGCCTGCCACCATGTAAGATGTGCCTTTGCTCTTCCTTCCTCTTCCACTATGACTGTGATGCTTCCCCAGCCATGTGAAACTGTGAGTCCATTAAACCTCTTTTTCTTTATAAATTACCCAGTCTTGGGTATGTCTTTACCCGCAGCATGAGAGAAGACTAATACACTCTTTGAATTGGCGTGAACATCTTACCAGTTTCTTGACTAAATAATGAGTTGAACAAAACATAACATGTGTTCATTAAAGAAAAAAAAGGCATAGATAGAATGTTGATACATAAAATTAGAGACGAGTGTTTTTCTAAAAAAACTTATATGGCAGGCACATTTATAGAGAATGCTCACATGTTATGCAAAAAACAAGTCTCAATAAATCCCCACTTGTTTACAAATTTCTCAGTCTGATGATTGGCATATAAGAAGCCTAATAAATGCTTGTTGCTGTTATTATTTGAAAACTATGGTTCTAAACAGGTATATTCACCAAAAGAAAATTGTCTGCTCTGTTGAAATTTTTTGTCCCTAAATATATATTTTTTAAATTCAGTGTTAAATATAGTTGTGCTTTATTGTCACTTGCCTTTCAAATCAGAGATAATAATAACAAGAACCTGTAGGAAATTCTCTTACTGCTTTCCATATCTTTAAAATTTTTTTATACTAGTCTGGACTGAGCTGTGTCCCCCCGAATTCATATGTTGAAGCCTTAACCTCCAATGTGACTATATTCAGAGATAGGACCTGAAAGGTTAAATAGGTCATGGTGGGGGGCTCTAATTCAATAGGACTGCTGTCCATAGAAGAGGAGGAAGAGACAGCAGAGATAAGGCTCTCCATGCGCACATAGAGGAAAGGCCAGCAAGAAGGCAACCTATCACAAGCCAAAAAGGTCTCAGCAGATGCCAACCAACCCTGCCAGCACCCTGATCTTGGACTTCTAGAACTGCGAAATTTCACAGAACTGCAAGGAAATAAATTTCTCTTGATTAAACCATCAAGTCTTTGGTATTTTGATCCTATAATGATCAAAGACATTTGAAAGTGTCTTTGAAAGGAAATACAATAAAAGGAAAGATCAAAAATATATGTACTAGTAAGAATACAGGGAAGGCAAGAGCAACTGAACATGAAGGAAAAAAAAAACCCTGCTTTTATACAAATGCCTAAAGTGAAATCACTGGATCTTGTTGTTTCCATCTTAGTGAATTATAAGAGATAACAGGAAACAGGAGAAAAAGAGAAAAGTATAAAGATGCATTTATGGGTCAGTAAGCCTTTTCTACAATATCTCAAAAATAGGGGGTTTAAAATAACAGTACCAGTATTAATATACTACTACAGTATTTAGCCTCTTGAAATTTAGCTGAATCCTTCAATTTATTCCCTGTAGAATCATTCTCTCTCCTTCTCCTTCCCCTTCTTCTCCTTCTTTTCCTTCTCCTTTTCATTCCTTTCTTCTTTCTCCTCCTCCTCGTCCTCCTCCTTCTTCTTCCTAACACTGTCTCTCTGAAAGCAGATGATACATTTAAAATGTGGAAATTTGATAAATGGAGTATTTATCCATGTGCATGCAAAATGTAGAGCCTTTGCAGTACCTCCACACAAGTAATAAAGAACTTTAATTGGTACCAAGTGTTGATGGAGGGAAGAGAGTCATTTTATCAGAGTCACAGACAGAAGGTAGATGTCCCATCAAGGGTTCAAAGAGACGTAAGCATCCTTGCAATGATGTAGTAAATACCTCACTTTCATTCACATCTCATTCTCTTCTCTCCATTAGAAAAAATCAAGGTAAAACTCAAGGGCAAAGCATCCCTCTGACATAATCCATTTGTGTCATCTTTTTGGGGTGGAGGGCAAGGTAGAAAATGATGGAAAACTGACTTAGAGAGGCAACAGAAGAAATCAAAATGTATACCTAGAAACCTATCATGAAGTATATTCATCAAAATGTTAGTAGATATATTTGAAGGGGTAGCAGGATATGTGGATTTTTCCCAAAATTCATGTTATAGTGTGATCAAAATGTGCTATAATAAGCATCTTACTCTTACAAAAAGAGAAGTTATAAATTTAAATTATATGTTTATAATTTAATATATAATTAATATATAAATTATATATTAAAATTATATAAATATAAATTATATATTTTAGTTTTCCCAATAAAATTGAAACAACTGAAAAGTCAGAATTCTTATATCAGTCATTATTACCGTAATATTAATTAATTCAGTGAGTTAACTTATGAGTTTATAAAAACATTTATGAAATGGCTATATAAAATATTATCATTGAGGAATCAATTTTTTTAATTTTAATTTTTATTATGGGTACACAATAGTTATACATATTTATGGGGAGATGTGATGTTTTGGTACAGGCATACAATGTGTAATGATTAAATTAGGATAATTGGAATATCCATCACCTCAAGCCTTTATCATTTCTTTGCATTAGGAACATTTCAATTCCACTCACATATTTCAACATATACAGTAAGTGTTGTTAACTGAAGTAACACTATTGTCCTAGAAATACTAGACCTTATTCTATTTAATTGTGTTTCTCTACTCATTAAACCATCTCCTCTTTATCCCCCACTTTGTACTACCCTTCCCAGCCTCTGGTAATGACCAAATTTCATAATTTGACACTATGTTTTTCTATGCATTTATCTTTAGATATTATCTTTTGTGAATATAAATATGACTGTAATTGTTGTTAGACATAGCTAACAAATTCCTGGGGCAATTTTTTTTCTTTGTCTGAGGCCACCAAATGAGTCATCCATTTACATACCGATAAAACTTCAGATTTTATTTTTCATAATTTTCTTACATTTATAATGAGTTAGACCAACAAGGATGGCACTTTTGGGATAACAGATGCCCCTATTCCATTTTATCATGTGATCTTTAATAATTGCATTGTTCTCCCAGTAAACAAAATAATCTCCCAAAACGTGTACATCTATTTTTTTTTCTCAGCACCCCAGAACCATAAGTCTGGAATCACTTGCAGTTATTTTAGCTCAATTATTGAGCCTTAGTATGGGGATCACTTATGATGACATTAACAAATGCCAGTGCTCAGGAGCTGTCTGCATTATGAATCCAGAAGCAATGTAAGATTTCTGACTTTTATACTTTACATATATAGTTTAATGTAATTTTAATGTATTTAGTTGAAGAAAGTTTAAGTTGTTAAATAATAATGGCGATCAGCTGTGACTGAGGACTCCAGGACCAAAATGTGTATTCCAATGCCCACGATGCATATTTATCTCAATATCACTTGTAATCAAATGTCACACTGGCTTTCTCACATGTGATCTAACACTACATTTATCAATATGTTTACTTGTATAATTTTACAATTTGATGCATAATTTGATAAGCCAAATGCAAGCTTGAGATCACTACACAAAAAGTATTTATTAGTATGAACTTGTCTGCATGAGTCTCCTTCAACTTGCCTTGGTTCAGCCTGAAGTCTCAGCATCTGTTGATTTCAGAGATGCTGCCATTCAGCTTTTTCTTTGTCATGAGAGAAAGTCGTTTGCAGTATTCTAATCAGGCCTCAACGATCTAGTGAATTTTTTTTGCTGATATCAACATTATTCTTATAGTACATTATGAATGTTTGTAGAAATACGATCAAATAGCCAGGGGATTTAAGGAAACCAGGCAGTAACTGGAGCTAGCCTTTTATCTTTCTGATGGATATTCTTGGAGGCATTCTTTGTTTCTCAGATGTGTTAGAGAATCAAGCCTCATTGCCTGCAGCAGGAAACATCTCACTGTCTCCATTCCCGCACTGCTGCTCCCTAAAATATTTGTGCTTAAGTTCTTGTCTCAGGCTCTGATTTTTGGGGTGGCAGGGATGGGGGACCTGTCCTAAAATAGTTACCCCAGAGTGGCTTTAGAAAACAAACCTTTATGAAAGGATTGTGGGCCTACATCAATACATGATCTGATAGCAACAAGGGCACCTCTGGCAAAAGATAATGTGAAAAGTGCACTGCAGCAGGTCCAGGCTGTGGTGCAAGACGGCTTGTCTTTGGTTCTTGTGATTATTTAAATACAATGTTACTAAGGATATTCCTGGTAGATTACATACATGTGGAATCTCTGGCAAGTATCAGTAGGAGATTTGCAGCGCAGACCTGTAGTTCTGCTATAGCTTCCAATGGGCTATTGGGCTCTTGCAGCCTTGAGCATGCATCTAGGAAATAGTAAGTTGCTATGTTATTGAAGTTTACTGTTTTCATCATAAAAGAGGTGTTTTAGAGCCACAAAAATATATGTATAAGATCAAGTGAGCATATCAATCTATCTGATGACCAAAATGGTAAATCTGGGAGCAAGCTAGAGAAGGTCCAGAGAGTACAAGTAAATAAGGGAATAGGGATCCCAGATCTTCATGTCACCTACATCTATTGCACCAATATTTCTCAGTCACCATACACTAATATCCTTGTAGGGATTTTCTAAAACTGGTTGATGGAGAAAAACAAACCTCAGTCCAATTTTAATATGTTAGTTGAAGTATTTTTTAAAAGTCAGTTTCATATAGAGTCCTATTAGATTTAGACCTAAAGACTGTGGGGATGGTAAATGTCCCCATGCCCCATGCACATATTTGTAAACAATATATCGGGTTTTCCACCTTGTATGAGAGAAGTGCCAGAGATTGGAATCTACACAGATTCCTATGCTGTGGCAAATAGCTTGGATACTTGGTGAACGATCTAGATGCTATAAAACTGGACATTTAAAGACAAGAAAGTGTAGGGAAGAAGTATGTGGATTTATTTAGAATGGGCACAACACATTCAGATGTTTATTTTCAAGTTCCACCAGAACAGCGTTTACTTCAAAAGAAGCACTCAAGGACCAGGTCTTTGACATCTATGAATGTCAACCAGCCTTTTTCCTAGGACACTCTAAAAAAAAGTCTTAAAATGAAATGTACGCACTCCTTCTCTAGGAGCAAACTTCAGCCACTTTAGTGAAACACCAGATTCCTGACCAACTAGGGAAAATTCTGTAAGATATTCTGTACATTTTCCTGTGGGCCCCGCAGAAAGAAGTCATTATTGCCATCTCAATAATACATGCTGATATCGACCTTTCCTCCCCCTCTCTTTCTTCATCCTTACACCCTTATTCCTGCTTCCTAGAATCACCACCCACATAAAATTCCTACAATCAAGTTCATGCTTTAGAGTATTTTCTCCTGGCCAATCTAAACAAAGACAGATGACATTTATATAGTTTGTATTAATAATGTTGAGCATTATTCATTAAACTTTTATTTATCTCAACCACAATATAGCTGTTTACAATGTTGATTATAATGATTACAATAGTTGTAATGGTAAAGAAAAGATAGGAAGGATAAGAAAATCACAAATATAAGAAGTTCTTTGGGCCCTCCACATCCTCTTGGATAATGTCAAAGTATTCTCTGTTCAATTTTGAAACAGGTAATTTTGTTAGGTTGCCTGATAAGTTATTCCCATCATGGTTGGGACCTGTTCCTTAGTTTTGTTTTTTATTTTTCCTTTGGAAATAGGTTTCTTATTGTTTTTCTAATTGCACCATGTTTATGAGACTATGAAATTTGCAATTGTTTGTGACAAGTATATAGAAACGGTATTGATTAATTTTTATTGAGCTTGTATCCTGCAGCTTTGCTACACTAACATATTCTATTCTGGAACTTCTAATTTAGTCTCATGAGAATTGTATTCACATGTAATTATATATTATAAATACATCTTCCTTTTTGATCTTTATATTTTTAAAACATCTATATCTTGCCTTATCGCAGTGCTTAGGGCCTCGAGTACTATTTAAAACAAAAGTTTGATGTGTGGCTGTCTTTGTTTCACTCTGATTTATGAGCAAGACTTGTAACTTTTCACCAATAAATACATTAACTGAAGGTTTTACAGAGAGACTTTTAATCAGATTGAGAAAGCTTTGTAACCCTCATTTATCAGAGTTTTCATTATGAATATATTTTATCAAATATTGAGATGCTCATGTGTTTCTTCTACTTTATTCTGTTGATACATTGAAATACATTTTATTCATTTTTAATTGTTTAAATAATCTTGCTTTTCTGGGATAAACTGCATCAAGGAATGAGGAATTATCCTTTTAATGTATTAATCCTTTTTGTAGCTGGATTTTTTCCCCTAATATTGGCAAAGTATATTTGCCTGTATATTAATGAGTGATACAGATCTTTAGTAGTAATTCTCTTGCAATTCCTTTGACTGGTTTTAGTATCACAGTTACACGGGCTTCATATAACTTTCTAAAAGAGATTTTGTACTATTGATACTATTTCTTTCTAAATTGTTTGATAGCATTTATCAGTGAAGCTGTCCGGAACTGGATAACTCTTTTTGGAAAGGTGTTTAATTGGTCATTTTTGAGATATTTAGATTTTGGTTATTTTTCCTTTTCTAATAAATATTTTGTTTCCTCAAAATTGATTAATTTTTCATAAAATCTTTTATAGCTTTCATTTATTTTCCCCTAAAAGTCAATGGGATAATTTGTGATATGCCCTCTTTTATCTCTGGTACTGATCATTTGAGTTTCTTTTTATAATCACTCTAACTTAGATTTTATCAAATTAATTAATTTTTTTAAAGAATCATATTTTAATTACATTGACTCTTTCCCATGGCCTATCTACTTTGTTTTCCTTTATTTCTACTTAGTTTGTGGTAAGTTTATTCATCTTTTTTCTAGATTTTTAATGTAAAAATTCAAATAACCTCCCTTCTTTTTGTGTAAACCCTTTAAAGCTGTGCATTTCTCTCTAATCACAAGTTCCTAGAACTTGACCTTCAATTACACACCACACGTTTTTGATACTTTGTGTTTCATTTCCAGTTAGTTGAAATATTTTCAATTTTTTGTGATTTCTTCTTTGTCTAGCTATTTTAGATGTAGGTTAGTTGATTTTCAAATATTTGTGGATTTCCTAAGTATCTTTTTGTTATCTGATTTAATATCTGCTGTGGTCCAAAAATATACTTTCTAGATGTCTATCTTTTGAATTTCATGAGACTTATTTAATAATTGTGTTTAGTTTTGTCTTTCTTTGTTTTTCATTTTTTCAAATTGATTCCTTCCATCATGTACAACAGAAAGTGAGAGAATGTGTTGAGGTGTTATTTTTCTGTTTTTAGTTAGTAATTAAGATGCCTGTAGTAATTCCTTCAAAATTATATTTAAATATAGGTTATATTAATATTCTTCCTAGCGAATCGTACTTTTTTTAAAATACAAAATATTAGACACATGTTTTGATGTTTTGATTATGGATTAAGGAAAAAGATGCTCCATTCTTTTATTTTGTGTTGTATTGTTACTAGAACATTTCATTCTTTTGCAAATACTTTGTAATTTTGTGGTGAGAAAATGAATGGTTGAAATGTGGTTGATAAAGAAATATCTTGATTGAGATCTATATTGGGATTAAGTCTGTATTTAGATTTTGCTGCAAGTTACAGAAAACACAAAGGAATAATGGCTACAATCAAAGAAAAGTTTATTTTGAGAAATTACCATTCTTTTAATTGTGTGATGTTTCACAGTATAATTTCACACTGTATTTCTACACAGTGGCTTCCATTCCCAAAATAATCTCATATCCCTAATGGAAGTTTTAATTACAACAATTAACCAAATTTAAAGTGACCAATTGGATAAAGGAGCTTACAAAAACATGTCTATCTCATTACCTCCTAGAACTTGAACTTATGGCTCATCTTAGGTCAATTATTTGACTTCTATATATGTTCACTCATTTATTAAAAACTGAGAAATTTAGACATTGTACAATGAAGTCATGCATTCAACTAACAACCAGAGGCTCCATTATAAAAAAAAAGTGAGAGAATAGAGAATGAAAGCATCCAGCAAATCTCCATGAAGATTCAAGCTGCAAAAAAGTACTCTAATCGGATGCAATTATGCTTGATATTTTACTTTCTTTTCTTTTTTTTTTTTTTTACCGTTCTCTCTCCCCTCTTTCTTTTTTTTTATTATACTTTTAAGTTCTAGGGTACATGTGCACAACGTGCGGTTTGTTACATATGTATACATGCACCATTTCGGTGTGCTGCACCCATTAACTGGTCATTTACATTAGGTATATCTCCTAATGCTATCCCTCCCGTATTTGACTTTCTAATGACAATGTTAATTTCATTACCAGAAAGTGTATACTCTATAAACCAGTTCACACATGGTAAATGTATCTTGCATTGCCTGGTTCTCAGTAATATTAAATTTCTATCAGTTTTTTTCTATATGGTTCCTTGTATTTAGATAGTAATCATTTGAATTCTTGGCAATTTATAATAAATTCATTATTTAAGGTTGATGGAACTGAAGGGGATGTTCAGCCAGGATGCAACCACACAAAAAGTCATACCAACACTGTTAGTTTTTTCAAAAATTCTAAATTTATTCGAGGTCTTCGAGTGAATAACATTTTCTTGTGATAATCCAAATGACTAGAGTTTGATACCATCAAGTTTATTACCTTAAAACTCATCACATTCCTATTAACAATGTCTTCCATCAAAATATAGGCCATCGTGATTATAATCTTTTTAAACATTGTTAATACTACTTAGAATAATCAAAATTATAACAAAATTAAACTTTATTATTTATAGTAAGTGGTTTCAATAGTGCACTCCTTTAAAAGAACTAGCAGAAGATAGTTAATGAATGATTAAATTAGTAACATTCCAGTTGTTGGTAAATATTCTGAAGTAAAACAAATGTCAGTAAGGGGAATAAAGGGTAGTAAGGAAGCGGTATTTTTAAAGTGTGCTTGGAAATATCCGTTTGCATAAATTTTGTATAGACATGTGAAATGAATGAAAGGGAACCATGCATGCATACTAAGGAATAGTTTTCCAGGCAGAGGAAATAGTAGAATATTTGATGGAGGGGACAGTAAGAGGTCCACCTATTTGAGCAGAGTGAGTTGAGGTTGATGAGGAGAATGACCTCGGAGGAGTTGGTGAATACATCGCACTGATTTTGCTCTGAATGATTGAGTAACTATAGGTGAATTTAAACATGGAAGTAATATGAAATTGCCACTTTTTTAGGAAACATAATTGATTGAGTTTTGAGGAAAAAAATGCAAAGGGCAAGAATCAAAGCATATGATGAGCTAGTAGGCTATTGCATTAATCTGTAGTGAAAGACCATAAAGTCTGTAAGTGGTTGTTGTGGAGAACACATATTGAATATATAGAAAGTAGACAGATTTGACAAAATTTCATGGCAGATAAGGGGTTTGTGAGAAATATAAGATAACCTCAAGGTTTCTGTCCTGAGCAACTAGGCAGTTGGAATTTCCCTGTAGTGAATTTGAAAATATTAGGAGTACAAACTATGGATAGGCACAGTTTTTAGTACTTTACATGTATAATACTCTCACAACTTTATGAGATAAATAAAACATTTATCTTCATATTGCAAGGAGGAAACTAAACTGCATATAATTTTAAAATCTTTTACAAGGACAAACAACCTGTAAATGGCAAAACCAAGACTTTAACTCATTTGTTTTGATTGGCCACAGAGTCCACATTCTGAAACACTGTGTTATACTTTGTGAGGGGTGTTTTTGGGGAGAAGAATCAAGAGTGTTGGGAATTTATATTTAAGGTGCCAATAAAATACACTTAAGAAGAAACACTGAATAAAGCATTAGACTCTGGACTTCAGTTCAGGTGATAACGCCAGAGAAACAAATATCGGAGCTATTGGGCATAGACGCTATTTGCAACTATAGACATGGATAAAATAACCTATGAATAAATATAGATTTCTTAAAAAAAGAAAAGCCTGGGCTGGGCGCGTTGGCTCACGCCTGTAATCCCAACACTTTGGGAGGCCTAGGTGGGCGAATCACGAGGTCAGGAGTTCTAGACCAGCCTGGCCAACATGGTGAAACCCCATCTCTACTAAAAAAAATACAAAAATTAGTAGGTCGTGGTGGCGTGTCCCTCTAATCCCAGTTACTTGGGAGGCTGAGGCAGAAGAATTGCTTGAACCGGGAGATGGACATTGCAGTGAGCAGAGATCATGCCATTGCACTCCAGCCTGGGTGACAGAGTGAGACTCCGTCTCAAAAAAAAAAAAAAAGAAAAAAGAAAAAAAAGAAAAGCCTGTTTTCTTTATTAATACAGGGGTGTCCCAGCACTTAGAAGTTATAAAAAGAAAGAGCACAAATGAAACAGCATGGGGCACTTTGGAAAATAGGAGCTTAAACAAGAGAGAGCAGTGTCATGAATAAGTGTCATAGGAGAGCCAATAAAACTTTATGGATTAGTAATTTACTTCCACTAAAATATTTACATTCTTGCACAGTTGACTTCCCATGCACAGAGATTGAAAGCATTGACACTCACAGACTTGGGAATTTGGTCTGTTGTGGAATGCTGTTGTATAGGTTTATTCTAAGGGTAGGTAGTTTATGGAAACCCTTACATTAAAATTTGACGTTTGATGTGTCTTTAGTCATTTCAGTGGTGTGAAGATCTTTAGTAACTGCAGCTTCGAAGACTTTGCACATTTTATTTCAAAGCAGAAGTCCCAGTGTCTTCACAATCAGCCTCGCTTAGATCCTTTTTTCAAACAGCAAGCAGTGTGTGGTAATGCAAAGCTGGAAGCAGGAGAGGAGTGTGACTGTGGGACTGAACAGGTTGGTACTAATTCGGAAGACTACGCACTGAAATTGCAGCAAAAATTACTTATTAATTCGAGTGAGAAACTGCCATTTTCCTTAATTCATCAAGCTAAATTTTCTGCAAATGATTCAGGAGGGCATGTAGGTATTATAACAACTAATGAGTGCACTTATATATATTGGTGTAGTGCTTCAGTGCTTTGTGGATCTACGTGGATTTGTATGAATATACAGGTAATTTTCCTTTATTTATTCTAGCTTTCTTGAGGTATAGCTGACAATTTTAAATTGTATATATTTAAGTTATACAACTTGATGATTGAGTATATGAGTACATTTTGAAATATTTACTAAAATCTAGATAACTAACATACCTGTAATCTCACCATAGCATTTTATTTTTTCCTTTTCTTTTGCTTTTCAAAAATTTTCCTTTCTGACAAGAACACTAAGAATCTACCTTCTTAGCAAAGTTCAAGTATATGATACAATATTGTTAACTGTAGTCATGTTTGATCTCTAGAACGTATTCATCTTGCAGAACTGAAATTTTATACCCCTTGACCATCATCTCCCTATTTTCCCCTCCCTGAAGTCCCTGGTAAGCACCATTCTAATCTCTCATATAAGCAATTTTCAAGGCCACTAATTTCATAGCTGAGTTGATGTAGGTTCAATCTTTTCCTCTTGAGTATATACTTCCCTAGTTTTTAAGCCTAAAATTTAAAACTAGTATTTAACCTAAATTCCTTTGTTGTTCAGAAAGAGAGATATTTTAAAGCTTTCACTATGGAGCCAGAAAACCTAGGGAGTACATTTGTGGTTTTTGAATATTTTAATCCAGGTGGATATTTAAGTCAAAAAGATTTGTAACATACATAATTAAGAAGAGCTAGTTTTCTCAAACCACAGAAATCTTAGATAAAGCACCTGGGTTGAAGGGAGGTGAGGAGAGCAGAGATAAAGGGAATGAAATAAGGGAAAGGAGATATTGAAACTCATAGTGAATGGTACAGGCTCAAAAGGATCACAAAGACTAAGTAGACTTCATTGTGCCCTACAATGGTCACTCATGTAGCCTTCCAACCTTAAAAGTATGTTTATAGATCCTGAGATATGTGATATGTTTTTAAAAAATTGTTCCTCGTCACCCACTTGTTTTTGCTTGGTTGGGTTTGAATGGAAACATCTTGAAAATTTCTTCTTCAATTTGACAATCATGTATCTAAGCTCTCGAAATGTTATGTAATTGAGGCTTAAACCACTGAGATATAACTTTCCCCTCTAGAATTACAGTAGATAGCAATGACAGTGACAATTCTTAGAATAGCTGTGAAAAATACTGACAACTCTGTGCTTCCAAGTATCTTGCTATAACTCATATGAAGACTACTAAACTCATGATTTATCTTTTTGTGATTTATCAAATTTCTTTTTCCAATTTACCCTATTTTAAATTTCTGGGTATTTAAAAAATGTGAGTGTGTGTGTGTGTGTGTGTGTGTGTGTGTGTGAATGCATTGTCTTTTAGCCTTCTTATCTATTGCTTTTACTAACTTTAGTAATAGAAGTTTTAAAAGCATATTCACTGGGCATAGATGAACTAAAGCATAAAACAAGGCATAATAAGATATGAGTGAATGATATAAAGGTGACAACTTCAGCATTCTCAGAAATAATATCATTTTCCAGACCTTAATTAGGGAGTTAAAAATGAAATAAATCAACAATATACCATAAAATGCAGAAACTTGTTAAAATATTATATTCAGAAGACTCTAATAAGAAGTAGTCACTGCAATATAATTTTTAAATTATAACTTCTGTTTATTTTACGTCTTGTATTTAACTATCTCTGTCTACAAGAGCCAGAGCTCTTCTCAGTGACTTGGCTATGGTGGACCCCAGGGCTTCAGAGAATCCTTTTATCAGTGTAACCAAACCTATTATAGCAATATGAGCAACACATGGTCTGGCAATTAGTAGGTAATTAATAAATGTCTGTTAAGTAAATGAATAAGTGGTTTTATTTTTCTGTTTGCCAACATGTAAGTTAAGCACCTATGTGTATGTTATATAATATGTTGTCTTTATGAACATGCCTGTCCAATATGAATACAAGTTGGAAAATACTTCAGAGCATTTGATTTGCCTTACAGGATTGTGCCCTTATTGGAGAAACATGCTGTGATATTGCCACATGTAGATTTAAAGCCGGTTCAAACTGTGCTGAAGGACCATGCTGCGAAAACTGTCTAGTAAGAGCTTTTTGAAAAATTTCAATATTACCTACATAAGTAGTTATCATTATTATGCTTATGTATTCTCATTCTGCTTAATTCAATATCATTTACCTCATCCCATCAGTTTATGTCAAAAGAAAGAATGTGTAGGCCTTCCTTTGAAGAATGCGACCTCCCTGAATATTGCAATGGATCATCTGCATCATGCCCAGAAAACCACTATGTTCAGACTGGGCATCCGTGTGGACTGAATCAATGGATCTGTATAGATGGAGTTTGTATGAGTGGGGATAAACAATGTACAGACACATTTGGCAAAGGTATTTATTATCATTTGATTTCTCATATATGCGTTTTTTTCTGGAAACTGAACAGAAATAGATGCTGATACATGATTGTGATTTTTAAAATGTCACATTTAGTTTAAATATTCTAAAGAATTATAGAAAGAGAAGAATACGGCCAGGCGCGGTGGCTCACGCATGTAATCCCAGCACTTTGGGAGGCCGAGGCGGGCAGATCACCCAAGATCAGGTGTTTGAGACCAGCCTGGCCAACATGACAAAAACCTGTCTCTACTAAAAATACAAAAATTAGCCGCAAGTGGTGGCACATGCCTGTAATCCCAGCTACTCAGGAGGCTGAGGTTCCAGTGAGCTGAGATCACGCCACTGCACTCCAGCCTGGGAGAAAGAGTGAGACTCCACCTCAAAAGAAAAAAAAAAAAAAGAGAATACTGTCAGAAAAAATATCAGTAGCTAGAAATTAAAAATTAATTTAATTAAAAGTGAAATCATTACATTATTAATTACTTTCATCAAAATAATAGAGGGAAAGATTCAAAGTCTATGGGACTTCTGAGTTCAAGAAGGAAGAAAGTAGAGAGAACACAAACTATATTTTTACTTCATATCCATCCCTTGTTTTGGTAAATATGGAATAAGTAATATGACTATAGACATTAAAGTAATTATAAGTTGTCATATAAATACAGTTCAAACCACATTTAATGCAGGCACACACATTCAGGTGCATAAAATCACCTGTGGAAACAATAAGGAAATTTCATGAAAATCCAGGGACTCTGAAGTTATTGAGGGATGATGTGCACTGACGTTAAAAACAAAAAAGAAAACCATGGTGCAAACTATATACAAAATTGTTTGCTAAATAATATGGAAACAGCAACAATGCCAACAGTATTTCATCCCCATATCGAAAAAATCAGGAACAATTGACAGAGGAACATTTAGGATGTTCATAGAAACAGATAGGTGGTCACCTTTATTCTCAACTGGAACAAGTTGCAAGTCTAACTCTAATTTCTGTGTAAAAAGGGATTGCAAAGCACTTATCACTAACCAAAATGAACATAAAATTAGGAATGACTGTTGGTTTGAAGAAAAACAAAACAAAGATGCAAAGAAAGAAACTTACAAAATGAAAAAGTGTTGTCCTGGGAAAATGGGTAATTTGGTACCACAATGTGGATGATTTTCAGATTAAAGAAGGAAAATAGAGACAGAAAGAGACAGAAAGGCAGAAAGAAAGAAGAGGGAGCAAAAGACAAACTTTTTAATTACTGATTTAATTTCCTCAATCGTTGGTGTATTCCAATTTTCTACTTTTTTCATAATTTAATATTCGTAAGTTGGATGTGTCCAGGAATTTATCTATTTTTTCTGTTATCAAATTTGTTGGCATATAGTTGTTCTATTTATATATGTCTCTTATATTCTTCATATCATAAGGTATCATTGTAGTATCAGTGGTAATGTTTTCTGTTTCATTTCAGATTTTATTTATTTGAGTCTTCTCTTTCAATTATATGGACCCAGAGTGCTTCCTAAGGAGCACTCTACATCAGTATTATTTAGTGGCCACCAATAGTCTTTCCAATTTCCTTTAATGCCTTGGCTATATGTTTTCTACCCTATGCCAAAAGTATCTCTGTGAGAAGACAGATTCAAACTTCAAGCAGTTTATAAGACAGCCTTAGCTTTCACTTCCTGCTTGTTCAGGACCTAAACATCATAGAGTAAGGAGTGACTAGAAAACTCTCTGTTCTCAGAACTATTCTAGGTATGTGTGCAGCTATTTATTTATTTATTTATTTATTTATTTATTTATTTTTTGGAGCCGGAGTCTTGCTCTGTCGCTCAGGCTTGAGTGCAGTGGTGTGATCTTGGCTTACTGCAACCTTCACCTCCCGTGTTCCAGTGATTCTCCTGCCTCAGCCTCCTAGCCTCCTGAGTAGCTGTGATTAGATGCACACACCACCACACCCGGCTAATTTTTGTATTTTTTAATAGAGATAGGGTTTTGCCATGTTGGCCAGGCTGGTCTCGAACTCCTGACCACAGGTGATCTGCCTGCCTGGGCCTCCCGAAGTGCTGGGATTACTCGCTTGAGCCACTGCGCCTGGCCTGTGTGCAGCATTTTAGATCCAGTTACATTGTTACCAAGCAATGAGTTCACTTCCGGATGTGCATAGAGGCCAACACTAATAGCACCAGCTTCCAAGAAAAGAGAAAGCTTTATTGTGAGGTCCACCAGCAAGGAGACAAAAGGCAATGCTCAAATCTGTTTCCTTAAGCTGGCGTCTGGGGGCAGGTTATATAGGCAGATGGTAACTATGAGAGAGATGAGAAAGGCTCTGATTTGGTCATGCAAAGAGGCGGTGCCAGGTCCTCAGCTTTTAAGTTTTTACTGCAATAAAACAGGACTCCCCTCCCTTCTTTTTTGAGGGGAAGAGGGCGGTGAGGGTCTTGCCCAAACTGTAGTACAGTGATGCAATCACAGCTCACTGCAGCCTCCAACTCCCAAGGTCAAGTGATCTTTTTGCCTCAGCCTCCCAAGTAGCAGGGACTACAGATGCATGTCACCATGCCCACTATTTTTTCTTTTTCTTTTTTTGTAGAGGTGAGGTCTTGCTGTGTTGCCCAAGTTGGTCTCAAACTTCTGGTCTCAAGTAATCCTCCTGCCTTGGCATCCCAAAGTGCTGGAATTATAGAAGTGAGCCACTGCATCTGACCCTTTGCTTCTTAATTTGTTCCATGCTCCTAGATTTGAATATTTCAAACTGAGTACTTCAGTTCCAGCCTGCTCAGGTTCAGACTATTTGATTGGCAACCTGGGGGTCGATGGCAACTGAAAAACAGCTAATCATTTTGTGACTGATAAATCTGACCCAGAGTGAACAATAGGTTTGAGCTATTCTCTTTCACATAGTCATCTAACTCTCCAGGAATTCCTTTAAAATTTCCAGTGAGCTCTTGTTTGCCTCAACTGAAATCACAGCCTTAGGCACTGGTGATGTTGGTAGCAGATTTATATTATTTCAGTAATGCCTTTGTTGTCAGTGAACCGGTTCAGATTCTTTACTTCACTGCCGAAAAGAATTTGAGAGCAAGTCCAAAGGGAAAGTAAATAAAGAAGTTCATTGCAAAGCAAAGTACGCTCTGATAGCAGGCTGCACAAGAATAAGAGCGTCGGTTGGCATTGAGGAAACTCCCTTTATTGGAGCCTAACATGATTATTCATAAAAGGGTGGGAGTGGGCATTGTTGTTTAGCATGTTGTAGGTGGTCTCCTGAATGCACATGTGCTATTGCTGTACATGCCAGTACATGCATCACATTTCTCATTAGCATTTTAATTCTCCACCCAAGGGTGCCTTTTTTACTATTATAATGAACATAGGTCACTCCAAGGACACAAATCATGGGTTTCTGCACTTGAACCAATTTGGGTGTTTTCCCTTATGTTTCTTTACCTCCTTGCTGCAGGATGTTCTAACCAGTATCCCAGGATGCAGTTTTTGCACTGTTGGGAGGTTTATTCTCGCCATCTATTTTGCAAGTTTGTTCTCATTTAAGGGATGCTATGACCAACCTATCTAATTTACCTCACTCTGAAAGCCAAGATTTTTTTTATTCATTTTTTTTTTCACTTAACTGAGCTCTAAATCAAATCAAGTAGCCCTAGCCACCTGGTAACAGAGATTTTTCCAGGGAATGGAAAGTTTAGATAAAATATTTAGATAAATTATTGGCTGCCTCTGGGCATAGCGCTTTCACAGAGCTCCAACGGAGATGTGACCTCTTCATTAGCTGTAAGCCTGCTGGCTTTCATCTGTCATGAGACACTGAGAACAAATGAGAATATGCCCAAGTTAAAACATCACCGACCCCTTTGTTTATCAATTCTATCAACCAGAACTACACCAGAGAAACAAAATCCATTGGATATGTAATTCTGCACTCTCTCTTCCTCTCTGTAGATAGATAGATATAGGTATATAGATATTTTATTGTATATAAAATTTTGTGTATATATCTATGCAAATAATTGGCTGATCAGATTGTGGGGCTGGCTAGGCAAGCCTGAAATCTGTAGGGCAAGACAATTAAAAGGGCAGAATAGAAATTTTAAGCATAAATTGAAGTCCACAGGCAGAATTTTTTTCTTTTTCAGGGAAGCCTGCTGTAAAGGTCTTTCAACTATTAATAATTGAATCAGGCCCATCCACATTATCTAGGATAATATTTCTTAAGTAAAATAAACTTATTGTAGACTTCATTACACCTACAAAATACCTACAGAGCAATGCCTAGATTAGTGTTTAATTGAATAACTTGAGACTATAGCCTAACCAAGTTGATACATAAAATGTATCATCACACCGTCTTTCAGTAGTTTCTCTTGGATGCCTAAAATTCATTTTGATCTGTAGATTGCGGCTTTCTTTGTTTTGGCCTATTTTTTGTCTACCAGCAATGGCTTGCTACCATAGCCAAGGTTAAAATTTTGACTTCTTACCCATAACCAGCCTTGCAAATGACCTCTGGGACAAAATGAACTTTTACTTTTCAGTTCACTACATCATCTGTGGGTCGCAGCTGAGATCTGAGTCTGTCCACTCTGTTATTGAGCATTCATGCTGCAGCAACATTATGTAGTGGTTAAGTCTCCCTGTCAAAGATTTTTGACCGAGTCCATCAAGTAGAGCAGTTGGAGGTTATGAGAAATAAACTGCTTTTTAAGTAGGTTGAAGCTTTTTTTTCTTTTTCCTTTGAGACGCAGTCTCGCTCTGTCGCCCAGGCTGGAGTGCAATGGCGCGATCTCGGCTCACTGCAGGCTCTGCCTCCAGGGTTCACGCCATTCTCCTGCCTCAGCCTCCCAAGTAGCTGGGACTACGGGCGCCTGCCACCATGCCCGGCTAATTTTCTTTTGTAGTTTTAGTAGAGACGGGGTTTCACTGTGTTAGACAGGCTGGTCTCGATCTCCTTAACTCGTGATCCGCCCGCCTCGGCCTCCCAAAGTCCTGGGGTTACAGGCATGAACCACCGCGCCCGGCCATGTAGGTTGGATCTTATGAGAATTAAAATTATACAGATTATGCATGTGGATTGGATGATGGGAGGGTGAATGAATCAATTGTGACTCCAATATATTTCTTGTCTAAGGAAATTATGATGTAAAACAAGATAATTGGTTAGTTGTTTGACTTGAAAAGACATTCATGCTAAAACTGTTTATTTGACAAATAAGTCAATTATGTGAAAAAAGTTTCCTACGTACTAATAGATATGCATTTATAGACTTACTATGATTAGAGGTTAAACAATACAGTGGCTAACTCTGGAGTATGTCTAGGATATGTCTTTGAATAGTAGACCAGAGTCCTTTCAATTTTTAAACATTTCATTGAAGTAGTTTTGTGTGATCTTAAATCTAGTTTTTATTTTGAATGTTATAGTATGATCTTATTTTGTACAATGAATATCTTAAACCCTTTCAGAATTTTAAGTGTATTTGTTATTTATTTTTAATTAATATAAGTTTAATATGACTAACCTCACCTTTTTATTTTCAGAAGTAGAGTTTGGCCCTTCAGAATGTTATTCTCACCTTAATTCAAAGACTGATGTATCTGGAAACTGTGGTATAAGTGATTCAGGATACACACAGTGTGAAGCTGAGTATGTTTTCAGAAATCTGTCTTAGAACTTCTATTTATCACCTTATATTTGAAAATACCATCAAACAATTAAGTTTATGTAAGCAAAATATCCCCTGAACATAAAGTAAGACCATGTTTATTCAAATTATAAATATCATAGACACATTTCTCCTCTCCTATAACCAAATTATCCCTTGTACTTTTCCACAAAGTGTTTAGTTTTCATACAGGTACATTAATTACCCATCAGTAATCATTTTTATTGTGCATGCTATTACTTTAATTTTTTTTTTTTTTTTTTTTTTTTTTTTTGAGATGGAGTCTCACTCTGTTGCCTAGGCTGGAATGCAGTGGTGCTATTACTTTAATTTTTACAAAGCATGACAATCCTCATAGTAAAGAAGTTAAAATACACGAATTTTTACTGCTTAAGGAGCAAAATGTGTTTTTTTTTTATTTTTTTATTTTATTTTTTTGAAGGAGTCTCACTCTCTCCCCCAGGCTGGAGTGCCGTGGCACTATCTCGGCTCACTGCAAGTTCCGCCTCCCGGGTTCACGCCATTCTCCTGCCTCAGCCTCCCGAGTAGCTGCGACTGCAGGCGCCTGCCACCACGCCCGTCTAATTTTTTGTGTTTTCAGTAGAGACGGGGTTTCACCGTGTTAGCCAGGATGGTCTTGATCTCCTGACCTCGTGATCCACCTGCCTCGGCCTCCCAAAATGCTGGGATTATAGGCGTGAGCCACCGCGCCTGGCCAAAGCGTGGTATTTAAGAACATGTGCTCTACAGCCAGACATTTTGATTTTAAATCCTAATCCCACTCTTTACCTATTTGTGTGACCTCAGGCACGTATTTCAGTTTTTTTTAATATGTAATATATGAATATTAATAACGCATCACCAGTTTGGTGCCAGTGGGAAACATAGACGCTGTATGAAAAACACTTAGAATGGTGACTGATACATAGTATGTACTATATGAGTGCTAACTATTATCTGTTACTATTATTTTGTAAATTAGAACTAGAAGACCGGGCGGGGTAGCTCATACCTGTAATCCCAGCACTTTGGGAGGCTGAGGCGGGCAGATCACCTGAGGTTAGGAGTTAGAGACCAGCCTGGCCAACCTGGTGAATCCCCGTCTCTACTAAAAATTCAAAAATTAGCCAGGCATGATGGCGGTTGCCTGTAATCCCAGCTACTCGAGAGGCTGAGGCAGGAGAATCGCTTGAACCTGGGAGGCAGAGGTTGCAGTGAGCCGAGATCGCGCCACTGCAGTCCAGCCTGGGCGACAGAGCGAGACTCCACCTCAAAAATAAAAAATAAATAAATAAATTAGAACTAGAATGTTACTGATACCCATTCCTTTGCTGTAAAATTTTATGTTGATATTATTTCAAAAGTAAAGTAAAACTTCTGTAATAAACTTTATAGTTTTCGTGAATAGTGCAAGGAATTCCCATATACCCTTTGCCTAGGTTTACAGGTTGTTTACATTTTTCCTGTTGCTTTACCCTTCTGTTGTTCCAACTCTTCTCTCCTCTCCTCTCTTCATAATTATTTTTCTGAAAGGTTTGAGTGTAAGTTGAAAACTGTGCTTGTTTATTCCTCAATATATCCATGTGTTTATCTTGAAAATAAAGATATTTTCTTACATAACTTATTGTAGCTATCAAACATAGTTCATATTGAAATTTCATTCATTGTTTTGAGTAATTTTAGGCTATTTTCCTTGTTCAGGAACAAACCCAGTGTCAGATATTTACATTTACTCCTAATGTATTTTTAGAGTTCTTTAATTTGGAACATTTTTGTTTTTATTTGTGTTTCTTTTTATTAGTTTTTTTTAATACTATCGGTTAACTAATTTGTAGAATTTTCCCACAATTTAGGTTTCTTTGAAATTTTTCATAATTATGTGTAAGTGATACATTTTGGCATGTTTATCACTGAAGTGATGTTGTTGTACCCTGGATTTTTTTAAAGGTACATGCCATTTTCTTTCAGTATTGGACATTTTAGGTTAAATGTTTTGATAAAGTCATTATTCTCTAAATCTTTCAACTGTGAAATTACTATTTTCCTTTTGGGTTTAATATGTAATTTTGGAGGAGTTATATTGAGACCCTGGGCATATTCTGTTTCTCCTCAAACTTTAACTAACTAGTTTTAAAATCCATTAGTGATTTTCTAACTGTATTATTGACTTTGCCTTTATTATCTAGAAATGTACTGTAGGAAGAAGTAGTCACTTCTATATTTTTATTTACTTATCTATATATATATCAGTTTAGACACAATAATTGTTATTTTATTTAATAGGATAAAATACATTACTATCATTATTTTGATACTTTCTCAAATTCTCTTAATTTTGACTATTGGGAATCCCTTTGAGCTGGTTAATGTGTCCTTTTCAAAAGTCTGTAGGACTTTTTAATAACTTCCAAATTTTTCTAGCACAAGAAAAGATGTTGTAGGTTGCATTGAGCTTCTTCTACTTCTGCTCTGGATTCAGCTATTCATCCAAGGAGCCTTGGTTCCTTTTCTTAGAAGATGGTATTTGAAAATAAATACCTAAGCACCAGCTGTGTGCATGTCTACTATTTCTTTTTTTTTTAAATTTTTTTTATTTTTACTGACTTTTTATTTTTTAATGTTTTTATTTGGAAACAATTTCAGACATATAAAAGTTAGAATAATAGTGCAAATAATTCCTGTATACCCTTCAAATTTTCCAAATTTTAGCATTTTAACACATTTGGCTTATCATTTTCTATCTCTTTGTCTCTGTCTCTGTCTCTCTCTTTCATTACATATAATATACACACAAATATACAAATACACACATTATAAACACATACAGTTTTGTAACTATATGTATATATTGCTTTATAATTGCTTTTCTGAAATATTTGAGAGTAAATTTCAGATATGGTGGCCCTTTATTTCTTTTTTTTTCTTCTCATTACCTCTCAAGCCTGTCAGTCAATGGAGCTAGAACATGCATTTCATATATGCACATACATGTATCACATATTCATTCATGTAAATCTCTGAATTTAAGACATGAACTTAGTGATAATTCTAATTCCAATTAAGTGCCATAAAGTACATTTTAGTATACAAGTTGCTTCCTCATATACTCAAGTTCCAAATGCACAGAAATTTGCTTTATAATTGCTAAAGCATATACTTACTGAAAGAAAATTCTAGCTATTATGACTATATTTTCCTTTTCATCATTGATCCTTTTTATATAAGCTGCATTAAAGGGCTTCTCTGCTGAATGAAATGTCTGTGTAGTATTGGTGTTGGTATCTAGTAATTTATTTGCCCTCTATGTTATATTTTACTTTTTCTATGTGTGTTTAGCATATTTCTTAACTTTGTATCATATAATATGACTAATACATAACGGAAATTGCATTCACTTTTGCTTTTCTGAAGGCTAGAATTTTGTAATGGAAAGGATTTAACATAGCTGGACTCAAACTATAAAGCAAACCTGTCTCTGAGCAGGAGCTGAAAACATTGTTCATTTCGTTATGCCTCTGGGAGATGCTTTTTATGTGCTCCCTGGATTCTTCACCACACAAGCTTAATTAGTTCAGTAGTCATCCAGGTTTCAGGCTGAATATAAACCTGAAATTTATATTCAGATTTCAGTTCTCAGTCTAAGTTTCCAGTCAACTAACTGACATTAGACCCGTATTTTAATAATGTCCTGGGATTATTCAAGCTAAGAATCTTCAACCTTGGATGTGCTTTCATAAATTATTAAACAAAGCCACATCTACAGAATATCTGGTGCTGCAGTTCCCATTCTTAAAGCTCAGTTATATAGTCCTTTCCTTTCTGGTTACATTCCGGTGTCTTCAAAGTGTGAGCATGTGTGTTTCAGATTACAGTTCTACCTTACTACAATGCCTTCCAGCCAAAGACCACCAAGAAGGCAGCCGTAGTTGAGCAAGTTGGGTTTTTTTACATGTTGAGTGGTGAGAAATCGCATCATGAGAAATTGTGGAGTATGCCAGTTCTAGAGATTTGGACTTGGGTTAGGTGATTTTAGGAAGGTTTCAGGAAATAGACCTTTGCTGTAAATTAGATGTTTTAAAGTAGAGATATTAATAATTGTATGATTGTATATCTTAATCTTATATATGAAGAGGGAAGACTAAAGTGAAGCTAAAGTTGTAATTGCTAAAGAAGCAATAGTCACACATATTAGTTGAATCCTGGGAATGTCCAGTAACTGTGGCTTGGACAATGTTTGTTTCTCCTCTGTGTTCATACATGATCTATGAAGTGAGCTTGCTTATTTTCTTAATCTTTCATGATCACAGAATGGCTTTGCCTAAGGTTGATGTTCTATGAAATTACTTAATGTTTAACTGGTGTGTGCACTATGAGTGCAGAACAGCTTTTATCAACTCCAAGTCCTTCCTCGATGACTCCTGGCCACTTCAGGGGCTGGGTTGCCCATTTTCGTTGTCTTCTTTTGGCCAAAGGGAGAAAAGTTCAGGCCATAGAAAATTGCTTGAAGACATTTAGATTTTCATCACTGCTGAGATTTTGCTGATTAGGAGGCTATTTAGATAACATATGTTGTCTATCTCAACATATGCAGTTGATCTAGGGTTAGTCTCTCTGCCTCCATGGTTTCCTGAATCTTCTGATGTAGCAATGGTCATGTGGTAGCATTTAAGATTCCAAACAGGATGCAAGGGCCAAATAAAAATCTTATGGTTTGTAGCATGTACTGTAGGCAAATGCTCACATTAATCTGTAGGACATACTACCTATGTGATATATATAGTGATAACCCTGTAGTATTAATTAATGGTTATTTTTGTTAATTAATATGAGTGACCTTGAAATCTTCATTTTTAAAATCACTGAAAAGGTGAACAGATGTTAAATTCATTTGAGCTTGGGTTTGATTTTGTTTCAGATTCAAAGGAAAGTGAAGGAATCACAAAAAAAGTTGTCAGGCTAACTAGGGAATATTAGGTTGGTGCAAAAGTGATTGCGGCTTTTGCCATTAAAAAAGTGGCAAAAACCACTATTAGTTTTGCACCAACCTTAGTTCATAATTAATTACTAAAATGTTCAGTTATTATTGGCAATTTAGGCAAGGCTCTTTTTTTGGTGTTTTAAAACGAATTGCATGTATTAGCTTGCAAACCTTGAATACTTTATTTAAATCTATCTATTTTAAAAATTATATTCTTGTACTTCTCTAAATTAAAATTAATAATTTTTATTTGTGGATAAATTATAGCAATCTGCAGTGCGGAAAATTAATATGTAAATATGTAGGTAAATTTTTATTACAAATTCCAAGAGCCACTATTATTTATGCCAACATAAGTGGACATCTCTGCATTGCTGTGGAATTTGCCAGTGATCATGCAGACAGCCAAAAGATGTGGATAAAAGATGGAACTTCTTGTGGTTCAAATAAGGTAGGTAGTCTTTTATTCCCAAATAATTTCCTAATATTTTAGACTTTGCCCTTTTTTGAGATGAGTGTCACTCTTGCCCTGGCTAGAGTGCAGTGGTGTGATCTCTGCTCACTGCAACCTCTGCCACCCAGGTTCAAGTGATTCTCCTGCCTCAGCCTCTTGAGTAGCTGGGATTACAGGTGGTACCACCACACCCGGCTAATTTTTGTATTTTTAGTAGAGACGGAGTTTCACAGTGTTGGCCAGGCTGATCTCAAACTCCTGACCTCGGGTGATCCACCCACCTCAGCCTCCTGAAGTGCTGGGATTACAGGCGTGAGCCACTGCACCTGGCCTAGACTCTGTTCTTAAATGATACATAATTAGTATTTTTTCTCAGAATTTAAGTGCATATTCAATACAGAAAATCAGGAAAAAACAAACTTTAAAAGAATAAAATATTTGCAATCATGCATATATGACATTGCTATGACTATTTCGCTGGTTATTTAGTAACTTTTTCATTGAAATTATGTGTATTCACTGAATTGAGAACTGCGTTGTTCATTTACTGTATTTTATTAAATATCTCATATCACACAGAGAATACATCTAATGTCATAAATTATCTTTTGATATAATCATTTTAAAATAGCCATTAAAATAATATATGCCCATTTTACTGATGAAAATAATAAACAAACTCACAGAATAAAGAAAAAAATCAATCCAGTCGCATATCTGAGATGTAATAACTTAATTTTTATGAACCTTCCATCAATTTTTCATAGACATGCACACACACATGGAGTTGTAGAATATTTATCTGTCTACATAACT
Organism: Homo sapiens; assembly: GCF_000001405.40. NCBI lineage: Eukaryota > Metazoa > Chordata > Mammalia > Primates > Hominidae > Homo > Homo sapiens. The sequence goes on along the minus strand of NT_187577.1, from coordinate 505,547 downwards.
ATCTTTCTTACTTTGCATTCAATATGGTACCTATGCATACATATCAACAGTTTTTGCCTTCCTAGATTTTTTTATTATATGAAATATGAAATACATACAAACACGTATATACACAAGGAGGTGCAAGCTCAAATTAGTCTCATGTTTAAATTATAAAGCCTCTCTGGCTTAATAAGTAACAGAATACAGTAAGCCCCTTATTGAAGAAAAGAGGGAAAGGAAAACTATGCTAACTTTACTAATATTCATTTAGAAAATTAGTAAGTAAGAGTGTATACAAATAAAAAAACTGTCATTCAAATTCTCACACAAAATGTAAGTCATTTAAAAAATTGTGCAACACATTTGCTTTTATTAAATTTACTTTGAAAATGTCTTACCAAATTAATGCCCAAGACTATCTTACATTTTAAATTCTCCATTGTTTCTAAATAGGCTAAAATACGTTATGTGAGGTAGGAATTGCACAGGAAATGGGAACCACCAAGAGTGGCTTAAATCGTTGGTAGTTATTTTTTTCCCATAATACAAAGTAATTTTGGAGGTTGTCCATCCAGAGCAGTTATTGGGTGCCATTATGTCATCAATGATCCAGACTCAGTCCAGTTTTTAGCTATAGATCTTGTTTGTGATCCTCCTTTACATGGCCTTCAAAAGGGTTGATTGGAACTCTGGTTATATCCACAGTTAGTGAATGGGATGAAGGATATATGACAGGCAGTACCCTGCCACAGTGTTCATGACAAAAGTGATGTCCCATCAAGTAGCCATCTAAGAACACTAGGACGAGGATGGGATGAGTTGGAAAAATAATACATTTTAAATCAACCATGTATTTGAGAAACTAAAAAACCACACACAGGCTTAGGAAAGATGCATGCTCAGAAAGGACCTGGGATGATCATAAGCTTTATATTCAGGTTGACCCCAACATTAAGATAATACTAAATTAATTAGTAAAGAACTTTCACAGAATAGAGCCATTCTACAAACACTGGGCAAGTTGGCAGGTTTTTAAATTGCCCCATTTTCATGCTATTTCTTGCCTGAATACCTTGTTTTGTGTGTGTGTGTGTGAGTGTGTGTGTGTGTGTGTTTTGTTGTTTTATAGGTCCTGTGAAATTTATGCTTTAAGGAGGTAATGGATTTACTATTCCGGTGGATTTACTATTACTTGCACCCTCTAAAGCTGTGGGCTGTGCTGTACCTTGGACCCTTTTAGCCATAGCTAGAGTGGCTGGGATGCAGGGTGCCAAGTCCTGAGGCAGTATAGAGCAGGGGGACCCTGGGCCCTGCCCAGGAAACCATTTTTCCCTCCTAGGCCTCTGTGTCTGTGATGGGAAGGGCTACCATGAAAGTCTCTGATATGCCTTGGAGACATTTTCCCCACTGTCTTGATGACTAACATTTGACTCCTCATTACTTATGCAAATTTCTGCAGCAGACTTAAATTTTTCCCCAGAACATGGGTTTTTTTTTTTTCTATTGCATCATCAGGCTGCAAATTTTTCCAACTTTTATGCTTTGCTTCCTCTTGAATGCTTTGCTGCTTAGAAATTTCTTCTGCCAGGTAGCCTAAATCATCTCTCAAGTTCAGAGTTCCACAGATTTCTAGGGCAGGGGCAAAATGCTGCCACTCTTCTTGCTAAAACATAACAAGAGTCACCTTTTCTCCAGTTCCTAAGAAGTTCCTCATTTCCATCTGAGACCATCTAAGCCTGGACTTCATTGTTCATATCACTAAGCGCATTTTGATCAAAGCCATTCAACAAGTCTCTAGGAACTTCCAAACTTTCCCACATTTTCCCGTCTTCTTCTTAGCCCTCCAAATGATTCCAATCTCTGGCTGTTACCCAGTTCCAAAATCGCTTCCACATTTTTTAGTATTTTCACAGCAGCACTCCATTCCTGGTACCGATTTTACTGTATTAGTCTGTTCTCATGCTGTTAATCAAGACATGCCTGAAACTGGGTAATTTATATAGAAAACAAGATTTAATGGACTCACAGTTCCGCGTGGCTGGGGAGGCCTCACAATCATGGCAGAAGGCAAAGGAGGAACAAAGGCATGTCTTACGTGGAGGCAGGCAAGAGAGTGTGTGCAGGGGAACTGCCCTTTATAAAACCATGAGATCTCATGAGACTTACTCACTATCAGGAGACCAGCATGGGAAAAACCTGCCGCCATAATTCAATTACCTCCCACCAGGTCTCTCCCATGACACTGTCGTTATTGTGGGAGCTACAATTACATCTCCACCGTAATCTTTTGCCCCAGGTGTCTGCAAATGTTACTCTCCCTGCACCTTTCCCTAGCAGTCTATACTGCTTCTTTCCATCTGAGATTTGAGTTAGGCAAATCAGAAACCAGTCCTTAAGGCAGCTACCAGACAAGTTAGAGTATTGCCAATAAAATCTGTGCTGCATCCTTCAGTTTGAGGGAAGGGATTGAGAATTTAGCTGCTGCCTCATTCAGACAAAAATGCCATAAAATTTTCTACCATTTTGACTGTGACAATGTGTTCTTCAGTATTTTACTGGTTGCTGTAGACCTTTGACTGTTGCCAGAGCTCCTATAATGTTATTTCAGCCAGATTTTGTTTTGTTTTCTATATCACCGTTTTTCTGATGTACCTCCCCAGACTATTTATTGAAAGTTTGATATAACCTGCTTCTAATTCTGCCACTGTTGTAGGGGGTGCAAATGATCATTTAAATCCAAAATGCTTGGTCATTGGTGGCCACTGGAGGAGTGCTGCCTTCAGTTTTGGTTGCTTTTGTAAAATCACACTGTTTCACATTTTCTGAACCTAAAAATGATTTTTATCTCTGGTACAACTATGCCTTTAAAAAAAGAGTATGAGCCTGGCCAACATGGTGAAGCCCCGTCTCTACTGAAAATACAAAAATTAAGTGGGCGTGGTGGCACAAGCCTGTAATCCCAGTTACTTGAGAGGCTGAGGCACGAGAATTGCTTGAACCCAGGAAGCATAGGCTGCAGTGAGCTGAGACCAAGCCACTGCACTCCAGCCTGGGCAACAGAGTGAGACCCTATCTCAAAAAAAAAAAGAGTATGTACAGATTTTATTTCATTTAGCATTTTAGTTCCTACATAACAAGAAGGTTTCTGTAGGAACCTATTCCGCCTAGTGATAATAAAGGAGGCTGCATTATGATTCTTATCTCAAAACAAAAATAAATCTGTTTTAGAGAGTTTGGTGAAGAATAAAAAAGAATTGTTTTTTTTATGTAATATTACTATTGCTATATGGTTATAAATAATTTTTAATTTTTTTAGCTAGCTTCTTTATTTGGATGCTGCTTTTCCCTAGCAAAGCTTCCTGCATGATACAACTGAAGTTAAGCACTCTGCCACAGGCATGTTAAAGCAAAAACAAACAAACAAACAAAACCCAGACAAAAACAAAAACAAACAAAAAAACCCACAAAAACACTTCATTGCAGAAAAAGGGTACCAGTAATACCAACAACCCTTCCTCAACTTTTGTTTCTCTAGACAATTAATATATTTAATGGTTCTGAAAATTAGGTTTACTTTTTTCTGGACAATAGCTCTGCAAATTATATATCTAACTACTGTATTTAAATTGTAGTTAAGTGTGAAGGAAGCATGCTAACAGAATAGATAGATTTATAACTACAGCAGCACTAATCTGTATCCAGTATCCAGAGCTAGTACTTTTTATACTACTACCACAGCCATCCAAAATAACCTGGCCATCTATTCATCATTAGTCCATTTCCCCATAAATCTTAAATGGAGGTATGCATTGCCGTAATTAGCCAACACAATTAATAATGTATTTTTTCATACTCAATAATGTTGGGCAAAAACTATGTGAACAGATTAACTCTCTGACTTTAAAAGTTAGTGTGTTATGATCCTATATTATAAGAGGAAAAATCTCCCAAAATATTGCCAATATTCTTTAGCAAACTTTTAAAATAAAAAATATTTCTAATTACATGTTCTTGGGCTTACCATTAGTCGCTTTGAGTATTTGTATGAGTGCATTAAACATTTCTTGTTCTTTTGAAACATAGCATTATTTGATATAGGTTGAAAGAGATCTCTGAAAACAATTACTAAACCTTTGTCTTTATGCTTAACTTTCTTTATCTCAGTTGATTTAACTACCAGCAAGAGAATTAAACAAGTCAGAATCCTTGGTGTCATTCACCCATCTCTTTTTACTATGCATATTACTCCAACTCAGCTGGTTTCAACTTTCTATCTCAAATACATCTACTGGTTTCTATCCTCACTACCACTCAATTTCATTGTATGCTTATCATTTTTGTGGACCACAGCAATGACATTCTAACTTTGTATCTATAGGCTATTGCCCTTTCCATTCTCTTTTCCAAAACCTACTTTTATCAGCTTTCCTTCTTCCAATATGTAAATATAGCAAATTGCTATATTTGACCAACTTGCTCATGAAGAATATAAGATTCTACACAATCATGCCAATAATATCTTCTTTCATATAATATCGAGTTTTTTGTCTGTTTCTCTCTCTTTTGTTATGGTATGAACAAGATGAGATTTGTGTTGTTCACTGATGCCTTCTTGGGGCCAGGTACATTTGTAGGACTCAAATATTTATTTAATGAATGACTGAATGGCCACACTGCCCTTTAGATTTCTCAAAGGTTCAATACGGTCTTCCATGGTAGAATCATTTTAAATATTACTTCTTTTTTTATAATACTCTGTCTTTTATTTCTATACTAATTAAGTCCTATCTATCATCAGGGCTCAATGAGAAGGTTTTAACTGTTCTCAAATATTTGACACATTTCCTGTATTTTACGCTTCACAAATCAATTTTTTCATTACAGCATTTATTACGTACTTATTTGTGTTTTACTCATTTCATATTTGTCCCTGCTATCCCAGTCTAAGCAGGGAAGAAGCTGTTATTGTTTTGTTTACTCCTAGATAATCAGAGTCTCATCTAGTGCTGGAAACATAGTAGCTCAATACATTAACTATTCATTGTTAGTATACTAATTCTTGTTGCTAAATCAATACCCTTTTTATTAGTCCATGGTAATATGGTATGGTATGGAATGCTTTTAATTAAATGGCAACTCTAGATGGCATGTCAATTAACTTATTTTTGCTCATCCTTTTTAGGTTTGCAGGAATCAAAGATGTGTGAGTTCTTCATACTTGGGTTATGATTGTACTACTGACAAATGCAATGATAGAGGTGTAAGTAGCAGTACTATGAGGTGAAAATAGAAATCATTGAGCCTAATTTTAGGAAACTGCATTGCTACACACACACACACGCACACACACACACACACACACCAAAACATATAGGAAAATTGGCCTTAGCTGACCTACATATTATTTTATAATTCTACTTGAACATATATAAATCTAGTTGCTTATCTTATAAGGTGATATTTCTCCTTCTTTTAGGTATGCAATAACAAAAAGCACTGTCACTGTAGTGCTTCATATTTACCTCCAGATTGCTCAGTTCAATCAGATCTATGGCCTGGTGGGAGTATTGACAGTGGCAATTTTCCACCTGTAGCTATACCAGCCAGACTCCCTGGTAAGTATTAATAATAAATCAGAAAATAATTAAAACATAATTTGAATTTATTAAATTGGATAACAAATAATATTTTGTCTACCAATTTATATCTAGACTATGTTTAGACATTAAACTGCACATGAATGTGTATGTGTTACTTCCACTTCCAGAGAGTAATATATTACAACATATGTAGCATATGTTATAAATATGATATATCAGTCAGAGCCCAGGCATAAAGACAGAAATCACTTTAGTCTTTCAAACAGAAAGAACACCGTGTAAGGCATCCGGTAATTGCATAGATGAGAAGATTAATCAGAGAAAGGTGAGGCAACCCAGAAAATGACTACCACTTTTTAGGGTTGTAGGGACAATAAAAAGAGGTGGTATTACTAGAATCAGATTCTGGGCCATTTAGCATGATATATAACTATGGTCAGGGATGTATAGCAGGATTGAAACCACAGGGAGAGTAACTGTCCAGCATGAGCTGGAGGTATAGAGAATATACAGTCACTGTTGGAGATTCTGGAGAGGAAGGGGGAATAATATCAGAGCTATTTTTACTCTTCGAATCCTCCAGATATTACTTAGTGATTCCCAGTGATCAAAACTGACTGGAAGACAGCAGGTCAAGGAACTTGGGCAGTGCGGTTCCCTGTGATATTGATCAAAGCAGAGGAAAAGCCTAGATGAATTTTAGAGAAAGCCAGAAGTTAACTGGCATATCCAATAATACTTAGGACCAGGAGATTTTCTTTGATATAAAAATCTAAATGTACATACAAGTAGAGCCATTTTTCTGATTTTGAGTCATAGGTAGTTATTAATTCCAGTATCTGGAAATATTATATTTAATGTTATATAGTAATAGATTAGTAAGTTTAAAACTTTGTAATTAATGTATTTTCAAGCTATTTCCATTTTACTAGCAACAATTAGCTTATCTTCCCATTGGCTGCAATTAATTGTTTCTATTCATGCACACACATGCCATTTCCCAATGAGCAGTGGAGACCACTCCTTTCCAGGTTGGTTTTAGTGGTATGATTGATCAATAAAATGTGAAGAACTAACATTCTAGGACTCTCGTGGTCTTCCTACAGACTCTAGGCAGGTATTTTGCAGCCCTTACTTCTCTCATTCCCTGAAATCTCATTCTCTCATTCACTTCTTGAAAATTATCAGCAATATTTGAAATTTGATTGCACTCAGAAACAAAAATACAACCATCTAATAAGCCCTCCTCAAATTCATAACCAACAAAATTGTGAGCAAAATCTAGTGTTTTAAGTTACTAAGCCTTGAGGTAATTTCTTATACAGCAATAAATAATAAAAAACATTTAGCTCCCAATATGTTGTGTAATAGAAATATAAAATGTGACCTTAGCTTTGAAATTGGATAGTGCATGGAAGACAGAAAGGCAGGAAACTATTGAAGTCTTAGTACATGTTGAAGTTGGTGAGCAATTCAAGGACAGTTTAAAAACACGTTGCAGAAAGTGAAACCATTATTATGAAGTGGTAAATTGTTTGGCATCACTGCTGCCTTTGGTAATGTGGAAAATTGAACTCATGCCTACTATGAAACTACTGGAAGAAAATGTTAATAAGGCACTCTAGGACATTGGTCCAAGCAAGGATTTTATTGGTTTGAAAGTAAAACTAATTTTCATTCTCCACAAGTTTCTTAAAGTAAGAAACAATGAAAGGCCAAATTTGAGATTAGAGCAATAAAATTTTATCTCAAATCAAAATTAAGCAAGGCCTTTGACTGTAAACACCTCTGTTAAAATCTCAGAAAAACTTAAGTTGATATATCTTAGAGACTCTTTCTTCTATACAAAAGGCCTTCTAAGTATTTTATGTAAATGCATCATAAAAAGTTTCAAACAGTAAGGCTACTAAGAATTTTAAACTGGTCATTTCATAACAGCCTCACAGGATCCAATACAGAGAAAGGCTTATGTCAAAGAGATTTGCGAGTGTGGCCTTTGTTTAATGGATTGTGTTTTTATTTGATACATGAGAAATTCAAGGAATTATATTAGCTCAGACTGAAAGTGATCAAGGTAGCATGTACGTTCATTGGTCCCCAATCAACTATAGGCAAGAAACAGGCTGATAAAGGTAGTCAGATGTGAAAAGGACTATTTGGATTATAAACCAAAGGGCATAAACAAAAAGTCAGAAACCACACTTCTTAATCTGTGGGTTTATGATTTTTTAGGTCACCACCAACAAAAATAAACGACAACAAAAAACTATAGGCATAGATGGTTTCACAGGTGAACTGAACCAAATTCTTGGAAGAAAGCAATATTATTTTCAGAAAACAGTGGTGGGGAAGTTCCTGTCAACTCATTGTATGAGGAAAACATAATCCTGATGCCAAATTCAAACAAGGAACTCAACAAAGAAGAAAATCACAAAAAAAATTCTTCATGAACAGAGATACAAAAATCCTCAGCAAAGTATCAGCCCACCATATATAGCTATCCATTTTAAAAAGAGTTACAAGAGTCACTTTGGGCATTTATATTTTCAAGTTATCTATTTCATAGAAAATATGTTAATTTTTAAATTATTAAATTGTTCAAAGATTTTATTTTGGTAGACGTAGTAAAATACAGAAATATCTTTACTATATTTCTGGTGCTTGCTTTCAAATCTTTGATTTTTTTTTCTTCTAGAAAGGCGCTACATTGAGAACATTTACCATTCCAAACCAATGAGATGGCCATTTTTCTTATTCATTCCTTTCTTTATTATTTTCTGTGTACTGATTGCTATAATGGTGAAAGTTAATTTCCAAAGGAAAAAATGGAGAACTGAGGACTATTCAAGCGATGAGTATATTGATTTCATATTTAAGATTTGTTATTTGTATAATTTATGAACATAGTAAATAGCAATGTGGTCGATGTAATGAGTAATAATTCAAATTCAATTATTGTCTTTATATGGGAATTTAATAACTCATATATTAATAACTAATGGCCAGGGGTGGTGGCTCACGCCTGTCATCCCACCACTTTCTGAGGCCAAGGCGAGTGGATCACTTAAAGCCAGGAGTTCAAGACAAGCCTGGGCAACATGATGAAACCCCATCTCTCCAAAAATATACAAAAATTAGCCAGGCGTGGTGGCATGCACCTATAGTCCCAGCTACTCAGGAGGCTGAGGTGGGAGGATCACTTGAGCCTGGGAGGCAGAGGCTGCAGTGAGCCGAGATTGTGCCACTGCACTCTAGCCTAGGCAACAGAGTGAGACTGAGACTCAAAAAAGAAAAAATTATATATATATACACACACACACATGCACACACACACACACATACACATGCATATATACACATATAATAATTGCAATTTTAATCTTATAAGAATCTGGACTTTTTAGGGGCAAGATTAGCTAAAGTTTAGCTGTCCATTCAAGTTTAAAGTTTATCTTTAAAGTTTATCTATCTTCTTTTATTATTTGATCTTGTTAAATATGTATTTTAACTTAATAATACTTAAATAACTTTGTAATATTTCTATATCTTAGTGAATTTTTATGCTATTTTAATGAAAGGTAGTAGGAAAACCCAGGAAAGTAATTTAGCTTTTTTTTGGTAGTAATGTAAATTGAAGCACAGCAATTAGAAGTAGAAAAAGATTAAAAGTTAATAAGTAATAAAAGACTTAAAAATCTAGATGATAGCCACAGCTAGTCTACAGAAAATATAAAACAAATAACTTCTATTAAAAATAAAAATATCTGAATATGTGCTATAAAAATACAAGTAAACATTAAAACTGGTTTATTTATTTTCAAGGAAAATGCTACCAAATGATTTCTCCCTGGGAGTTATATAACTATGTCCTTCATTTTACTTGAAATGAATTGAATTTCATTAAAATACTTAAAATGACAATGTAAATGAAAATGGAATATATTTTAAAAGTTGATTTGAAATTGCTGAAATAATATACAGCACCTAAACGAGTAATAACTTAGTCATTATTTAAATATACTAAAGTGGTTTTCTTATATTGGATAACTATTGTGGAATAACTGATATCAAATATCTTCAGGGAAAAAAGCATAGCTAGTAAAATGAATAGAAATTAATAGGGTTGAAAATGAATGGCAAAAAGTTTAAAGATACTTAACCAATAATACTATGAATATAACAATGATCTAAGTTTCTTTTCGGGTAAACATATATCACTGTGCTTTTTTTTCATATTCACTGATGCAAAGATGTTCATTATTAGTCTTGATTACCAGGGCAGAGATGTTCTCAGTGATAGGGTATTCTCAAATAATGGGTGAACCCAGTTCTTAGGTAAAAATTCAGAACTGTTTCAAGACTGACAGATAATACAGAGGTTTGTAAAATCATCTTGAAGAAAGTATAATATTATTTTTATTTTTAATATGCAGGCAACCTGAAAGTGAGAGTGAACCTAAAGGGTAGTCTGGACAACAGAGATGCCATGATATCACTGTGAGTTTCTTTCATTTTTTTAAAATTTATTTTACTTTAAGTACTGGGACACAGGTGCAGAATGTGCAGGTTTGTTACATAGGTATACATGTGCCATGGTGGTTTGCTGCACCTATCAACCCGTCATCTAGGTTTTAAGCCCCACATGCATTAGGTATTGGTCTCAATGCTCTTCCTCCCCTTGCCTCCCAACCCCCGACAGGTTCTGGTGTGTGATGTTCCCCTCCCTGTGTCCATGTGTTTTCATGATTCAGCTCCCACTTATGAGTGAGAACATGCGGTGTTTGGTTTTATGTTCCTGTGTGTGTTTGTTGAGAATGATGGCTTCCAGCTTCATCCATGTCCCTGCAAAGGACATGAGTGAGTTCCAAATATTTTAAGGATGGGGGGGTTGGGGGGAGGAGAGAGAAAGAACGTAATATATTAAATAAATATATATTAAGTAGTGACAGTCATATAGCTATATATAATAAAAATAAATTGGAGACTATTTTTCGGAATTATATTTTTCAGAATTTATAATAGACATGATCAAGTTATAAATGATTTTGAAATTTTCCACTTAAAAATTTATTACAGTGTTATTTTTTAATTATTTTCTTTAGTTAATTTTACTTCTTTAGCATTTGTATATTTAAAATGTTGGCTAAAAATAAATTGCATGATATAAGTCTACTTTGCAATAAGGTTACTTGCATGCTATTTGTTGAACTAGCTATCATTTCAACTTGTTGATAACGGTGACTTTTTTTTTCATTTATTCAGTCTTCTAGAGTAATTATCTGTGATGGATGGACACAAAAAAATGGAAAGAAAAGAATGTACATTACCTGGTTTCCTGGGATTCAAACCTGCATATTGTGATTTTAATTTGACCAGAAAATATGATATATATGTATAATTTCACAGATAATTTACTTATTTAAAAATGCATGATAATGAGTTTTACATTACAAATTTCTGTTTTTTTAAAGTTATCTTACGCTATTTCTGTTGGTTAGTAGACACTAATTCTGTCAGTAGGGGCATGGTATAAGGAAATATCATAATGTAATGAGGTGGTACTATGATTAAAAGCCACTGTTACATTTCAAATTGCAATGGTATGTGTTATGTTATAGTGTGATGGTCTGAAATCAATCAAAGGCAATGATCCTAAAATTTGGAAAAATTTTTCACCATATGCTGCTGAAAAAAGATACATTTTCAAGTATATAAACATTTAAAGTAAAGGATGATATTATTTCAGTCCTACACATGCTGATTCCTTTCATGAGGTCAGCAAAAATTAGTAACAAAACATGACAAGGATTATTCAGCCTGAAAAAAGAAGGAAATCTTGTTATATGCAGTAACATGGGTGAAATTTAAGGACGTTATGCTAAGTGTAATAAGCCAATCACAAAAAGGCAAATATTGCATGATTCCATTTATATGAGGTATCTAAAATAGTCAAACTATTTGACTCAATTATCTGATTTATAAGCATATACTCACGCAAGACACACAGATTTTAAGATACTAGAAATAGATTTGAAGTTTTTTAATCTGATGAAAGGGATCAACAAAACATTTATATAATGAAAATAATTAATATTGAATTTTCTAGTCTTTCCTCCTAATATTGTGAAGAAGTTAAGAAAATTCACTATTAACATTTTTATATATCTTTGTGGAAATAGTAGTCAGTAAATATGGCTACAAAAAAGTAAAAAATAAACTTTAAATAGGAATCTTTATACAAAGAAAATCTTATTATAGTATAAACACAGAAAATCCAAGATAATCTATAGATAAAATATTTTAACTACCAAGTGAATCTGAAAAATCCATTGGGTGTAAATTTAATACACAAGTATCCCATTTACATATAAAATAAAAATGTAAACACTAGAATATTTAAAAGAATATTATTTACATTAGCACTAAACATATTAAATCCTTGGAAATAACCATTCTAGGAAAACTATGACACCTATACATACAAAATGACAAATTACTATTAAAAGAAATTAAAGATAGTGTTAGGCCATTCTTGCATTGCTATAAAGAAAAACCTGAGGCTGGATTTTTTTTTTTTTGAGACAGAATTTCACCCTTGTTGCCTAGGCTGGAGTGCCAATGGCATGATCTTGGCTCACTGCAGCCTCTGCCTCCCAGGTTCAAGTGATTCTCCTGCGTCAGCCTCCCGATTAGCTGGGATTACAGGCGCACACCACTACGCCCGAATAATGTGTGTATGTTTAATACAGATGGGGTTTCGCCATGTTGGCCAGGCTGGTCTTGAACTCCTGACCTCAGGTGATCCGCCCGCCTTGGCCTCCCAAAGTGCTGGGATTACAGGCGTGAGCCACCACGCCCGGCTGAGGCTGGGTAATTTGTAAGTAAATCACACTACCTAACTTCAAAATGTGCAAACACCATGGTACTGGCATAAAAGCAGACATGTAGACCAATGGAACAGAATAGAGAGCCAAGAAATAAATCTGTGCATTTACAGCCAACTGATTTTCGACAAAGGCACCAAGAATACATATGAGGAAAAGTTTCTTCAACAAATGATGTTGACAAAACTGGTTACCTATATGCAGAAGAATGAAATTAGATCCTATATATCTTAGATATATAGGATCTAATATATACATAAATTATCTCAAAATGAATCAAAGACTTAAATATAAGACCTGAAATTGTAAAAGTATAGGGGAAGAAAAACATAGGGGAAAAGCTCCACGACATTTAGTCTGGGTAAAGACTTTTTGGAATATGACCTCAAAGTACAGACAACAAATGCAAAAATAGACAAATAGAATTGCACCATACTAAAAAGCTTCTGTACAGCAAATGAGACTCAACAGAGTGAGGTGACAGCTTAAAGAAAAAGAGAAAAGATTGGCAAACTATACATCTGATAATAAGTTAATATTCAAAATATTAACAAACTCAAACACCAAGAAGACAAATAGCCTAATTAAACAATGGACACAATAAAGGAATAGACTTTCTCAAAAGAATACATACAAATGGCCAACAGGTAAATTAAAAAATGCTCAATATCACTACTCATCAGAAAATGTATATCAAAACCACAATAAGATATAATGTTAGATTGGCTGTTATCAAAAGATAAAAGATAACAAGTACAGATGAGGATGCAGAAAAAACAGAACACTTATACACTGTTGTTGGGAATATAAATTAATACAATCATTATAGAAAACAGTATGGAGGTTCCTCAAAAAATTAAACATAGAAGTACTGTATGACTCAGCAGTCCCACCACTGGTTATGTATTCAAAGTAAATAAAATCAGTATGTTGAATAGATGTCTGCACTACCTGGTTTACTGCAGCACACACAATAGGGTCAAGATATGGAATCAAGCTAAATGTCCATCAACCAATGAATGGATAAAGAAAATACAGTACATATATACAATAATTCAGCCATAAAAAAGGAAATTATCTCATTTGCTACAACATTTATGAACTAGAGGCCATGACGTTAAGTAAAAGAAGCCACAGAAAGACAAATATCACATCATCTCACTCATGTGGGATCTATAAATACTGATTTCATAGAAGTAGAGAGTAGAATGATGGTTACCAGAAGCTGAAGTGATTAGAAGACAAAAGGGGTTTGGGGAAATGTTGGTCCAAGGGTACATATTTACAGTTAAATAGGGGGAATATTCTCAAGAGATCTATCGTGTTGACTATAGTCAATGATGGTGTATTTTATTATTGAAAAACACAGAAAGCAGATTGTGTTTGCACCACAATAATGTTAACTATTTGGGATAATGAATTTATCAGTTAGTTACATTTAATCACTCCACAATGTATACATGTTTCCAAACATTATGTTACAATGATAAGTACATGCAATTTTATCTGTCAATTGAAAAAAAGTGGACTTAATACAAAAAGGAAAAGATAAAGTAGACATAATAACAGGCCCACTGACTGAAATTGTTTCATTAGTTTTAAATATGTGGTTAAAAAAAAAGAAATAAATGAAGTTTCTACTAAGAAGTTGATAGCACTTTATCAATATTTGAGAGGTAAGTGACCTGCTCCAGCGCCAACCCCAACTCATAGACCAATGGCATATGAAATTTATCTATTCTAGTCCAGTGGAGTTCAAATCTAATCATGAGGACTGTAATTTAGAACAGAAAATAGTTAAAGAATGAGCTGAATTTAATAACCAATTTAAAGCCATAAATCTGAAAAAGACTGACAGGGAGGCCAAAATATATTGGTCCAGCCTTTTTTGGGGCAGAATCAATAGTTTGAGTAAAGTGGCCTGAGTTGGTATGCAAATTATCTTAGAACTGTTACCTACAAGAACTCAATGTACCGTAATCCCTCCGAGAGACAAGAAGGACCTAAGATGTATGTGAGTGAAATGGAAATACCATAGTGGAAATGTGAAATTACAGATAGTAAAGTTTGATTCTAAAGACTGCACCATGGTTACTTTCTTTTTACCCGAACATATAATTGGTATGGGTGTTATGTGTGAATGGGGTGTATTGTCCTTTTCATGGGAGGAAGGGGAAGGACATTGATTAAAGTTTACCCTTTAACTAATTTTTGCTGCTATACTAAATGAGAACTTTTAGAATGGTCCATGCCCTCCTCAATATCAAACATTAGGCAATAAAGAATTCCACCGGGGCAATAAGAGAACATTACTTTAATTAAGGAAATGGTTGTGGTCAGAGTTTTAATTCTCATTTTCTTTTTAAATGCACTGCTTCGTTAGATGCAAAGCTAAATATGAAGTAAACTTCCTTTCTCAGAAACTTTTGTGTCAGTTATAATGTATTTATCTAAATCTACCATCTCTATCTATCTATCTATCTATCTATCTATCTATCTATCTATATCTCTACCTCCCTACCTATTTATTTGGTACTAAGCAATCTTTCACAGTCTTAAGAACTTAGAGATAATAAAGGCTAAACAACACTAGAACATGGAATAATTTAATATGATTAGTAATTGCCTCAGCAAGGAACACTATAAATTTACAATACATTTGAAATATAAAATCTTTATCAGAATCTCTCTCAGGCTCATATGTTTCAAGATGAGAACATAATTTACAGATTCGGCCCATATAAAGATATTTAAGATTGGATATTTGATGGGACTCAAAGCCTCAGTAGAGCATACTCATATTAAATGTTCTATTCAAAGACGAAGGATTTGGTGTCACAAGAGAGAGTGCTGGTGAGCCCCAGGGATCCAATAGACATCCACATGCAAAGTCCCTGGGGTTCTTATTAATATCTGTACACAGAGACTCATGGCTTAATCTCTTCATGAAATGACAAAGGTTTGTGGAATAAATTCTGTCTCTAGGAAAGCTCATGAAAGAAGTTCCCAGTGGAGCCTTTATGCATTTATGTACAGAATGAAAATCCAGGTTGTATAACCAGGTTTTCCAGGTAAGTCAATTGGTCCTGGAGGTTTTCAGGGAATTATACCTTAAACAGCAAATTATACATATTCCTTCTCTCACTTAAGTCAAGAGTCACAGCTAAACATTCAGGCATCCACAGATATAAGAATAGAGTTCTCCCAGTTTATTTGTAAAATAAATCTACCCTCCCTGTATAATCCGCCACTGACTTTCTCATCACTGGTTAGGAACATTTAATTATAAATTACTTGCGATCATTGTTCTTCTGCAAATTTCTTACAGTGCAGTTAAAGCAGCAAGAAAATTTCCAAAGTAGTAATTATTTATTTTATGGTCCAAAATATGATCTATCTTGGTGAATGGTCCATGTGCACTTGAGAAGATTGTGTATCCGGATGTTGGGTGTCTGAATGCCAATTAGATCAATTCGCTTGATGGCTTTCTTCACATCATCTATATCTTTACTGATTTTCTTCTCAGCAGTTCTAACAGATATTGAAAGAGGAATAATGAAATCTACAACTATAATTGAGGACGTGTCTGTTTCTCTTTTCAGATCTGTCAGTTTTCTGTCAAGCATACACATTTAGTATTGTTATGTCTTCTTGGAGAATTTTCCCCTTATAATTTGTAATGTCTCCTTTTTCTCTGAAAACTGTCTGTTGGAATATCTATTTTATCTGAAATTAGGATAAGTACCTGGACCTACTTTAATTAGTGTTTGCCTGATACATTTGTCTTTTTACTTTTGACCTATCTAAATTTTTATATTTAAAAGAGGTTTATCATAGAGGCATACATATGGGCCTTGCTTTCTAATTCAATCAGTTATCACATAACTTGTATTTAGTCCAGTGGTTAGCATACATTTTTTTCTGTAAAGAGCCAGATAATAAACGTTTTTGGCATTATGAGTCACATGGCTTCTGTTGCAAATCCTCCACTGTGCTGTTACAGTGTCAAAATGACAATGCAACATTTCTTTTCTTTTTCTTTCTTTCTTTTTTTTTTTTTTTTTTTTTTTTTTTTTGATACAGAGTCTTGTTCTTTTGCCCAGGCTGGAGTGCAGTGACATGATCTCAGCTCACTGCAACCTCTGTCTCCCAGGTTCAAGTAATTCTCCTGCCTCAGCCCCCCAAGTAGCAGGGATTACAGGCACCCCTCACCACGCCTGGCTAATTTTTGTATTTTTAGTAGAGAGGGGGTTTACCATGCTGACTAGGCTGGTTTCAAACTCCTGACCTCAGGTGATCCACCCACCTCAGCCTCCCAAAGTGCTGGGATTACAGGTGTGAGCCACCGTACCTGGCCAAAAATGCAGCATTTCATTGTTACACCACATTTTGTAAATAAAGTACATTTCATCCATTCATTATTATATTTTTATTTGTTATATATCAGTTGACAGACATTTGGACTCTTTCCACTTTTTCTCTATTATGAATAATGCTGCTATGAACTCTAATGTACCAGTTTTTTGTGGACATATGTTTCTATTTCTCTTGGATATTTACCTAGAAGTGAAATTGCTGGATTATAAAGTAATGATGTCACAGTAATCATTCAATTTGTCAATTATCTCCATTGGTTTACTTTCAAAAAATATTCAAACTTTGACTACACTTACCATTCCTAGTTTGAACCACCGTCGTTACTCTCCTTGACTATTGT
Source organism: Homo sapiens (assembly GCF_000001405.40). Classification (NCBI taxonomy): domain Eukaryota; kingdom Metazoa; phylum Chordata; class Mammalia; order Primates; family Hominidae; genus Homo; species Homo sapiens. The sequence continues at coordinate 488,364 of NT_187577.1, read as the reverse complement.
TACAGCCCCCATACTTGCTTCATCCACTTTTCCCCTTGCCTATCTATAATCTATTTGCAAAAAATTAGTCTTTTAAAGTGTAAGTTATATTGATTGACATTAAGACCTAATACTATAGTTTGGATGTTTGTCCACCCAAAACGTCATGTTGAAATTTGATTTCCAGTATTAGAAGTGGGTCCTAATGGGAGGTGTTTGGGTCATGGGGGCAGATCCCTCATGAATTACTGGGTGCCATCCTCATGGTAACGGGTGTGTTCTCCCTTATTAGTTCCTATAAGAGCCGGTTGTTAATAAGAGCCTGGCACCTCCCCCTATGTCTCGCTTCCTCTCTCACCATGTGAGATTTGCACGTGCCTGTTCCCATTTACCTTCCACCATGAGTAAAAGCACCTGAGGATTTCACCAGAGATCAATCTTGCATCCAACAGAATTGTGAGCAGAATAAACCTTTTTATAATAAAAAAAAAAAAGTACCCAGTCTCACATATTCCTTTATAGCAACACAAAACAAAGACAACTTACATGAGATTTACTTTTCTGACCTACACTACAACAACCCTCTGACTAACTCCACCAAGAAGTTCTCTGACATAGCCTGGAGACATTTTCCCCATTGTCCTGATGATTAACATTCAGCTTCTCATTACTTGTGCAAATTTCTGCAGCTGGCTTGATTTTCTTTTTCCCAGAAAATGGGTTTTTCTTTTTCTATTACATCATTAAGCTGCAAATTTTTCAAACTTTTATGCTCTGCTTTCTCTTGAGTCCATTGCTGCTTAGAAATTTCTTCCACCAGATACTCCAAATCATCTCTCTCAAGTTCAAAATTTCACGTATCTCTAGGGCAAGGGCAAAAAGCCACCAGTCTCTTTGCTAAAGCACAGAGTCACCTTTTCTCCAGTTCCCAACAAGTTCCTCATCTCCATCTGGGACCACATCAACCTGAACTTCATTGTTCATAACACTATCAGCATTTTCATCAGTCATTCAACAAGTCTCTAGAAAGTTCCCAACTTTCCCACATTTTCCTCTTTTCTTCTGAGCCCTCCAAACTGTTCCAACCTCTGCCTGTTACCCAGTTCCAAAGACGCTTCCACATTTTTGGGTATCTTTACAGCAGCACCCCTCTCTACTGGTACCAATTTACTGTATTAGTCTGTTCTCATGCTGCTAATAAAGACATACTGAAGACTGAGTAATTTATAAAGGAAAAGAGGTTTAATGGACTCACAGTTCCACGTGGCTGGGGAAGCCTCAAAATCATGGCAGAAGGCAAAAGAGGAGCAAAGCCATATCTTACATGGCAGCAGGCAAGAAAGAGCATGTGGAGGGGAACTGCTCTTTATAAAACCATCAGATCTTGTGAGACTTATTCACTATCATGAGAACAGCACAAGAAATACCCACCCCCATGATTCAATTACCTCTCACCAGGTCCCTCTCATGACGCATGGGAATTATGGGAGCTACAATTCAAGATTTGGGTGGGGCACAGCCAAACCGTATCACTGTATCTTTGTTCTCATTTGTTTCAAAGAACTTCTTGATTTCTGCCTTAATTTTATTATTTACCCAAATGTCATTCATGAGCATGTTTAATTTTCATGTAATTGCATGGTTTTGAGTGGTTTTCTTAGTCTTGACTTATATTTTTATTGCACTGTGGTCTGAGAGTGTGTTTGGTATAATTTTTTTTTTTTTTTTTTTTTTTGCATTTGCTAAGAATTGCTTTATGTCCAATTACGTGGTTGACTTTAGAGTATGTGCCATGTGGCAATGAGAAGAATGTATATTCCGTTATTTTCTAGTGGAGAGTTCTGTAGATGTCAAACAGATACATCTGGTCCAATGTTGAGTTCAGGTCCTGAATATCTATTAATTTTCTGCTTTGATGATCTGCCTAATGCTGTTTGTGGAGTGTTGAATTTTTCCACTATTATTGTCTAGGAGTCTATGTTTCTTTGTAGGTGTAGGCTGCAGCCTTGTAGGTAGATCTCAGACTGCTGCGCTAGCAGTGAGCAAGGCTCCGTAGGTGTGGGACCTGCCGAGCCAGGCATGGGAAAGAATCTCCTGGTCTGCCAGTTGTTAAGACCATGGGAAAGCACAGTATTTGGGTGAGACTGTCCCGTTTTTCCAGGTACAGTATGTCATGGCTTCCCTTGGCTAGGAAAGGAAAAATCCCCTAACCCCTTGTGCTTCCTGGGTGAGGCGATGCCCCACCCTGCTTCAGCTCACCCTCTGTGGGCTGCACCCACTCTCCAACCAGTCCCAATGAGATGAACCAGGTACCTTAGTTGGAAATGCAGAAATCACCTGTCTTCTGCATCGATCACACTGGGAGCTGCAGACCACAGTTGTTCCTATTCAGCCATCTTGGAAAGGACCCTGGGTTTTCTCTGTGTCTTATGTCTTTTCTCTTCCTTTTTTCCCTCCATTACTGCTTTCTTTGAGGTAAATGGACATTTTTGAGTTACTATTTTAATTTTATTTTCTTTAACATATATTTTTGAATTGTCTCCTTAGTGACTGGTCTGAGGTTTACATTAATATCTTAAATTTATAACAATGTAGTTTGAAGTAATGCCAATTTAATTTCAATAGTATACAGGCTTAGCTTATATGTAGCTCTGTCCTCTGCTCCAGTATACTTTGTCTTATTGTCACAAATTACATACTTACTATTGTGTACCCATCAATTTAGATTCATAATTATTGCTTTATGTAGCTGTCTTTTGAATAAGATAGGATATGAAAATTACAACCAAAATAAACTTATATTGTCTTTTATATTTACCTTCATAGTTACCCTTAATGGTGCCTAATTTTTGTTCATATGGATTCAGTTCTTTTATAGGGTAGCTCTGCTAGTGCCAAATTCTCTCAGTTTTTGTCTGTCTGAGAATGTCTTAATTTCTTCTTCATTTTTGAAGGATGGTTTTGCTCAATATAGAATTATTGATTGATCATTTCTTTCCTTCAGAACTTTGACTATTTCATCTTACTCTCTTGTGGCCTCCATGGTTTCTAATGATAAATCAACTATTATTCTTATTCAGCATTGTTTGTATGTGACAAAGTTATTTGTCTTTTGCTATTTTCAGGATTCTGTATTTTTTTGTTTAATGTTTCTGGAGTTAAACATCTTTTCATGTGCTTATTTGGCCATTTGTTTGTCTTTGGAAAAATGTCTATTCAAGTCCTTTTGAACTGTTTTTTTGCTTTGAGTTTTAGAAGTTGCTGAATTTTAGAAGTTGTATATCTATTCTGGATATTAATCCATTATAAGTTGTGATTTATAAATATTTTCTCTCATTCTGTTGGTTGCCTTTTCACTCTATTTTTTTTTGCTTAAAAGTTTTTAATTTTTGTAAGGTCTGTTTTGTCTATTTTTTTCTTTTGTTATTTGTACCTTGATATCATCTCCAATAAATCATTCCTAAATTAAACATCATGAAGCTTTTGGCCTATATTTTTTTCTAAGGCTTCTACAGTTTTAACCCTTACATGTAAGTCTTTGATATAGTTTGAGTTAATTTTTGTATGTGGCCTTAGGTAAGGGTCCAACTTTATCCTTTTGCTTGTGGAAATCTAGTTTTCCCAACATGATTTGTTTAAAAGACTGCCCTTCCCCTATTTGTCTTGGGTACTTTATTAAAGATCATTTAATTATACTCCTGCAGGTTTGTTTCTGGTCTTTCTAGTCTGTTACTTTGGTCTGTATATCTGTCTTTACATCCAGCTGTATTAATTTCTGTAGATTTTTAGGTAATTTTAAAATCAGAAAGTGTGAGTCCTCCAACTTTGTTCTTTTTCAGAACTATTTTGGCTAGTCAGAATCCTTTGAGATTCCATATAAATTTTAGAATAAGTTTTTCTATTCCTGCATGAAAGCCATTAGGATTCTGTTTGGGATTGCATTTAATCTGATCAATTTACATAATACTGGCATCTTAAATATAAAGTCTTCTAATCCATGCACATGGGATAACTTTCCATTTACTTATGTCTTTACTTTCTTTAAACAATATTTTGTAGATTTCATTGTACACATCTTTCAGCAGCTCTTTGGTTAAATTTATTTGTAATTATTTCATTCTATTTAATGCTATTGTATATTTAATTTTTAATTTCCCTTTTAGATTGTTTATTGTTAGTGTAAATAAATGCAACAGTTTTTTCCTTTTGTTTTCCAAGATGAGGTCTTGCTTTGTCACCTAGGCTGGAGTGCAGTGGTATGATCTCAACTCACTGCGGCCTGAACTCCTGGGGTTAAGCGATCCTTTCGGCTACAAGTGTGCCATCAGGGCCAGCTAATTTTTTAAAAAATTTGTTTTAGAGATGACTTCTTGCTATTTTGCCCAGGTTGGTCTTGAACTTCTTCCCTCAAGCAATCCTCCTGCCTCAGCCTCCCAAGTAGCTGAGATCACAAATGTGAACCACATGCCTGGGCAAAAGCAACTAATTTTTGGGTGTTGATTTGGTATCCTGCTACTGCACTGAATTTATTAGTTATAGCATGGTGTGTGTGTGTGTGTGTGTGTGTGTGTGGATGTGTGTGCATTTGTGTGTAGTGTTCTCTATAGATAAGATTCTACCACTGAGAACAGAGATTTTACTTTGTCTTTCCAGTTTGGATGCTTTTTGTCTTGCTTAATTGCTCTAAGTAGATCTTCCAGTACTGTGTTGAATAGAAGCAGTGAAAGTGGACATCATTACCTTGTTCCTGATCTTGGAGTAAATGTTTTCACTCTCACCATTACATATGATATTCATTGTGGGTTTATCATATATACTTTTAACTATTTTGTGATAGTTTCCCTCTATTCCTAGCTTCTTGAGGCTTTTTTATCATTAAGTATACTGAATTTTATCAAATGCTTATTCTCCTTCACTTAGGATGACCATGTGGTTTTTTTCTTTCATTCTATTACATGGATTGGTTTTCATATGTAGAACTTCATGATGTATCTTATAACTGTATTTGATACAAACTGTATAGGAAACAAGCCAATGAAATATTTTCCTTTCCTCTTTTATCCTATTGTTTGAGAATAAAGACATATATTTTGCCTTCTACATTCTGGATATCAAGTAATGGCATCACAATATACACAGTTGCTTAAGGCACAAATCTATATTTCAACAACATAACTTACCTGTACCTTACTCATAATAACAAAAAATGTGAAAAACAAGTTTTATGTATCATGGTTAAACGCCTTATAAAATATCTCATAAAGTCTCACAGCATACTCACAAGTTAGGTATAACTTTACCTATTTTACTGTTAAGAAAATTAGAATTGTTTTGAAACACAGCCAGTAAGTGATTGAGACTTGGATGTGTCACTTCCTTTAACACTTTTCAGCTTTCTAACCATTATCGTACATATGGTATTAATTAATTTTTCAGAGCTCAAGTATCTTTTGCTAAATTTTCTAATTCTAAGAATTTGTATGAAAAAATCTCTTAGCATAAATGTTTAATTGTGCACTTTTTTGTCAATAAAGGATCCATTCTACAGGTGTGCAGTGACATTACATTGCATGTGATTTTCACTGGCATTTCCCTGATGATAGTGATGCTGACCATTTTTTCATACAATTCTTGGCCATTTGGATGGCTTCTTTTGAGAAATGTCGATTCAGGTCCTTTGCCCATTTCAAAATAATATTATTTGTTTTCTTGTTATTGAGTTTAGTCACCTATAAATTTTGGATATTAACCCCTTACCTGATGTATAATTTGCAAATATTTCCTATTATATAGGTTGTCTCTTCACTCTATTGACTGTTTCTTTTGCTATATCAAAGCTTTTTAGTTTAAAGTAATCCCTTGTTTTCTATTCTTGCTTTTCTTGTCTTTTGAGGATCAGAATAAACAAATATATAGAGCTAGAAGGTAGATAAGTGATTGCCTGGGGCTGGTGAAGTAAAGGAGAAGTAAAGGTGAAGTAAAGGTGAAGTAAAGGAAAGTAGGAGAAAACAATGGGGAGTGATTACTAATGTTTCTGGAGCTTCTTTTTTGGGTGATGAAATGTTCAAAAATTGATTATGGTGATGGTTGCATAATTCTGTGATCTTACTAAAACTATTACATTGCATACTTTTTTTTTTTTTAGACGGAGTCTCGCTCTGTCGCCCAGGCTGGAGTGCAGTGGCATGATCTCTGCTCACTGCAAGCTCCGCCTCCCAGGTTCACGCCATTCTACTGCCTCAGCCTCCCAAGTAGCTGGGACTACAGGCACCCGCCACCATGCCCAGCTAATTTTTTGTATTTTTAGTAGAGATGGGGTTTCAATGTGTTAGCCAGGATGGTCTCGATCTCCTGACCTCGTGATCCGCCCACCTTGGCCTCCCAAAGTGCTGGGATTACAAGAGTGAGCCACTACACCTGGCGCATTGCATGCTTTAAATGGGTGAATTGTATGATATGTTAGTTACGTCTCAATAAAGCTAGTTAAAATCAAGTTCAAGTTGGCTGTTTAGCCTTTTTATGTGCTAGGAATTTGGTATGCTTTCTTTTGTTTTTTTCTGAGACTGTATTTTTAAATATTTAAGAATTATTTCCCTAGTATGCATATACTACTTGAAGAATAATGAAAGAAAAAGTAAGTAAACCATTTATTTTCACTCAGGCGAAATGTAAGAACAAAGTAAATATGAGCACAAACATAATTTCACAGATGAATGTGTATAGATACATCAACATTATTGGTGTCTTTCTTAATATTCTGTGGCCATGCAATTTGTAGAAATGGTGTTTCCGAATCTGCAGTAAGGAAAAACATGTGAGCATTCCCAGTGTATCACAGCATCCTTTCTTCACTCGTCTGCTCATCTTACATCACTATACTTCCAAGCCCCAATACACACACACACACACACACACACACACACACACCCCACAAAACCAGACTTTGTCCAATTCCAGGAAGAGACTCCCCTAGAAGAGAAGAGGGAGTATTACCCAGAGTCATCCCCCACACTCTGGGTCTAGGTGACCTCAACCCAGAATGGGAAAGGAAATATGGGCTGTAGGTGTCAAACCCCATCCAGCCTCCCTCCTTCCCCCACCTCTCCAGGAAATGCACCCTCTTGAGCAGAGTCAGGTAAGTGAGGAACAGCTGTCTGAGTTCTGGGCTAAGCCCTCCAACTAGCAGGTTCAACCAGATGCCAATGGCACAGTGGCCCTGAAACTGGGCAGGCTCTGACTGTGCCCCTCCCCAGCCCGGCCTGAGGTTCAAGACCAAGGGGATGATGCCCGCCTGGCCTTGAAGCTCTGGGGCTCTGGAGCAACAAGCTCTGTTTCTTCTGCACAGCTTGGCCTGAGCTACTGGAACAGGGAGGGTGACACATGCTTCCTCTCTGGACACTGAAATGCAGTCCCCGTACGCAGCAAAAATTCTTCACTTGCAATCACCCGCGGAGGTCAACCGGCCCAGCCCTGAGAGGATCAGCAAGAGAGCATTGCGTGGCCAGCGGCCTCGCCACAGTGATGGCTGCTGAGCATGGAATGGGGGCTGCTTCTGGCCAGGGCTGGGGAGGCCGAGCAGATCCCAAGAACGGTGGGTTCTGGAGGGCACGGCCCAGACCCAGGTCTGTGGATCCCAGAGACTCTTGGAACTTGGAGTCAGGGTGTTCCCAACCACAGCAAGAGGCACTGGAGGAGGCACATGGGAGGGCACGCAGGCTTTATTTTCCAAAAGTTTGACATTTACAATGCATTGGGGATAACGTAAGGTTATAAATAAAGCACATTCGTTCCTTTAGGTTATTTGCTATGGAAGTTCTGTGCAATATTAATGTCCCACGTCATCGCTTTCTGATACAACGGATGAATTACTATAGTGAAGAAAAACAGAAAAAATAGAAATTCACAATATGTTTAGTAGTAGCCAATTGCCTATTTTAAACCATATTTACTACTGAATTTCTACTTTATAATTGCTAAAAATCAAAGATTATTATAGATAAGTTTGGTTATCTATATTATAGATGTTACATTATCTATATTATAGATAAATTTGGTTCTTATCTATATTATAGGTAACTTATCTATATTATAAGGAGTCCAACTAAAAAGCTAAACATAAAATAAATGTATATGTTTTTGTACCTTAGCATTGATTTATAATTTACCAGGCAAACTATGAAATGACTATGTAAAAACAATCAAAATCCATTTATTCAGTTTTATACACTTTGTTTCTTAGAAAAACCTACAGCTTAGGGAGACAAAATAAAAGGTTAGTCTTTATTTTTTTCCCCATTAATATGAAGTTCACACATGAAAACAATAGAGTTAACATGGAAATAATTTTCATTTTATAGTTAATATTCAGGTTGCTGACTTTAATTTTTTCACAATTTCCTTATTCACTTTATAAAAATACTTTGTGTAGTAAAATACACATTCTAACCATTTTTAGTGTACAGTTCAGTAGTACTAAGTACATTCATATTGTGAAACTATCACCATCTGTCTCCAGAAACATTTTCATCTTGCAAAAGTGAAATTCTGTGCTCAGTAAAGAATAACTCCTCATTGAATAATATGTATTCAACAAAAACTTCCCATCCTCTGTGGCCCACAAACACAAGAAAATATGCTCAATATCACTAATCATTAGGGAAATGCAAATCAAAACCACAGTGAGATATCTCCTCACACCCATTAGGATGGCCAATATGTTTTTTAAAAAAAGCAGAAAATAACAATCCTAGTAAGAATATGGGCAAACTGGAACCCTTTTGGACTGTTGGTGGGAATGAAAAATTGTAAAACTACTGTGGAACACAGTATGGCAGTTCTCAAAAATATAAAAATAGAATTACCTAATTTCAATTTTTTTGCCAGACATGCTTAAGTTGTCCTTCTATGGAATACTCTTGCTTGTATACCTTTCATGCAATATTTAAAAACAAAATCAAATATTGATTGTCTTCTCCAGTTTGTAGAAGGAAACAAAATAAGGTTGGCTTTTTTACAATTCATTTTTCCACACTTCCTTCTAAACATAAAATATTTGTTTGACTTACAAACAATAATAACATAAAAAAATAACTTCCAAATAGCCAAGATTTTTATTTCACTGAAGTATTTACTTTTTAACCATGTGCTTTTCGTTGTGATATATGTTGTATGTCATATTTATTTAAATAGTCCTATACACCTTAAAGACTTTATTTTTTATATATTTTGTTAATTCACATGATAATTGATAATAATTAATACCTCAGGATTTATTGTGTTGCTATTAAAGAATAATGACTTTCTGACTCTCTATGACTTGAACACATTTCTGAAGTCTACTATACATCACTGAAGGCATGATAAATAATACAGTTACTCATGATTTTATTAAAATCTCTGTTCATCAGTCAAGTAATCAAAACAGGAAATACATGTTCATTATTTAAATTTCTTAATTTTCTTTGACTGGTTAGGATGGCTGCTTTTTTAAAAAAAAATGTGAATATATTGTTTGGATATTTGTCCTTGCCCAAATCTCATGCTGGATTATAATCCCCAGTGCTAGAGGTGGTGCCTGGTGGGAGGTGTTTGTATCATGGGGTGAATCTCCCATGGTTTGGTGCTGTCCTGGTAATAGTGAGTTCTTGCAAGATCTGGCCATTTCAAAGTGTGTGGTACCATCCTCACCTGACTCTCTCGCTTGCTCCTGCTTTTCTCTTGTGACATACCTTTTGCCCCTTCACCTTCTGCCATGATTGTAAGCTTCCTGAGGCCTCCCTAAAAGCTGAGCAGAAGCCAGCACCATGCTTCCTGTAAAGCCTGCAGAACTGTGAGCCGATTAAGTCCCTTTTCTTTATAAATTGACCTCAATTTCTCATATTTCTTTATAGCAATGCAAGAATGGCCTAACATAGAAAATTTGTACTAGCAGTGGGGCATTGCCATAAAGATACCTGAAAATCTGGAAGCAGTTTTGGAACTGGGTAATGGGTTGGGAGAGTTCGGAGGGCTCAGATAAAGACAGGAAGATGAGGGAACATTTGGAACTTCCTAGAGACTAGTTAAAATGACTGTGACCAAAAGGCTGACAGTGATATGGATAGTTAAGTCCAGGCTGCCAAGGTCTCAGAAGGAAATGAGGAACTTCTGGGAACTGGAACAAAGGTCATGTGTGTTACGCCTTGGCAGAGAGCTTGGCTGCATTTTGTTCATTCCCTAGGGATCTGTGGAAGCTTGAACTAAAGATGACCATATAGGATATCTGGCAGAGAAAATTTCTAAGCAGTAAAGTTTTCAAGATGTTGCCTGGCTGCTTCTAACAATCCATAATCAGATGGGGGAGCAAAGTAATGATTTAGAGTTGAAATTTATATTTAATCAGGAAGCAGAGCATAACAGTTTGAAAAATTTTCAGCCTAGCTTTGTAGCAAGAAAAAGCTTTGAAAGGAAAGCTTTGAAAGGAGAGGAATTCAAGTAGGCTGTGGAGCAACCACTTGCTAGAGATATTAACATAACTAAAAAGGAGCCAAGTGCTAATATCCAAGACAATGGGGAAAAGGACTTGAATACATTTCAGGGACCTTTGTAGCAGCTCTTTCCAAAATATAGGGATGCCATCCTTGTGTTCAAGTAGGTCAGAGGCTAATAGGAAACTAGACATATTGAAGAAATGTCATAGCTAGAAATAAATTATAAATTCATTTTTAGGATGTATACAACTTTCTCTGGGAATGCAGTTAAAATAATTTAGCTTTCTCTATCAAAAGTAACTACTTTTGGTAAAAGAATGTCACATTTGAGATTTAAGCTAATTGGGTAAGTAAATAAACTTTTTATGAAAGTAATATTAAATTATTCAAAAGTTTTAAGTGTGTGTTAATTTTGCATCTTAGAAAGATTTTGTAAGATGGTTGTCAAATAAAATTTATGGGAGGTTATTTTTGAGCTGAGTTCTTGCACTAGTCTCCAACAGAAGAAACTAAAATGGAGCCATTCACCCTAAGGTGCCATGTAACCAAACTGAAACTAAGTTGTTTATCTGACTTTCCAAGAAATCAGGAGAGAGATTAAAGCCTAATCCTTACCTGAAACTATAAAACTTCTAGCAGAAAATAGACAGAAAGCTCCTTGCCATTGGTCTGGGCAATGATTTTATTGGGTATGTCACCAAAAGCACATGCGATAGAAGCAGAAATAAAGTGATTGCATTAAACTAAAAAGCTTTTGCATAGCAAAAGAAACAATCAATGAAATAAAAAGGCAGCCTATAGAATGAGACAAAGTATTTGCAAACTATATATCTGATAAAGGGTTTCATAATATCAAAAATATATATGGGTGGCCAGGCACCATGGCTCATGCCAGTAATCCCAGTACTTTGAGAGGCTGAGGCGGGAGGACCACTTGCGCTCAAGAGTTTAGACAAGCCTACGCAACATACGGAGACACTGTCTCTACAAATTATATATATACACACACACACACACAAATGTGTGTGTGTGTGTGTGTAGATCTCATACAAGTGAATAGCAAGAAAGCAAATAACCTGATTTAAAAATTGTCAAAGAAGCTTAATAGACATTTCTTCAAGAATACATACAATTGAATAACAGGTATATCAAAAGGTACTTAACATCACCAATAATCAGGAAAACATAAATGAAGACCACTATGAGATATTACTTTCCATTTAGAATGGCTTACTTTACATCTTAGGTTAACATAGTTGTTATTGAAAAAAGGGAAAAGAGAGCAAGGTTGGTAAAGACATGAAGAAAAAGAAACTCTTGTACAATGTTGGTGGAAATATAAATTGGTATAGCCATTATGGAAAACAGTATGACGGTTCTTCATAAATGAAAAATAGAACTACCATATGATGTGACAACCTCACTTCTGGGTATGAATTCAAAGGACTTGAAATCAGGACCTTGAAGAGATATCCGCACTTCCATGTTCATTGTAGCATTGTTCACAATAGCTATGATATGGTAACAACCTAAATGTCCATCATGGGTAAATAGATAAAGAAAATGTGCCAAATGTATGTAATGGAAGATTACTCATCCTTAACAATGAAGAAAATTCTCTTATTTGTTATCTCATGAATAGATGTAGAGGACATTATGCCAAGTGAAATATGCCAGACAAAATTTGTGTGAAATATGTCAGACAAAAGTTGCATGATCTTAACTATATGTGGACTCAAAAATAATCAAATTCATAGAAGCAGAGAGTAGAACAGTGGTTGCCAAGAGATGCGGGAGCAGAGAATGGGAAGGTGGTGGTTAAAGGGTACAAAGATTCAGTTATGCAAGATAAATTCTGGAGCTCTACTATACACCACAGTACCTATAGCTAACAATACTGTATTGTATACTTGATATTTGCTAAGAGGGTAGATCTATATCAAGTGTTCTTACCTTGGTAAAGCAACAACAATAATATAAAATTTGGGAGGAAACTTTGGGAGGTGATATATTTATGGCCTTGATGGTGATGATGGTTTAAAGGGGTATACTTATTTCCAAACTCATCAAGATGTATATATTAAGTATGTATACGTATTTGTATATCAATTATACTTCCGTGAAGTGGTATAAAACTGATAGAATAACTAGACAAAAAATCAGCAAGGATATAGAAGACTTAAACGATACCATCAACCACCTTGACCTACCTGTATTCTATAGAACTCCCCACCACGCAGTGGGTATTCACAATAGTAAATACACCTTCTATTCAAGTGTATTTGGAACAGTCTTCAGGACAGACTATATACTAGGCCTATAAAAATTCTCAAAAAATTTAAAAAAATTTTAAATTTACAATGATTGAAATCAAATGAAGTATATTTTGTGATCAGAGCTCAACTAAGTTGAAAATTAACAAGGCAAAAATCCTGGGAAATCTATAAATACTTGGGAATTAAACAATATACTTCTAACTAATGTATGAGTCCAAGGGAAGAATTCACAAGAAAAAACAGAATATTTTGAACTGAATGGAAATGAAAATATATGCTATCAAAACGTATAGAATGCAGCTAAGCCTAAGGGAAAATTTACGGATTTAAATGCCTGTATCAGAAGAACAAAGATCTCAAAACAATCATGTAAGCATTGGCCTTACAACTACTAGAAAAAGAACTAGCCAATCCCCAAGCAAGGAAAAAAAAGTAGATAAGAAATATTAACCTGTAATTAATGAAATACAAAACTGAATAACACTAGCAAAAAATAATTATAACAAAAAGTTGGATCTTTTAAAATATCAGCAAAATTAACAAACCTTTAACCGGTCTGAACAAGAAAAAAAAGAAAATGCAAATAAACAAAATTAGGAATAAAGTATGATAATTCAATACTGACCCTACAGACATTAAAATGATTACAAGAAAATACTACGAATAACTTTGTGTAACAAATTATACAATTTTGAAGAAAGGGACATATTTTTGAATTCACAAGCTTCCAAACATGACTTAATAAAGAACAGAAAATCTGAACGGATTACAAGAACAAAGATATTAAAATGGTAAGTAAAACCAACACCAATGTGTAATGAGATCTAACTAGAAGGGCACTTAAAATAATTTACCAACTATATTCTTTTCTGACCTAGTAAGTCTTTGGTACAGCATAGGATACTCATCAGGAAAAGTTCTAGAACATTGAGAATTTTGGCTTGCCCCAATATAATAACAAATTATTGAAACACAAAATTATAAAGATACCACTTACATTAGATTTAAAATAGTATATTTAAGAATTAATATAACAAATGTTATATAAAATGCATGACACTGGTTAATGACTAGGATAATTAAACCTAATACATTGATTCTATATCATATTTACCGATTATACTCTGCATTCTCTCTGTTACATGATTTACTTATTTCATTTCTTTTAAAGATCACAGTGGTGAAAACTATGAAAAACGGCAGAAAAATGCAGAAACTCAGAATAAACCAGTTGTTCCAGTGTGTATTGTAGCCTTTTTCAGTATAAAAGTCACCTAGAAATGAATCATATGATAAATTAGTGGGGACTCAGTGGATATTTAAATAAATTTATATTTTTTCACTTAATCATATACGTGTATATATAATGAAGTTTTAATGCATTGCAAACTACTAGGAAAAATAGAACATAAATGCAAACTACAGTGCTATATTTTTCATAGATTTTCTGTTTATTTACACATATTTATTTAATATTAACCTGCTGTATACATGTTTAGAGTGCTGTTTGCTGCATTCAGCTTATTTGTAACATCAATACTTTACAAGTTAATACAGTAATAGGGATTAAGTTACAATTTTAAAAAATGTATACTTTGAGAAACCACCATCCCACTCGCTTGCCAAATCAGTTTTTTCCTTAGAGAAAACCATTTATAAATGACTCATTTCTCTCCATCTAGTGTTTATATTCTATGTATGTAAACAAAATTCATACTTATACCTATACTTGTATCCGCATCTATATCTATATATCTATACATAACATGTGCATCTGTGTGCATGTGTGTATGTGTATATCTTTCCACTCATTGACATTCTATAAGCATATTATTACCTTTGTTTTTTTAATACTTAAAAAGTTGAGATATCACACAATTCTGAGAAGTATACAATATGTAAATATATTAGCAAAATCAGCAATGAGTTAACTAAATGAATATGCACATACCCACTCTCCAGGTCTCAAAAAGGATCCTGTTATAATTCCAAAGCACTGCAGGACATTTCCTAATCCTTTCTCCTCTCCAAACGTTACAATGATCATGGTTTGTTTAATTATTATTTATTTAGTGAAATTTATTGATGTATATAACATAGTAACAAAAATGTGTGCCATAAAGTTGTACTGCTCAAAAGACATTTACATTGAACAAGACCATGTAACCAGCAACAAATCTAGGAAACATAACTCCCCAACTTAGTTTACCAGACACTGTCTTTCCCAAAGAAAATCACTAATTTTGCCTCTAAGAGCATGAATCTTATTTCCCTTTCATTTTGGCTTGCTATTAATTTAGACACATTAACTATACTTGTATCTTTTCATGTTGTATACACTTTGAAAAATAGATTAAGGAGGTACAAGTGCAGTTTTGCTGCATGGATATATTGTGCAGTGGTGAAGTCTAGGCTTTTAGTGTACCTATCATCGGAATAGTGTACATTGTATTCAATAGGTAATTTTTCACCCTTCATATCTCTTTCACCTTCCAATGTTTTGGAGTCCCCAGTGTCTATTATTCCACTGTGAATGTTCATGTGTACCCATTGTTTAGCTCCCACTTATAAGTGAGCCAATGCAGTATTTGGCTTTCTGATTCTGAGTTATTTCACTTAGGTTAATGCCTCCAGTTCCATCCATGTTGCTGCAAAAGACATGGTTTTATTTTTTTATGGCTCAGTAGTATTCCATGATATATATATAAAGAAATATAAATATGTATTCATCAATGGACGACTGGATAAAAAACACACGGCATATATATATATATATATATACACACACACACACACACACACACACACGGTATAACCAACAAAGTAGGCAGACAACCTTATAGAATGAGAGGAGATATTTTATATATAAATAAATATATATGCACCATGTGTTCTTTATCCAGTCCTCCATTGATATATATATGATATCAATATATATTACATGATAAATATATATGTGTGTGCATATATATATAATGTGTTCTTTATCCAGTCCTCCACTGATGGACACTTAGGTTGATTCCATAACTTTGTTATTGTGACTAGTTCTGCAACGAACATATGATGTATAATGATTTCTCTTCTTTTGGGTAGCTAGCAAGTAGTAGGACTCCTGGATTGAGTGGTAGTTCTATTTTTAGTTCTTTAAGAAATCTTCATACTGTTTTCCATGGTTATAGTACTAATGTACATTTCCACCAGCAGTATAAAAGTGTTCCCTTTTCTCCACATCTTCACCTACATCTGTTGTTTTATGACTTTTGAATACTAACCATCCTGATAACATAACTCATTGTAGTTTTAATTTGCATTTCTCTGATGATTAGTGATGCTGATCATTTCTTCATATGTTTTTTGGCCTCTTGGATGTCTTCTTTTGTAAAGTGTCTGTTCATGTCTTTTGCCATTTTTTTGATGGGGTTGTTTATATTTTTTCTTTTGGAGTTTTAGTTCCTTATAGACTCTGGATAACAGTACTTTGTTGATATATAGTTTGCAAATATTTTCCCTCATTCTGTAGGTTGTCCACTTACTTTGTTGATTATTAGTTTTTCTTTGCAGATGCTTTTTAGGTTAATTAAGAAGCCCCATTTGTCCATTTTTACTTTCGTTGCATTTGTTTTTGAGGTCTTTGAGTCATAAATTATTTGCCTATACCAATGTCCAGAAAAGGTTTTCAGTAAGAACTTTTATACTTTCAAGTCTTACATTTAAGTTGTTAACCTGTCTTGAGTTAATTCTTGTATATGTTGAAATACATAGATTTTTTCTTCTGCATGTGGCTATCCAACTTTCTCAGCACCATTTATTGAATAGGGTGAGTGTGGATCATTTTTGACAGATTTTAAATGTTATATAAATGGAATTATACTGCATGCACATTGTTTTCTGACTTTGTTCATTATTACTGACTTTTGAAATTCACAGATGTTGTTGCTTATAGTTGCAAAATGTTTATTCTAATTGATGCATACTATACCTTTGCATAGAAATAGCAGGTATTAATTTCTGATATTCTGACAGACATTTGGGTAGTTTGAAATTTGGGGTATTATGAATAGTGCTGCTGTGAATATTCTACAGCATGTCTTTTGGTCAACATTATGTTTGAAAATCAGATATATGCATACACGGGAAGTGTCAATGCTTGCATATTCCCACATTGAACATTAGTAAATATTTCCAGTGATTTTCCTAAGTGGTTGTATCCATTATATTCCTATTAGTAGTAAATGAGTGTCTTCATTTTTGCTTATCTTTGGTATTTTTCTTCTTTTCATAGTTATTCCTCATATAAAATGAAATGCAAACACCACTGTACAGTTGGATGAAAGCTCATAAATGTAAACCCCATGAGGCAAATATTTTAAATATTTTTTGTTTTGATGTGTTAGTTTTTTCATTTAATATAAAGTGTTTCTAATATTTTATTTGATAAAGAATGGGTTTAACTAGTGCCCGAGAGTTGGCAACAAAATAGTGTAAATTCTTTTATAAATTATTTTAATTTTGTTATTTTAACAGCTTTACTGAGAGATGATTGACATGAAATAACTGCCCACACTTTAAGTGCATAATTTGATAGGTTTTGTTATTTGTGTACCGCCATGAAACCATAAAAATGCAAACAATGCATATATCCATAATCCATACACATTTCCCAAGCCCATTGATCCTGCCATGTTGCTACTCCCCACACAGGCAGTCACTAATCTGGTCTGCATTCTTTCATTATAAATTAGCTTTCATTTTTTATACTTATATATAAATAGAACAAGACTGTATGTATTCTTTGTAGTCTAACATGTTTCATTTAGCATAAATGTTGAGATTCATCCATATTGGTGTATATAACAACAGTTTATTTCTTTTTATTATTTGATAGTATTCCACTGTATTGAGAGACTACACATTGTTTAGCCATCTGTTGATTTATATTTACATTGTTTCCAGATGTTATCTATTACAAAAATTGTTACTATATAGATTTTGACTTATATTTACATTGTTACCAGATTTTATCTATTACAAAAATTGTTACTATATACATTTATATGGAAGGCTTTGTATGGGCATCAGCATTCTATTCTACTGGGTAAATTGTATAATAGCTGATTTATGTGATTTGTATTTACCTCCTTAAGAATCTCTGAAACTATAAATTTTGTTTTAAATATCAGTGTTTTAAATATCAGTATATGGTTCCTACCCCCACATCTTGGCCAAAGTTAATGTGGTCAGCCCTTTTAAATGTAAACAATTTTTAAAGGAATGAGTAGCATCTATTTGTGATTTTAATTTGCATTTCTCCAATGACCTATGTTGTTGGGCGTCTTTACATGTGCTTATTTTGCCCCCCTTTTTTATAGAGTTGGTTTTTTAAATTAAGTTTCAAGGATTCACTATATATTCTGAATACAAATACTTTATCAGGTATATATTTTACAAATATTTGTTAAGGGGCAGTGGCTTGCCCTTTTATTCCCCTAACAGTGGCTTTTGAATAGCAAAAGTCCTAATTTTTTTATGTTGTCCAACTTATCACATTTTGGGGTCATATTTTTGGTGTCATATCTACAAAATCTGCGCTCAAAGTCCCTGAGGATTTCTCTTATGTTTTCTTCTAGAAGTTTTAAATTTTGGTATGTAATCAACTTTGAGTTAATTTTTGAACATGGTGTGAAATACAGCTCTAAGTTTATCTTTTTTACATATAAATATATAATTATTCTAGCACAATTTGTTTAAAAAGCTAAAGTTTATCCATTGTATTGCTTTGAACATTTATTAGAAATCCATTTTCCATATATTTGCATGTCTATTTCTGGTTTCTTATTCTATTTTACTGACCTGTATGTCTGTTAATGACAGTACCACGCTGACTTGATAACTGTAGCTTTATAGTGAGTTTCAATATTGGGCAGTGTATTTCCTCCAACATTTTTTTTTCAAAGTCATTTTAACTATTCTTGGTCCTTTGAGTTTTACAATAAGGTTTACAATCAGCTTATCACCTTCTGCAAAAGAGCCTGATGGATGATTTTGACAGAAATTTTCTTATATGGATAAACAAATTTAGAGATTTCTGCTCTTTTAACAATAGTGAATCTTTTGATCTATGAAAATTGCATGCCTCTCCATTTATTTAAATCTTCTTTAATTTATCTCAGTAATGACTTGGAGTTTCCAGTGCACAATCTCACATTTTCTGGCTAAATTTATTTGCAAGTATTTAAATTTATTTGCAAGTATTTTATTTTCTGATGCTATTTTTTGTGAAATTTTTTATTTTCTTTTGTGTAGGAAGAGCACCTACCTAACGAGAGATCTAGATTGTTAGAGTTTTAAGTGTACTTATTGTTGACTATAGCTACAATGTTGTACAGCAGATCTCTAGATCTTACTCATCTTGCTTCACTGACACTTTATGCCCATTAATTTGTAATTTTCCACCCCATCATACTACCACCCCAACAACCACCATTCTATTCTTTAATTATATGAATATGACTATATTAGGTACTTCACATACGTGGAACTGTGGAACATTTGTCTTTCTCTGACAGCTTATTTCACTTAGCATCATGTACTCAAGATTTATTCATGTCACTGCATATTGCAGAATTTTCATTTTAAAGGCTGAGTAGTCCTTCATTACATGTATATGCCACACTTCCTTTATCCACACATTATTGATGAACATTTAGGTAGTTTCCACATCTTGAGTATTGTGAATAGTGCTATGATGGATACAAAATTGTTAATTTTGGGATGCTAATTTTAATTTCTTTAAATATGTCTCCATTGGTGGGATGGCTGGATCATATGACAGTTCTATTTTCAATTTTTGAGGAACCTCCATACTGTTTTTCATAACAGCTGCACCATTTTATATCCTTACCAACAGTATGCAAGGGTCCCAAGTTCTTCACATCCTTTATTTGTTGAAAAATAATAGTCATCCTGACAGGTATGAGGTGATATCTCATCATGGTTCTGATTTTTATTTCCTTGATGATTAGTGTTATTTGCATATTTTTTCACATACCTGTTGGCCATTTGTGTGTTTTCTTGAAGCAATGTCTACTCAAGTCAACCCATTTTTTAAACAAGTTATAAGGTATTTTGTTCTTTGTTTGTTTTCACTATTAGGTCATAGGGATTTCTTATATATTCTTATATATTTTGGATATTAACTCTTTATCAGATATATGGTTTGCAAATATTTTCTCCCACTCAATAGGTTTCACTCTGTTGATTGTTTCATTTGCTGTATAGAGCTTTATAGTTTGATATAGTCCCACAATGAAATCATTGCCAAGATCAATGTAATGAATCTTTTCTCTCATGCTTTCTTCTAGGAGTTTTACATATATAGGTCACATTTTTCTTTAATTCATTTTGAGTCCATCTGTATGTATGGTGTAAGATAAGAATCCAACTCATTCTTTTGTAAAGACTTTCTCAAACATACCAAAATTAAGGGAATCCATCACCAATAGATTTACCTTACCAAAAAATTCTAGAGGGAGTTCTTCCGGTTGAAATGAAAAGATGCTAAACAGCAAAATGTCAGGATAAAAAATTATAAAACTAGTTGGCAAAGATAAATATAGAGACAAAAATAGAATACAGTGTTGCTGTAATGGTGATGAGTAAATCACTTTTAATTTTACTGTAAAAGTTAAAAGACAAAAGTATTAAAAATAACTATAACTAAAAATACGTTACAAGATACACAATATGAATAGATGTGAATTGTGACAACAATAACACAGAGTGGAGGAGGGTGTAAATGTGTAGTTTTTTTATGTGATTGAGCTTAGATTGTTAATGGCTTAAAATGGACTTTATAAGTTACTTTATATGAGCCACAAGTAGCTAATCACAGACACGCAACACACAACTATACAAATTTCACACACACAAAAAGAGTAATCAAAGCAAATAAATACAAGATATTCCATGCAAATACATACATAAATAAAAATATTCCATGCAAATGCCAAAATGGAGCATAAGTGGTCAGACTTATATCAGACAAAATAGACTGTCAAAAAGTGTCACAGTAGACAAAGTCTTTATGTTATGATAAAACAGTCAATGCACCAGAAAGGTATGACATCTGAGCACCCAACATCTGACCACATAAGTATATAAAGCAAACAGTGACTGAACTAAACGGAGAAATAGATATCAATACAATGATGGTAGGAGACTTCAATGTCACATGTTCAATAATATATAAAATATCCCAACAGAAGATCAATAAGAAAACAGAGAGTTTGAATCATACTAAACACCAAATGGACCTAACATACATACACGAAATATTCCACTCAACAGCAGCAAAATGCGTGTTGCTCTCAAGTTCACACAGCTCTTTCTCCAGGACAGATCAAATGTTATATCATAAAAATAAAAGTTAACAAATTTAAGAAGATTGAAATCAGAATAAGTATCTTCTCAGATCACAAGGGGATGAAAGTAGAAATCAATAGCAAAAGGAAAACTTGAAAATTTACAGAATGTGGGAATGAAACAAAACACTAGTGAACAATCTTTGTGTCAAAGAAGAAAACAAAATGGAAACAAATACCTCAAGACAAATGAATATGAATATGCAACATGCCAAAAATTATGGGCTGCAGCAAAAGCAGCACTAACAGGGAGGTTCATGGTGATTAACACTTGCATTTTAAAAAATGAGAGAGAAAGATTTCAAATAAACAACCTAACATTACCCTTCAAAGAACTAGAAAGAGAAAAATGAACTTTGCCCAAAATTAGCAGAAAAAAAATAGCAAGTATTAGAGCAGAAATAAATGAAATAGAAAACAGAAAAACAAACAAACAAAAATCAGTGAAACTAAAAGCTGTTTTTAAAATGGCAAACAAAATTGATAAAACATTACCTAGAAAAAAGAGAGAGAGAAAATGCAAATAAATAAAATCAGGAATGAAAGGAGAGACATAAAATCTGAACAATTATGAGAAATTGATGAGAGACATTGGTCTGTAGTTTCCCGTCCTCGTGAAGTCTTCTGGTTTTGCTACTGGGGGCGATGCTGGCATTATCGAATGAGTTAGGAAGTCACACCCCTGCTTCTATTTCCTCAAAGGTATTGCAGAGAATTAGCGTAATTTCTTACTTAAATGTTTGGTTATATTCACCGGTGGCTATATCTGGGCCTGACAGCTTATTTAACGGAAGGGTTTTAATTATTGATTTAATTCTTTTAGTATGTATAGGCCTATTAGAATTATCTGTTTCATCTTGTGTGAGTTTTGTTTTATTGTGTTGTTCAATGAATTGTTTTTTTATAAAGATTATAAAATATTTGAGAATAGGGTTATTTACAATATTTCTCTATTACCGCTTACATGTTCATTTGATCAGCAGTTAGCCTTCTTTCATTTTCATACTAATAAGTTATGTCTTTTTTCCATTTTTCTTGGTATGGCCAGAGGTTTATCAATGTAACTGATGTTTTCAAAGAACCAGTCTTTCATTGATTTTCCTTTATTGATTTGCTTTTTTTTTTCTATTTTATCAATTTTTACTGTACTGTTTTCTTTTCTTTATTTTGGATTTACTTTAACCTTCTTTCCCTAGTTTGCTAAGGTGAAAGCTTAAATTTCTGACTTTAGATATTATATACGCATTCCATGCTGTGCATTTTTCTGTAAGTTTTGCATTTGATGGGTCTCACAAATTTTGATAGGTTGTATTTCATTTTTATTTAGTTCAAAATTATTTTAAAATTTCTCTTGAGACTACTTTAACCCGTGTGTTATTTGTGAATTTGTTGCTTAATCTCCAAGTATTTTAGGGCTTTACAGTTCTCTTTTTGTTACTGATTTCTAGTTCAATTTCATTTTGGTCTCAGAACATACATAGTAGGATTTCATTGCTTAGGCTTGTTAAGGTACATTGTAAGACAAAGAATTTGATCTACAATTGAGAATGTTCTGTGTGGTCTTGAGAATAATGTTTATTCTGCTCTCATTGTATGGAATATTCTCTAAATATAACTAGATCAAGTTGACTGATCATGGTATTAAGGTCAATTATATACAGTAAATTCTCACTTAACATTGTCTGTCTGCAAGTTCTTGGAAAATGCAACTTTAAGTGAAACAATATGAGCAGGTCCTCAAAGAAAAAATTGTTTTTTCAACAATGTTTCATTATAATATTGATGAGAAAAGATGGTTTCATTGTATGTCCTTTCATTTCAAGTCACAGTTTTGAAGAACTTGATGGAATTAAGTGAGGACTTACTATACTTACTGATTTTCTACATGTTGATGTGTCAATTACTAAGAGAAGGGAGTTAGACTAGTCAACTCTTATAGAGGATTTTTCTATTTGTCCTAGAAGTTCTATCAATCAGATTTTGCCTCATTTATTTTGATACTGGTGTTACACACACACAAAGATCTTTCTCCAATTTTTTACTTTTAATTTACCTGTGTCTTTACATTTAAAGGGTGCTTCTTGTAGACAACATAGAGTTTGGTCTTGTTTATTAAATTTCTTCTGATATACTCTGACAGTCTCTGTCTTTTTTTATTGTTACTATACTTTAAGTTCTAGGGTACATGTGCACAACATGCAGGTTTGATACATAGGTATGCATGTGCTATGTTGGTTTGCTGCACCCATCAACTCATCATTTACATTAGGTATTTCTCCTAATGCTATCCCTCACCCAGTCCCCCATCTCCCAACAGGCCCTGGTGTGTGATGTTCCCTGCCCTGCAACCAAGTGATCTCATTGTTCACTTCCCACCTATGAGTGAGAACATGCAGTGCTTGGTTTTCTGTCCTGTGATAGTTTGCTCAGAATGATGGTTTCCAGCTTCATCCATGTCCCGGCAAAGGACATGAACTCATCCTTTTTTATGGGTGCATAGTATTCCATGGTGTACATGTGCCATGGTTTCTTAATCCAGTCTATCATTGATGGACATTTGGGTTGGTTCCAAGTCTTTGCTATTGTGAATAGTGCCACAATAAACATATGTGTGCATGTGTCTTTATAGTAGCATGATTTATAATCCTTTGGGTATATACCCAGTAATGGGATGGCTGGGTCAAATGGTAATTCTAGATCTAGATCCTTGAGGAATCGCCACACTGACTTCCACAATGGTTGAACTAATTTATGCTCCCACCAAAAGTGTAAAAGCGTTCTATTTCTCCACATCCTCTCCAGCATCTGTTGTTTCCTGACTTTTTAATGATTGCCATTCTAACTGGTGTGAGATGATATCTCATTTTGGTTTTGATTTGCATTTCTCTGATGGCCAGTGATGATGAGCATTTTTTCATGTGTTTTTTGGCTGCATAAATGGCTTCTTTTGAGAAGTGTCTATTGATATCCTTTGCCCACTTTTTGATGGGGTTGTTTGTTTTTTTCTTGTAAATTTGTTTGTGTTCTTTGTAGATTCTGGATATTAGCACTTTGTCAGAAGGGTAGACTGCAAAAATTTCCTCCCATTCTGTAGGTTGCCTGTTCACCTGGATGGTAGTTTCTTTTGCCATGCAGAAGCTCTTTAGTTTAATTAGATCCAATTTGTCTATTTTGGCTTTTGTTGCCATTGCTTTTCGTGTTTTAGTCGTGAAGTCCTTGCCCATGCCTATGTCCTGAATGGTATTGCCTAGGTTTTCTTCTAGGCTTTTTATGGTTTTAGGTCTAACATTTAAGTATTTAATCCATTTTGAATTAATTTTTGTGTAAGGTGTAAGGAAGGGATCCAGTTTCAGTTTTCTACATGCGACTAGCCAGTTTTCCCAGCACCGTTTATTAAATAGTGAATCCTTTCCCCATTTCTTGTTTTTGTCAGGTTTGTCAAAGATCAGATGGTTGTAGATGTGTGGTGTTATTTCTGAAGTTTCTGTTGTGTTCCATTGGTCTATATATCTGTTTTGGTACCAGTACCATGCTCTTTTGGTTACTGTAACCTTGTAGTATGGTTGGAAGTCAGGGAGGGTGATGCCTCCAGCTTTGTTCATTTTGCTTAGGATTGTCTTGGCAATGTGGGCTCTTTTTTGGTTCCATATGAAATTTAAAGTAGTTTTTTCCAATTCTGTGAAGAAAGTCATTGGTAGCTTGATGGGGATGGCATTGAATCTACAAATTACTTTGGGCAGTATGGCCATTTTCACGATACTGATTCTTCCTATTCATGAGCATGGACTGTTCTTCCATTTCTTTGTATCCTCTTTTATTTTATTGAGCAGTGGTTTGTAGTTCTTCTTGAAGATGCCCTTTACATCCCTTGTAAGTTGGATTCCTGGTATTTTATTCTCTTTGAAGCAATTGTGAATGGGAGTTCACTCATGATTTGGCGCTCTGTTTGTCTGTTATTGTATAGGAATGCTTGTGATTTTTGCACATTGATTTTGTATCCTGAGACTTTGCTGAAATTGCTTATCAGCTTAAGGCAATTTTTGGCTGAGACAATGGGGTTTTCTAAATATACAATCATGTCATCTGCAAACAGGGACAATTTGACTTCCTCTTTCCCTAATTGAATACCCTTTATTTCTTTATCTTGCCTGATTGCCCTGACCAGAACTTCCAACACTATGTTGAATAGGAGTGGTGAGAGAGGGCATCCTTATCTTGTGCCAGTTTTCAAAGGGAATGCTTCCAGTTTTTGCCCATTTGGTATGATATTGGCTGTGGATTTGTCATAAATAGCTCTTATTGTTTTGTGATACATTCCATCAATACCTAGTTTATTGAGAGTTTTTAGCATGAAGGGCTGTTGAATTTTATCAAAGGCCTTTTCTGTATCTATTGAGATAATCGTGGTTTTTGTCATTGGTTCTGTTTATGGGATGGATATTAACATTGAACGTGATTATTGATATATTTGAATTAATATCTATTGTTTTATTGTTTTAGCCCTTGCTATTTATTGCCCTTGTTTTTCTTATCTTTTATCTTTCACTGTTTTTTTCTCGGGGGGGGGCCTTCTCTGATTTTAGTTGACCATTTTATATTATTCCATGTTATACTTCATTTTTAATATTTTTTAGTGCTTGCGCCAGTGTTCAGTGCCCTGAATTTGTCCTGTTTGCAGTTCATTAAGCTTCTTGGATTTGTATATTTATGATTTTCATAAAATTTTAAAAGTTTTGGGGCATTATGTCTTCAAATAGTCCTTCTCTCTCTTTCTTTCATTATTCTCTCCATATGGTACTCACAAAATGAGAATGTTGTTCCACTTGGTAGTGGTCTTCAGGTCTCTTGGGCCCTGATCAAATCTCTCCATTCTTTTTGCTTTCTGGTCCTCAGATTCAACCATTTCAATTGTTCTGCCTACAAGTTTACTGCTTCTTTTTTCTCTCTGCCCAAATTCACTTTTAAACCCTTGTAGTGAATTTTTAATTTTAGTTATTGTACCATTCAGCTCCAGAATTTGTTCAGTTCCATTTAGTAATTTCTATCTCTATTGATATTCTCATTTTGTCCATACATGTTTTTCTTGATTTTCTTTAGTTCTCTGTCCATGTTTTCCTTTAGGTGTTTGAGTACATTTTAAAGCCGTTGTAAGTCTGATTTTTGAGCTTCCTCAGGGATGATTTCTGTCAATTAATTTTGTTCCCGTGAATAGGTCATGCTTTCCTTTTCCTTTTTAAGCCTTGTGAATTTTCATTGTTGTTGAAAATTGGCTATTTGACTGTCATAACAAGGAAACTCTGATTATCTCCTCATCTACCTTACTCAGGGTTTGCCAGTTTCTTGATTTTTGAAGACTTAATTAGTTCATTTGTTTAGTGACTTACCAGGCTATTTTTGCAAAGACTGTATTTTTTGGCTTTGTAGTCACTGAAGTCTGACTCCCAGAGTTTTTGTTCAGGTAATGTTTTGACAGTGACTTTTTGGAAAACAGGAGCTAATTTTTAATACTAATAATAAGTACATAGCCAAAAAACAAAGGAAACAAGCACAAACAAAATAACTCTTAACTCTTCTATTCAGTGCAGGCTGAGTCTGTGCTGGAGCACTGCTTTTACACTGAGCCAGACTTTCGCTGAGCCTAGGAATTAGCCTCAGGTGACAGCTCATTATCTTCTTTGATATTTTCTAGCATGAATCTTGCAATAATCATGCATATGGCATTCTAAATTTTCCATATATCCACGTAATTTTGAATTTCCTTGTTAAATTCCTAGTTATTTTCTGCTCTGTCATTTGTTCTAAACATACTTGTTATATCAGCCTAGCAGGATAGTTAGTCCTCCATGTTCTCCTGACAACATAACTGCCAGTGTAATCAACAATACTCCAACAAATATAGTAATTCCCTTTTTCCTCCCACCCCACCCTGAAGCAGCAAACCTAATGGCTTTCAAATATAGCTTCATCCTAGTTGAACTACCATGTTGACGAAGTTGGGTCAGGCTAGTCTAAGGTAAGAAATCAGTCTAGGGTAAAAAAGCCTGGACTTGCAGCCTTGTTAACAGAAGTAGTTTTCATGAACAAAAGTTTATTTATATTTATCTTGCCTGAGATTCACTTAGCTTCTTGGATACAAGTACTGACTTTCTTCAACTTGTTGAGAAAATTTGGAGTCATTATTTTTTCAAATGTCTTTTCTGTACATTCTTTCTCATTTTTTATCTGAATTACCCTTTAAGTATATACAAGAAAAATATATATTGCCTTAGAAACATGTAACTCATTTCATCTATTTTTCCTTTCTCAAATGTCAGAATTGTTTACTTGTTGACAAATACCTCATACAATTTTCTAGAATTATTCTGTCACAGCCAAAAAAGGAAGTCCTTATTGCTGTTCCTTTTAATCTTCTTTTTCAGAGATTAATAATCTCAGAGATGTTTCTGAATCACTGTTGCTTACAGAAGTTATCTCCAGTGTTTTTATCTCATCTCACTCTACACAACTGTATCATCCCATGAGTTACTTTGATTAGCTAAACAACCTATAAACTAAGTATGACCATTCCCTGATACCCTTAACGACACCAGCATCAAACACGCAGTGATATTGTCACATTAATTTTCCCACAGATAACTAAACCTCTGTCTATCCAAACTTAAATGCATTATTTTCATGCTCTGTTCATTCTCTGATATTTTCATGCAAACTTTTTATAACTGTGCATACATAAAACACATTGATCAACATGCCTTTATTCATTGTTATTCACAAAAATTGATATTGTGTAGCAACTTATTTTTCCTTTTATTGTTTACTTTGGGACCTTAAAATTAAAGCTACTGCTTTCCAGTAATTTTCATTCATTAAGACTCACATCACCAAACCTATTTACCACATTGCTGCCTGGGTGGACTTTATAAAATGTGAATCTCAATTTTATTGCCTCACCAGACACTCAATAACATGTCTGTGGAGGGAATGTATGAATGAATGAATAATTGAATCAATAAGTAGCCTATGATATTGACAGAGATGGGAGGCAGAGAAATTTTAGGCAGAAAAAGGCAGGTCCCCAACTAAGGCTGAACCTCAAGCTGAAAAGCCTGAGACTGCAGCCCAAAGTGAGAACTAATATCCCTGTTTTCTCACTTGAATGTTGCCTTTTCCTAAACCACCCATGGTCCTATTCCACCCCCATCCTGTGCCTATAAAGACCCCAGACTCAGCTGGCACAGAGGAGAAGCAGCTGGACGTCAGGGACTATGGCTTGACATTGAAGAGAAGTGGCTTGATTTCAGAAGGACAGCTTGATGGCATAACTTCAGAGAAGAATCTGGCTGGAGATGGCTGGACTTCAAGAGAAGATTACCTTCCCACCCCATCCCCTTTTCGGCTCCCCTTCCCACTGAGAGCCACTTTCATCAGCAATAAAATCCCCTGCATTTACCATACTTCAATTTGCTCACATGACTTCATTTTTCCTGGACACCAGACAAGAGCTCGGGAGCCATGAGTGCGGATGCAAAAGACTGTCACACTGGCTCTTTGCCCTTGCTGGCAGAGAGCTACCACCTCACATGAAAAGGAAGAGGGCCCACTGAGCTGTTCACAGTTGTTAGCAGATGGCAGAGCTAAAGGAGCACTGTAACATGCCCTCTGGAGCTTCAAGGGTCACTGGAACCTCTCCAGATGCGGCCGCAGGGCCCGCACTGTGTTTGCTCCTGCCAATGCTCAAAAGTGCTCACCTTGGCCCCTGCACCTTGGCCCCTGCACCCTGCACCTGTGTTCTCCCTCCTTCAAGGGTTGGAACACATCAGGTCCCAGTGAGTGGAGTTTGCCACTGCTGGCACTGAAGCAGCCAGCTGGTTCCAGTGCTCATGCACTCCAGTTCCCACCTCATTCACTCACACACTCCCTCCTGCAAGGAGTTGAGAACTGCAGGTTGTGCAAATGAGGCACCCCTGTCACAGGTCCCAAGAAGGGGTCAGGGAACTATCCTGTTTCAATATTGCCTTCATTTATAGAAACAAATAAAGCATAAATGTTATGCCATCACTCAAAATGTGATTGATTTTACTATCCTTTCTTAAAGAAATGCATTTATATTTTGCCATGTTTTTCCAGAGTTCATTGAGAATAAATACTGTATGGTACAGTTGTTTTTTAACAGCCTACAGAGTTTGTAATAATATGGAATGAAAATCATTTGTTTAGTTTTTATAATTCTATATGAGATTTTAAAAATTTTGTTGAATGACATTTGTTGAAACTTATTAGTACTGTGTTCTAACTTATTTGAGTTAATTGAAGCTGAATATCTCTGAGAATATCTGATTATAAATACTGTGTAAGATTACAGTAGTCACTCCCCCTTATCTACAGTTTTGGTTGCACAGTAACAACCATGGGCAACCACTGTCTGAAAATATTAAATGAAAAATTCCAGAAATCAACAATTCATAAGTTTTAAACTGCATGCTGTTCTGGGTAGCATGATGAAATCTCCCATCATTCCTTTCTGTCTCACCCAGGACCTGAATCATTCCCAAGTCCAACGAATACATGCCGTATATGCTACCTGTCCATTAGTCACTTTGCCATCTTGGTTATCAGGTTGACTGTTACGCCGTTACAGTGCTTTGTTCAAATCACCCTTATTTTACTTCATCATGATCCCAAAGGGCAAGATTAGTGAGGTCATCAATTTGTATATGCCAAAGAGAAGCCAAAAATTCTTTCCTTAAGGAAAAGGGTGAATACTCTTGACTTCATAAGGAAAATATATTAATACATACATATTCCAAATATATGTAAGAAAAAATGTATATGTATACTTACAAATGTATGTGTATAATTATAAATATTTTAATATTTAAATAAACTTGTATGTTTATATTTACAAATGTCAACATTTGACAAAATATACATACAAAATATACATACATACATATTTTCCTTAATAAGGAAACTATTCATTGCTAAGATCTATGGTTAAAACAAATCTTCAGTTCATAAAATTGTAAAGAAGGAGAAAGAAATCTGCACCGGTTTTGCAGATGTATCTCAAACTACAAAAGTTAAGACTGCAGTGCATGATAAATGCTTAGTTAAGACAGAAAAGACGTTAAATTTGTAAGTAGAAGACATGAACAGAACATGTGTTCTGATTAACAGCAACGTGTTGCACCAGAAGACATTTGAACCTGTAGAAATACTTCAGCATGGAATTCCCTGAAATGAGTGAGCCATTTATTGCAAGTAAGAGATGGTTACACAGATTCAGGAATAGGTTTGGACTGAAAAACAGAAAAATTGCTGGAGAGGCTGTGTCTCCTGATGAAAAATCAGCTGCCACAGTCTTCTGGAAGACCAGTGGAACCTTCAGTAATGAAAGTGCAAAGGAGACGCCATGGCATAAAACATGGAAGGACAGTTAATCATTGCTGTTACTGAGCCTGATTGATGATCTTTATCATAGATATGTATATGTAGGAAAAAGCATAGTACATTTAGAGCTTGGTGCTATCTACAGTTTCAGGCATCCACTGAGGGTTTTAGAATGTATCCCCCACAAATAAGGAGGGACTGCTGCAATGTAGATGAAGCTACCATTCAAGATGACTTAGATTTGTTTAATTAACTTTATATAAAACAACCTTCTATTTTGCTTTAGAAAACAAATTTCCACTTACCAGATTTCTGAAAATTTCCATCATCAATACTACCCCCTGGGGAACCAAACTGGAATTTACAATCTGGAGGTCTATGTCCAGGGAAGCATTGACAATTACCAAAATTATTACATATCTGAAACAGAAAAATACAGAAACAGTTTGAGTCGTCTTAGTCTTTGTATCTGATACAAGGTCTTTGTATCTGATATAAATAACTAAATTTCATAGAATAATTATTTTTTCTTAAGATTATTATGACTATATAATGTGAGAAATAGGTTAGAAAAAGTAGTAAAAATTTTGACAACATAATGGCCAAATGGGAAAATACCTACATGAAAGTTTATTTCTGGCCTCTATACATTGAGCATTAATGTCTTCTTCAATCGTCTTTAAAAAATAAGATTTAATAAAGTTGTAGTCTTCATATTCAGAGAGGTTAAATTTTTTAAATGACTGTTATTTAGTAATTTGGAAACATTCGTTGTCACTATTTGGACATTTTCTATTCATGCACTTCAATGTCTATAGAAAGCATTGTGATAAAATAAATATCAATTGATTGGCCACTTTAATTCCTTATCCTAGCCCCTTTTCAACATTTGACATTATTGGTCAATAATGTGCATTTTATTTTTAAGTAATTATATTTTCCATAATAAAATAACATACGTGCAAAGCAAATATTATAAATCAACAATCAAATACAACTTTATGATAAGATTCCATTGCTAGAAGTTAACATTTGACAATGTTTCTGTATTATTCATGCCTTTGTATTAATATTTCTACAGTTTAGTATTTTCATTTTAAAATAAAACAAGTAAGTACATATTTTGTAAAATTCAAACAATAAAAGTGTATAGAACTGAAATTCCTCAACCACTATTTAAGTCCCATTTCCAACTGCTAAAGATGTTGTGTTTCATTCATATATATCAAATGCATTTATAAATACACGTACTCACATCCACAAACACACATATACATTAATAGATTTTTACCAAATAATATCCATAACAATATACTATGAACTTCTTCTCATACCTGTATGTATAAAGACATCACAGGCACATTTTTAAAATTAGACTCATAATATTCAGTAGTGTAAGTATTCCCTGTAATTTTCCTATAGATATTGTGTCCTTTCCGTTTATACTCATTTTGCTAAATTGTTTATATAGTATATTGAAATTGATTACCTCTTTTCTACATATCAAAAGAGATTTCAATAAAGTGAGTTTGAATTATAGCCCTGAATTCCATGAAGTAGTATTCTATTTTATATATCCATGTTTTTGTTGTTGAATATTTAGTGCACAGTATTTTAATATTAGAATCAGAATATCACTTATGCATTTTTTTAGATGGGGTCTTGCTTTGTTGCCCAGGCTGGTCTTGAACTCCTGGGCTCAAGTAATCCTCCTGCATCAGCTTCTCAAATTGCTAGGATTACAGGAGTGATCTGGCCTTATGCATCTTTTTAACTTATTCCACAACTGTAATCCTCTTCTGAATTAATTTACATTTATTTAAATACCTGAAGACAACAAAGGATCTCATTATTTTATTTTGCTAACTTTAAAAGAAACAGCCAGAGCAAAGCAACTTTAACAAAAGATGAAGAAAAATGTGATATTTTGGAGATTACGTAACAATTGGCTTTCAAAGAGAAAAAAGAAAAACAAGCACAAACCTGGCAATAATTCTAAGAACACACACACACAAAAGATAACCTTACAATATTCTGTACAGTGTAAAGAGACTAAATATAGCATCAGACTCTTCCCTGATAAGACTAAAAGCAACTGTATAGTAGAACAGAGTTTCAAAGTTTGAAGGTAAACCAAAGTATGATAATTCTTAAACAACAAAAGTGTCATTTATATGGAAGACCATCATTTTTGCATTTTGATATCAATATCTCTGAATGCATTTTTCTCACATATATATTTTCCTCTATATTTTGACAAAGTGTTATTCCAGTTCCCCACCCCTCCAATGAAAGTACAAGGACATGACAGAACATTTGATCTAGGATAGCAAATCTAAATATATTATACTTTTAACTGTAACATAATTAAAACACAGAATTAACATAATGCATATAATCCCTTATAATATCAGGAACTTCAAGTCCAAAATTTCCCAAAAACCACAAATGTTAGAGGTTTAAGGTAAAGGGTAGGTACAAACGCAAAAATGGTCACTCCTTAACTGCATGTGCAAGGAGAAATAGGTTTTATTTAAGCTGGGCATAGAAATAGACAAATAAGGAAAAATAAACAAATGTTTAAATTCCCAGGTAACTGGGTCCCCCCAGCCAAAACAAAGTCACATTATAGAATTTACTTTGTATTAGGGCAAGTCATGGCAAGATAAAACATTAAAAATGATTTATAAAAAATTTAAAAATATGTTGAATTTTATCAAAAGCCTTTTCTGCATCTTTTGAGATAATTGTGACTTTTTTGTCTTTAGTTCTGTTTGTGATGAATCACATCTATTGATTTCCATATGTTGAACCAACCTTGCATCCTGGAGATGAAGACTATCTGATTGTGGTGGATAATCTTTTTTGATGTGCTTCTGAATTCGGTTGACCAGTATTTTGTTGAGGATTTTTGCATCGATGTTCATGCAAGATATAGGCCTAAAATTTTAATTTTTTGTTGTGTGTCTGCCAGATTTTGGTATCAGGATGATGCTGTCCTCATAGAATGAGTTAGGGAGGGGTTCCTTTCCAATTTTATGGAATAGTTTCAGTAGTAATTGTACTAGCTCATCTTTGTACCTCAGGTAGAAATCACCTGTGAATCTATCGTCCTGGGCTTTTTTTGGTTGGTAGGCTATTTATTACTGCCCCAATTTCAGAGCTTGTTATTGGTCTTTTCAATGATTCAATTTCTTCTTTGTTCATTCTTGGGAGAGTGTATGTGTCCAGGAATTTATCCATTTCTTCTAATTTTCTAGTTCATGTGCATAGAGGTGTTTATAATATTCTCTGATGGTTGTTTGTATTTCTGTGCAGTCAGTAGTAATATCCCCTTTATCATTTCTGATTGTGTGTACTTGAATCTTCTCTTTTTTCTTCTTGGTTAGTATAGCTAGTGGTCTATTTATCTTATAATTTTTTCAAAAAATAAACTCCTGAATTGGTTAATCTTTTGAATGTTTTTGTGTGTGTCTCAATTTCCTTCAGAAAAGACTTCTGATAAAATTCAACATCCCTTCAAGTTAAAAACTCTCAATAAACTAGCTATTGAAGGAACATACCTCAAAACAATAAGAGCCATGTATGACAAAACCACCGCTAACATCATAATCAACGGGCAAAAGCTGGAAGCATTTCCCCTTGAAAACTGACATGAGCTAAGGTGCCCTCTCTCACCAATCCTATTTAACATAATATTTACAGTTCTGGGCAGGGCAATCAGGCAAGACAAAGAAATAAAGGCATTAAAATAGAAAGAAAGGAAGGTAAATTATTCCGCTTTGTGGATGACATGATCCTATATCTAAAAATAACCTCATTGTCTCAGCCTCAAAGCTTCTTAAGCTGATAAGCAACTTTAGCAAAATCTCAGGATACAAAATCAATGTACAAAAATTGCTAGCATTCTGATACACCAACAACAGTCAACCGGAGAGCCAAATCGCTAATGAAGTCCCATTCACAATTGCCACAAAAAGAATAAAATACCTAGGAATACAGCTAACTAGGCAGGTGAAAGGTCTCTACAAGAACTACAAAACATTGCTCAAAGAAATCGCAGATGACACAAATAAATAGAAAAACATTCCATGCTCACGGATAGGAAGAATCAATATTGTGAAAACAGCCTCACTGCCCAAAGCTATTTATAGATTCAACGCTATTCCCGTTAAATTAACATTGACTTGCTTCACAGAACTAGAGAAAACTATTTTAAAATTCACTGGGAAGCAAAAAAGAGTCCAAATGGCCAGGGCAATCCTATGCAAAAAGAACAAAGCTGGAGGCATCAAACTACCTGACTTCAAACTATATCACAGGACTACAGTAATCAAAACTGCATAGTACTGGTACAAGGACAGAACACATAGACCTATGGAACAGCAGAGAACCCAGACATAAGATCACACACCGACAACTATCTAATCTTCAACAGACTTGACAGAAACAAACAATGGGGAATGGATACTCTATTCAACAAATGGTGCTGAGATAACTGGCTAGCCATGTGCAGAAAACTGAAACTGAACCCCTTCCTTACACCATATACAAAAATCAACTTAAGATGGACTAAAGACTTAAAATTAAAATCCAAAACTACAAAAACCTTGGAATAAGACCTAGGCAATATCATTCAAGACATAGGCACCGGAAAAGATTTCATGATGCAGATGCCAAAAGCAATTGAAACAAAAGCAAAAATTGACAAATGGGATATTATCAAAGAGCTTCCATACAGCAAAAGAAGCTATCAACAGAGTAAACAGACAACCTACAGAATGGGAGAAAATATTTGCAAACTATGTATCTGAAAAAGGTCTAATATCCAGCATTGATAGGAACTTAAATTTACAAGAAGAAGAAAAAAAACCCCATTAAAAAGTGGGCAAATGACATGAACAGAAACTTTTCAAAAAAGACATACATGCAGCCAACAGTTATATGAAAAAAAGAAAAGCCTAACATCACTAATCATTAGAGAAATAAAAATCAAGACCACAATGAGATACCATTTCATGCCAGTCAGAATGGCTGTTATTAAGAAGTCAAAAAATAACAGATGCTGGCAAGGTTGTAGAGTAAAAGGAATACTTATACACTGTTGGTGGGAGTGTTAATTAGTTCAGCCACTGTGGAAGACAGTGTGGTGATTCCTCAAAGACCCAAAGACAGAAATCCCATTCAACCCAGCAATCCTATTTCTGGGTATATACCCAAAGGAATGTAACTCATTCTATTATAAAGACACATGCAGGCATATGTGCATTGCAGCACTAGTCACAATAGCAAATACATGGAATCAACCTAAATGCCCATCAAGGATAGACTTAATAAACAAAATGTGGTACATATACACCATGGAATACTATGCACCCATAAAAAGTATGAGATCATGTCCTTTGCTGGGACATGGATGGAGCTGGAGGCCATTATCCTTGGCAAACAAACACAGGAACAGAAAATCAAATACCACACGTTCTCACTTATAAGTGGGAACGAAATGATGACAACACATGGACACATAGAGGGGAACAACACACAGTGGGGCCCACCTGAGTGCAGAGATTGGGAGGAGGAGTGGGTCAGGAGAAATAACTAATGGATACTAGGCTTAATACCTGGGTGATGAAATAAGCAGTATCACAAATTCCCATGACACATGTTCACCTATGTAACAAAACTGCACATCCTTTCACACGTACCCTTGAACTTAAAATGAAAGCCAAAAATTAATTCATAATTAATTAAAAAATAAAAAAGAAAAATGTTTAAATGTGAAATATAAGAAATAAAGAGCATATAATGTCAGGAACAACAAGCATCTTAATAAAACGCAGAGATTATCACAACGTATTAAAAAGTGAAAATTAGGAAATAGAACAATACATATATCAGCAAATACAAGCAAAAATACACCACAATGAACATATCAAAAATAAGAATGAGAAAAATAAGATATATCAGAAATATATATATTTTTAGAAAAAAATTAAAAGATGGATAAAATTGCCAATTTTTGTATAAAATACAAATAAACCACACTTACATTACAATAAATTTTTTTTTTTTTTTTTTTTTTTTTTTTTTTTTTTGAGACAGAGTCTTGCTCTGTCGCCCAGGCTGGAGTGCAGTGGCGGGATCTCGGCTCACTGCAAGCTCCGCCTCCCGGGTTCACGCCATTCTCCTGCCTCAGCCTCCCAAGTAGCTGGGACTACAGGCGCCCGCCACTACGCCCGGCTAATTTTTTGTATTTTTAGTAGAGACGGGGTTTCACCGTTTTTTTTAGCCAGGATGGTCTCGATCTCCTGACCTCGTGATCCGCCCGCCTCGGCCTCCCAAAGTGCATTACAATAAATTTTAACTTATATGGGTCAATAGTTGGTGGGGAAAAAAGTTAAAAATATAATCAATTATTCTAAGTCTTATATGAACAGCAGGTCCAAATTCATTATTAGTTTTGAGCAAAAATTTTGGAAGCAAATATATTTACATCACTTAACCTTGTTAATATCATAGAAACAAAATATAAAAAGTGCCCCAAATCACTCTATAATCTGAATTTTTCATGTCATGTTATACTCAGAAATTAATGTTAATAATGTCCCAATTAGTTAAATAAAAAGAGGTTGGGATAACTTATTTTTATTAAATTTTCATTAGATTTCATAATTGTTTAAGAAAGATTAATTGCAAAATATTAGGACACATATTTACTATTACATTTACCTAAAAGTTCTATGTACATTTTTTCAAATTTCAGTGAGAGAATTGCTTTGTGAATATTCTCATATCAATTTTTGTGTTTACTTTGTCACATACATCTGACCAAGAAATACCAAGAAGGCAGATAAGCTCTATAAAATTCTGAATGAGAAAACTGCTTACATAAGTAAGCAATTATAAAATGAAATTACTGTACATCCATTTACAATTCATGACAAAATCATTTTAAGCTTCAACAACATTCTTTTTTATTTGTTGATAAATTTGATGTTAAAATTTCTAGTCATTATGTGATTTTCTTAAAAATCAATTTTTAATGCCATTTTCCAAGTAATGCCATAACTTTAATTTCTAGAATACACAAGCACTTTAAGAAAAATCACATTGTAGTTAATTTAAGTGTTATCAAAGTGGCATAAATCACACACAGATAGAATATTCTGGCCAATTCAGTCCCCCATTTCACATTGTTTTACACCCTATGCACTCTGAGTGTCCAGAAAATACATTTCTCTGTAATCTTTGTGTCCCTCTTGTTCACATACATTCTACAACCAATTTCTGAAAAAATTGCACAGGTGGTTGTGTACTTCTTTGGATATCCTCAGCTCATTGGGAAATATCAGAAATTTCAAGATTTTTCTAATCATCATTGCTGCCTCCTGGGGCAATAGGGTCCCATTATCACATTCTGCTCTGCTCTGTCACTCCTTGAAGATCCTTCTCATTGAAACAATATTTACTCTACAACCTCATCACCTGCAGGCCATCAGACTCAATACCTTGTGGCACACTTGTATTCAATCAGCAGTATAAATGTGGTCCAGTTATTAGATGAAAAACTGTGATTTATAAGTATTGCATTATTTTTATATCAAGATCATAAAACATCTCATATTAGCCCCCAAAATTCTACACACAGAATATTTAAGAAGACAAATTCATATATAATATTAACACCACACATCTCACTTGTGTATTAAAAAATAATAAACCAAAACTAAGGAGGGTTTATCCTAAAAATTAAAATATCATTCAGCTTTAGGAAATTCACTAATACGATTCATTCAAGTAAGATATTAATGGAAAAAAACACATGATATAATTAAATAATAAAAAATAATTCAATAAAATTAAAGTCTTTCTTCCTAAATTTTTTAGCAAGTTAAGCAAATATTGGAAGCTTCCATGAACGTAGAATGAATATGATGTACATTATTAAACTTTAGAATAATTCAACATGCAATTACTAACCTGAAAAACCATAAAAAACAAGTGAGACTTGTTAGTTCTTTAAGGAATGATAATTTCAAACTAATGATTGTCCTCTTTTCAAAGAGGCCCTTACCAATTTGGCACATTTAGAAGTATAACTCCAGCTTGACAGTAATCAGGGCAATTTTTAGGAGACAAAAATAAACAACAGAATTATTATCATTTTCTTGAAATGCAGGGGTTGGAAAGTGGAGTTGTGAAGGGCTAGATCATACAGCCATTATCTCCCTAAACACATTTTCCATATTCTTAAGCTAAAATCTAATTCAAAAATTTCTCTAAAGCACTGCTGTAATTCTTAGAGTTTCTTGATGCTGAGGAGATAAAGATGCTGCAGTTTTTTAGGTGAAAGATTTAGATACTTACACCATTGAAATATGGTGTAAGAGATTTATAAAACTGTGTCTTAGATTTATAAAGCTATGAACTTGTATTTACATAGCTCAATCCATAAATGGATTTAAACTAATCAGACCCACACTATTTCTGCCAAGAGAAAACTATAAAGCCTCTCTTGTAAAACTTACCATCATTGTTAAACATTCCATTGCAAATTATTTAAGGAGGTTTGTAAGGAAATAGAAAGGTATCAAGAAGAAAATCAGGCAATTGAAACTACTGTGAGAGGTAGCAGAAAATTAATGTAATCAACAAAGAACACTTCTGTGACTCCTGATGTGTTGGGGTATTTTCTCACACACCAAGCAATTCACCAAAAGGGTCTCCAGTGGACACTAGCTGGGTGTCAATACAATAAAAGATAATACATAAATTAACAATACCAGGAAAAAAGTGGAGTTATCACTACAAATTATATAGACTTTACAAGGATATAAAAAGAATATGCCAAATAATTATGGCTTAGATATGAGAAAAATTGATTAATAAATTCTAAAAATAGAGAAGATGAAATTTCCCCACTCAATTGAAATCTATTAAAAGTAAAGAAATTTAAAAATGGAAAAATAATATGAGTAAGTCAGGAACACAATACAAGGCTGTAAAAGCAAATTAGAAATGGCAGAATAATAATAGAA
The DNA here is from genome assembly GCF_000001405.40 of Homo sapiens. NCBI lineage: Eukaryota > Metazoa > Chordata > Mammalia > Primates > Hominidae > Homo > Homo sapiens. The sequence goes on along the minus strand of NT_187577.1, from coordinate 448,792 downwards.
CTAGAAAATAGCTTTAAAACACCCAGATTGAAGAATAAAGAATGAAAGCTTGAGAGATTCAGAATAAAATCTAACATGTATTTGGAACACAGTACAAAACCATAAATTTGGTGTAAATTTAATCCCAAAAGGATTAAATAGAGAATATAGAAAAAGCAAAATTAAGTAATGATTTAAAAATGTCCAAAACTTAAGAAAGATAATCCTTAGTAGAATCCAGTAGCTCTGTAAGTTACGAGTATGATGAAAACTACACTTGAGCAAATCATATGCAAACACTTGAACACCAATGTCAAAAAGAAAACATTAAAAGCAGGTGTTCCTCAAGAAGCAAAAGTAAAATGCATCTGACTTCTCAGAAGAGATCATGTAAGTCAATATAAAACAGATTATATTTTTTAAACTACTGAAAGAAAATTCTGACCTAAAGATAAAACATTCAAAAAAACACTTATCAGAAAAAATGTTAATTTTAGCCACCATACTTTCTTCAGGCTGAGGAAAATTTTTAACAGAAATAAACACAGAAATATAGAAAGGAATGCAAGAAATAGAAAGAGTAAATATATGATTAAGCAAGAATAAATAAATGTTGACTGTAGAAAACAATAATTATTGTGTTTCTGATGTTTAAAATATATAGAAGACAAAATAAATGATGTGAAAAAATTCACTACCTTTTAAATCAACCAGTCATTCAAGAAAGAAATCACAAGGAAAATTGGAAAATATTTTGAGAAATGTAAATAAAAACACAACATACAAAAATTTATGTTATACAGCAAAATTTTAGCCAAAGCAATTAGGCAAGAAAAAGAAATAAAAAGGCAACCAAATTGGAAAGAAAGAATAACATAAAATATATTTGCAGATAATGTAGTCTTATATGTAGAAAACCCTAAAAATCCCACAAAAACATCTTAGACTAATAAATTAACAAAGTTGCAGGATACAAAATCAACACACATACAATAAATAGCTGCATTTTAATACACTGGCTAGCAATGCGTAACCCAAAAAGGAAATTGAGAAAACAATACCATTTACAATATTATTAGAAAGAATAGAATACTACTTAAGAACAAACTTAAAACCAAGGAGAGACAAGACATATACACTCAAAATTACAAACCATTGCTGAAGTTAAAGAAGATATAAATTTAAAAATATCTCATGTTCATGATTTGAAAGACTTAATATTGTCAAGATGACAATACTACCCAAGCCAATCTACAGATTCATAACAATCTTGATCAAAATTCCAATGATGCTTTTTTGCACAAATTGAAAAATGCATCACAAAGTTCATATGGAATCCCAAGGCACTTCAGGTAGCCTTAAAAGTTTTTTCAAAGAAAGAATAAAGTTGAATAACTTATACTTCCTGAGGACAAAACTTCCTGCAAAGCCACAATAATGAAAACAATGTGGTTTGGCATGAAGACAGACATATAGACAAATGGAGAATAGAGAGCCCAGAAATTAACCCTAACATTTACAGTCAAATTATTTCTGTCAAGGCTTCCATGACCATTCAATGGGTAAATGACAATTGTTTCAACAAATGCTGGGAAAAGTGTATATCCATATGTAAAAATATAGTTAGACTCTTATCTCAAACATATACCAACATTAACTCAAAATGGATAAAAGATCTAACTGAAGGAAGAGTTAAAAAGTTAAAGCTCTTAGAGATAAACATAAGGGAAAAGCTTCATGACATTAGATTTGATGATTTCTTTAATATTAAACAGAAGACCAGGCAACAAAAGAAAAAATAAATAAACATCATCAAAATTAAAAACTTTTGTACACAAAACATATTATCAAGACAGTGAAAAGACAACATTTAGAATGGAAAAATAGCAAATCACATATATGATAAGGAATTAATATCCAAAATATATAAACAATTCTAAAACTCAATAATAAAAAGGAAGCACAATTTAAAAATTCTCAAAGGACTTGAATAGAAAATCATCTAAAGGTATATGGATTGCCAATAAGGGAAATAAAGCTCAACTTTGCTAATCACTAGGGAAATGGAAATCAAAACTACAGTGATAATTCCATTTTGCAACTATTAAGATGGTTATTATTAAAAAATAAAAATAAATATTGGGCAGGATGTAGAGAAATTGGAACCCCTGTGCTTGCATTGTTGATGAGACTGTGGCAAATAATATGGTGATTCTGAAAAAAATTGAAAATAGAATTACCATATGCTCCAGCAATTCTTCTGGCCATATACCCAGAATAATTGAAATGAAAACAGAGACCTGAACAGATACTTGTATACCAATGTTCATAGCAATATTATTTACAACAGCCAGAAGGTAGAGGCAAATCAATGGATGAACAAAATGTGGTATATACATACAATGATATAGTTTTCAGCTTAAAAAGAATGAAATTTTGCTACATGATACAACGTGGATGGAGCTTGAAAATATCATGCTAAGTGAAATAAGCTAGTCACAAAAGGACAAATATTGTATAATACCAATTATATGAGGTATCTAGAGTAGTCAATTCATATAAACCTCAAGTAGAATAGTGGATACCAGGGGCTAGGGGAAGGGGATAATGGAGGATATATTTTTAAAAAAACAGGCAAAAGATTAAGATGCTTCATCATAGAAGATATACATATTTCAAAAAAGTGTAATAAAAGATGCTCAACATCATATGTCATTAGAGAGCTGCAAATTAAAACAACATTGAGTTACCACTAAATAATTAGAATGCTTAAAATCCCAATCGCTGAAAACACCAAATGCTGGTGAGTATGTCAAGCCACAAGAACTCTCATTCACTGTTGGTGAGAACGCAAAATGATACATCTACTTTGAAAGACAATTTAGTAATTTCCTACAAAACTAAACAAACATGCTGCTATTATATGACTCAGTAATTGTGCTCCTTGGTATTTACCCAACTGAAATAAAAACTTATGTCCACACCAAAACCTGTAAATGAGTGTTTATAGCAACATTATTCACAATTGCCCAAAATGGAAAAAGAAAAACCCACATTGTCCTTTAATAGATGAATGATCAAACACACTGTGGTACATCTGTACAGTGGAATATTATTCAATGATAAAAGCAAATAAGCCATAAAGCCATGAAAAGACATGGAGGGATCATAAATAAATATTACTAAGAAACAGTAAAAAGTTCATGGGTTTCTAGGAGTTTATGGAAAAGGATGAAGGGCTAAATATGTGGATCACAGGGCATTCTTAGCACAGTGAAACTATTCTGTATGATACTGTAATAATGGAAACATATTTTTAAGACACATATATTTTTTAAGACGCATATTTTGAAAGACCTATATATTTTTAGGACCCATAGAATGTACAAAGAATTAAACTCAATGTAAACTGTAGACAGTAGTTAATAATAATGTATAATTAGTAGCACAGGAATTATAGGGCATCCCTCTAAGGCAAGATGTAAAATAATAGGGGAAGCAGAGAGGGAGAGGGAGCAGATATATTGTAGTCCACTGTACTTGGTGCTTGTTTTTATGTAAACCAAACGTTGCTCTGAAAAATGTCTGCTAATTTTTTTAAAGCTACTATAGAAAATACACAATGAAGAAGCACCACCAAAATAGCATAACCTTGATACAAAATCAGAAACGTAAAGTACAAGATATAAAACTATCAAATCCATAAGATAGAAACATTTATATCAAATAAAATACTCAAAAATTGAACTAAAAACAGGTCATGGTTGGTTTTATTCTGGGAATTAAAGTTGGCTTACTATTTTAAAAATCAATAAATATATTTGTACATTAACAGATTAAAGGGGAAAATCATAGAGTAAAGTCAATAGATGCAGAAAAAGTCTTTGGTAAAATTTAACACTTATTCATAATAGAAAACAAACTAGAAATAAAAGAATAATTTTAATTGAAAATTATAATAAAAAATATTCTGCAAATATTACTCTAAAATGTGAAGCCTTGAAATTTTTTCTTTCACAATAAGGACAAGGCAAGAATATCTACCACTTATATTGAATCATGCATAAAAGTCTGAATTTAATATTCTGTTATGTTCTTAACTTCTTTATACTGATGCTTAGATTACTAATTTTCAGAGTAATAAATTATAAATGTTCATGGCAACTAATGAAAAGTATATCATTAATAAAAAGAGAACAACTCTATTATAACTGGCAACATTTCATGAATAATGGTATTTCAGAACACCTACATGCTAATAAAATTGAACTGGAATGATAAATGATAAAGCTGTCTATTGAGACCTGTCATTAGAAAGTCTATGCAAATTTGCTTAGACTCAGTAAGATTTCTATTACTTATAATTATTTTTAAGTCGTTTTTCTTTTTAAACATTTTAACTACAAAATATAACATATGTAGAAATATAAATTAAATAAATATGGAAGTTTTACCTTATGTATTTCCTTTATGAATGTAATATTTCATAGTAAAAGGTTTTATCAAAAAAATCTAAAAAGTAGAAGTAAAACAACAACTGAACGTAAATAATAATATATTAAGAAAACAATTGTGAACCCAATGAAACATGGTAGCAAAAATTGATAATGTATAAAAATGTATATAAGTTACACATATCAGATATGTATAAAGTTATACAAAAAACGTATAACTTTGTGTTGAGATATTGCATAACTTTGTGTTGAGATATTGTAAAAAATAATAAGGCTGAAGAACTAAAATGTAACAGAGGAAGTAAAAAATTCAAGCCAAAAATTATAATTACAGAAAAAAAAACATTAAAATGTGGCTATTTTCTTTGTTAATAACTGATGGCAAATTACTGACAATGTAGTAGCATTTTATATCCTCTGAATCCAACTATTTTAGAAATTATAGAATTAAATATTAATGCATTCTGGTGAATTTGAGGTTACTCTTACAATGTTGGCTATATCACACACTGATTTTCTTTTAGGAAAATAATTTTTTAAAACTCAAATTATAAATTTTAATAAATGGAACTGCAATATAAAAGTAACAAATTTAAATTACCAGATTAAAATAGACAATTCAGAAGAAATAAAAAAAGCTTTTTGCGTGAAGTTGCATTTCCTATTGGAAGTCTCTCAATGAGAAAAAAATATTCCCTGATATGTCAACGTGTTTTTAAGTATACTCTGTAAAATATTGTATACTCATATGCCTTAATTATTAAATGTGTGTGGGAGAAGAAATATGTTCATGATATAAGTAAAAATGCATTTATTTGTGTTGAAGAAGAATAAATGTTTTTATTTAAACATATTACTAAGTTGTGACTGCTTACAGTTCAATACGTATCTGGTACAATTCACTTAATATGTTATATAGTTTGAAATTAGGTCAGTTAATTTTCTTTATATTAGTCTACCAGAGCTAGGCAAGTCAACCTAGACTCTCAATCCTCATAAACAGATGTTTATTTGAATTACCCACAAGAATAACATGCAATTCAGATACAAAAGTGACTTACCCCTTTCCCTTTGCATTTTGTGGTGGCATTACAGTTATATCCCATTAAATGAACTTTTCTGCAGGTTTTATTTACACAGTACTAAAACAAAACAAACAAAAATTTTACAATTCACAAATGTCATATAAAACAAGAAAAAACATTAATGATTTCTATATATGTATAAGAGATGCTTAAGTTGAAAGACTTTTAGTAATATTAATATGACTAATATTAATATGATTAACATTATCTTAATTTATTGATACAAAAATACAAAAATCTAAACAACAAAGTAATTGCAAGCAAAAAAACTGACAGCATTTGCCCTGACATGGTTAATGTAAAGGTTACATATAGTTTCAGTTTTTATACTTATAGCTTGCATTGGATTGAGACACTCATCGTATGAGTTTTCTATATTATGTTAATGTTTTGTTATGAATAATTGATTAGATGTTAATGACTTGTCTTCTCAAAAATTGGAACAGAAATCATTTTGTTTAGGTTTTAAGTATAATTCATAAATTTTGAATCTTTGTTATAAGATTCCTCAGAATAATATGGCAAGAACAATATTTATTTCTTGTAAAACTTTTATTATGGCAAAATGTGTAATATGGTGGTGAATAATCACCCAGATATGTGGTGTTTTGCCTCATTTATGTTTTTCTATTTTTTTCTGACTTTGCAAGCTTCTTTTTTATTTCAAAGTGTCACCATAAAATCTGTTTAAGTCGTTCACAACATAACAATACTAAACATGAATAAAAATTAGCTTTTTAATTACTTCCTCAAATCTGCATAAAACCAATTTATAGATTATAAGTTGCATATGTCAACTCACTTTTGTCCCTCATATTCAGCAAATATCAGATGCTCTAGCCAGAGCATTTCAGCAAAAAATAAAAAGATATCCAAGACTATTTTTAGCTTCCATGTATGAGTAAGAATATATGATATTTATTTATCTGTGTTTGGCTTAATTCAGTTAATACAATGGTCTCCAAGTTCATCCATGTTCTGCAAATAACATGATTTTATTTGTTTATCACTAAATAATGATTCTGTTGTGTGTATGTACCACATTTTCTTTATCCATTCATCCATTAATGAGCAATTACGTTGATTCCATAGTTTGGTTATTGTGAATAGTGTGGCAATAAACATGGGAGTTTATTGCCACAACTATCTCTTCAATATACTTATTTCCTTTTCTTTGAATAAACACCCAGTAGTGGGATGGCTGGATCACATGGTAGCTCTATTTTTAGTTTTAGAAGAAACACCATACTGTTTTCCATATTAGCTGTACTAATTTGCATTGTCACAAACAGTGTATAAGAGTTACCCTTTCTCTGCATTCTCGCTAACATGGGTTACTTTTTGTATTTTAAAAGTTTCAGGTGATGAGCTTGCTAGTTAGATATGATCATTATACGTTGTATACGTGCAGTGAATTACATTAATTGATATACACAAATGGTACATATTTTAAGGTACATTGTACCTTATAAACTTTTCTTGTTTCATATAAAACAAGAAAAAACATTAAGCAGTGATTTAATATATGCGTGTAAGAGATGCATATATATCATCTGGTTCTTGCATTATTTCCTTAGGGTAATAACCTTTAGCTTCATTCATGTTTCTGCAAAGGACATGATTTCATTCTTTTTTAGGACTGCATAGTATTCCATGGTGTACATTTTTAAAAATCCAATCTACTATTGATGGGCTTCAAGGTTGATTCCATCCATGTCTTTGCTATTGTGAATAGTTTCACAATGAACATACAAATGCTTGTGTCTCTTTGATAGAGTGAATAATTTTCCTTTGAGCGTATACCCAGAAGTGGGATGGTTGGGTCAAATGGTAATTGTTTTAAGTTCTTTGAGAAATCTCCAAACTGCTTTTCACAGTGGCTGAACTAATTTACATCCCCACCAATCGTGTGTGTTTCCTTTTCTCTTCACCCTCACCAACATTTGGTTGGTGGGGAGAGAATAACAAGGATTTATTTTTTAATGGGTACAGAGTTTCAGTTTGGGATGACAAAAAATGTGCTGTATGTAAGTAGTAGTGACAGTTGCACAACAATACAAATGTAATTAATGAATTGTCCACTTGAAAATGGGTAGAAATGTAAATTTACATTATGTATATTTTTTCACAGTATAAAAAGAAAAAAATTGTATATGCCATATGAAGATTATAAAATTGTCCAAATTAGGCCTCCTACCTGCAGCACCACCCACTGTAGCACCTCCCACCTATGACATTCCCACTACACCTGCTGAAGTGCCCCCTGCCCATGGGACCTCCAACAGAGCACCCCTACTGCCCAGGGTGACCCCTACTAGAGTGCACACACCTTCCACTTGCCATGCTCCTGTAATCCCCTCCTAAGCACCCCTGCCCATGGTGCCACATGCTGGAGTGCCTCTGCCCTAGTGGCACACCTGCCACACCCACCAGCACACCTACACCCATGACTCCACCATCTCCTATGGAGTGGTATTGCCAGCAGTCTGAGAGCACTTTGGCAACTCCAGCCCAACTGGAGCTCAACCTCAAAGGACCATCCTCTCAGCGCAAAAGCTTCCTAAGCTGATAAACAACTTCAGCAAAGTCTCCGAATACAAAATCAATGTGCAAAAATCACTAGCATTCCCATACACCAACAGACAAATGAGCCAACAGTCAACAGAGTCAAATCAGGAATGTATTCCCATTCACAGCTGCCGCACACACACACAGAATACCTAGGAATACAGCGAACTAGGGAGGTGAAAGATCTCTACAAGGAGAACTACAAAACGCTGCTCAAAGAAATCACAGATGACATAAACAAATAGAAACACATTCCATGCTCAAGGACAGGAAGAATCAATATAGCTGAAATGGCCACATTGCCCAGGGCAATTTTTAGGTTCAATGTCACTCTCATTAAACCACCACTGAGATTCTTCACAGAACTAGAAAAAACTATTATTTCAACTTTCACATAAAACAAAAAATGAGCCTGAATAGCCAATGCAATCCTATGCAAAGCGAACAAAGCTGGAAGCATCATGCTGCCTGACTTCAAACTATCCTACAGGGCTACAGTAACCAAAACAGCATGGTACTGATTCAAAAACAGACACAGAGACCAAAGGAACAGAACAGAGAACCCAGAAACAAGACCACACATTTACTACAATCTAATCTTTGACAAACCTGACAAAAACAAGCAATGGGCAAAGGATATTCTATTCAATAAATGATGCCGGGATAAATGGCTAGCCATATAGAGAATATTGAAACTGGACTGCTTCCTTACACCACACACAGAAATTAACTTAAGACAGATTAAAGATTTAAATGTAAAACCCAAAACTATAAAAACCCTGGCAATACCATTTAAGACATAGGCGCAGGCAATGATTTCATGATGCAGATGCCAAAAGCAATTGCAACAAAAGCAAAAATTAACAAATGAGATCTAATTTAACTAAAGAACTTCTGCACAGCAAAAGAAACCAAACAGAGTTAAACAGACCAGCCTACAGAATGGCAGAAAATATTTGCAAACTATGTATATGACAAAAGTATAATACCCAGCATCTATAAAGAACTTAAACAAAGTTACAAGAAAAAAAAAGCCATTAAAAAGTGGCCAAAGAACATGAACAGATACTTTTCAAAAGAAGACATACATGCAGCCAAGAAACATGGAAAAAAAGCTCAACATCATCGAGCATTAAGAAAATGCAAATCAAAACCAAAGTGAGATACCATCTCATACCAGTCAGAAAGGCTATTACTAAAAAGTGAAAAAATTAACAGATGCTGTCAAAGTTGTGGAGTAAAAGGAATGCTTACACACTATTAGTGGGAATGTAAATTAGTTCAATCATTGTGGAAGACAACGTGGTGATTCCTCCAAGTTTTAAAGACAGAACAATCCCATTACTGGTTATATACCCAAAGGAATATAGATCAGTCTAGTATAAGGGCACATGTATGTTCATTGCAGCACTCTTCACAATAACAAAGACATGGCATCAACTTAAATGCCCATCAATGACAGATTGGATAAAGAAAATGTGCTACATATACACTATGGAATACTATGCAGACATAAAAAAAATGAGGTCATGTCTTCTGCAGGGACATGGATGGAGCTGGAGGTCATTATTCTTAGCAAACTAATGCAGGAATAGAAAACTAAATACTGCATGTTCTCACTTACAAGTGGGAGCTGAATAATGAGAACACATGGACACATAGAAGGGAACAACACACAGTGGGGTCTTTGGTAGGGTGGAGGCTGGGAGGAGGGAGAAGTTCAGAAAAAAGAACTAATGGGTACTAGGCTTAATACCTGGGTGATGAAATAATCTTTACAACAACCCTCATGACACAAGTTTAGCTATGTAACAAACCTTCACATGTACCCCTGAACTTAAAAATAAAAGTTAAAAAGAAGAAATAGAAAAAAAAGTTCATCATCACTAATCATTAGAGACATGCAAATCAAAACCACAATGAGGTACCATCTCACATCAGTTAAAGCCCAAAAATAGCAGGCCAGTAAGGCTGCAGAGAAATGGCAACATTTATTAACTGCTGGTGGAAATGTAAATTAGTTCAACCATTGTGGAAAGCACTTTGGAAATTACTCCTTGAACTTAAAACAGAGCTACAATTTGACCCAGCAATACCACTATTGATATACATCCAAAGGAAAATAAGTCCTTCTACCAAAAAGACACATGTATTCATATGTTTATTACAGCACTATTCACAATAGCAAAGACATGAATCAATGAAGACGCCCATTAATGGTGGGCTGGATAAAGAAAACAGGGTGCGCACACACCATGGAATACTATGCAGTCACACAAAAAGAATGAAATAATGTCCTCTGCAGCAACATGGATGCAACTGGAGGATATTATCCTAAGCAAACTAATGCAGGAACAGAAAACTAAATACTGCATGTTCTCACTTATAAGTGGGAGCTAAACATTAAATACACATGGCAGTAAAAAAATGGAACAATAGATATTGGGACTGCTTGAAATGGGAGGATGGGGAAAGGGGCCTGGGTTGGGAGGCTACTTATTGGGTACTATGCTCACTACCTTGGTGATGGAATCATTTGTACACCAAGCCTCAGTGTCATGTAATTTACCCATGTAACAAATCTGCACATATGCCTCCTGAACCTAAAATACAGTACAATAGAATAAAATTGTCTAATTTAGACCAGTGTATGTAAGAGGAAGGGAGATGACAAGAAATTAATAATCAATTGATGAACTCTTAAGTTAACTACCATTTCTCACTGGATCATCAGCTTAATTTAAAGTTATACATTGATGATCAAAATAAGAAGACAAATTATGCATTGTAAATAATTTTAGGAAACAGAATAAAGTGCCATGCATGGCCATTTAAGTATGCGTCTAAATTTATGTGAATATTGCATAGACATATTTTCAATGTTTTTGAGATTATTTTCTATCGTATTCTAAGTAGCACAAGAACTTCCTATATATAGGTGCAAAAGGCCACATGGGCATGTGAAAAATAGCTTTATATTAAAATACATACTAATATTATAACTGAACATGTTTCACTTAATATCTGTATTTCTGCAATCCATTCTGGAAGTCTAGTTGGACAAAAGATATTTCAAGTAAAAAAAAATAGGAATCTATTTTAAAAAATCAATGTGGTCAACATCCTGTGATGAAGGCACTCTTAGCTAACTTTCAACAAATTCCCCTTAGATCTCTTGGCTTCATATGAATATGCACCAAACAAAGTAATGGAAACATACCTTTAGTCACATAATACACTGCAAGTGATGTGCAATAACTAATAGTTCAACAAAGAAACTTCCAATTGCACAGAGTTCTGATTCCTACGCATTTCTTAAAAGCAAATAATGAATAAAAAATATCTGAGTCTGAAAATAATTTTTCTTAATTAATGTTGTTTTTCGTATGTCAGAAATTGTAATCATTTAAGAACAAAAGAGATAAACAAGCTATAGTCATTTTAGAAATGAAAAAGGAAACACTTTAACCAAGATATTAACATGCTGTGGTCGGAATATTTGTGTTCCCCAAAATTCACCTGTTGAAACCTAATCTCCAGTGCAATCATATTAAAAAGTGGATCCCGTAGAAGGCGATTAGGTCACAAGGGTAGAATCCCCATGAATGAGATTAGCGCCTTAATAAAAGAGGTTCAATGGAGCTTGTTCACCCTTTCTGTCATGCGAGGACACGGTAAGGTACCAACTTTGAAGCAGATAATGAGTCCTAACCAGGCACTAAATCTGCTGGCACTTTGATCTTGGACTTCCCAGCCTCAAAAACTGTTAAGCAGTACGTTCCTTTTGTTTGTAAATTACCCAATCTCAGCTATTTCATTATAGCAGCATGAGTGCACTAAGACAGAAATTGGTACCGAGAGGTGGAATGTTGCCATAAAAAATACCTAAAGATGTGGAAGTGGCTTTGGAACTCACTACTGACCGGAGGCTGAAAAAGGTTTGGAAGTGCTTGCTAGAAAAAGCCTGCATTGCTGTAAGTGGAGAATTAAGGATGATTCTGGTGAGGGCTCAGAAGAAAAGGACAGCTTTAGAGAAAACCTCAGTTTTCTCACAGGTTACCTAGCTGGTTGTGATCAGAGCATTGGTAGGAAAATGGAAGGTGAAAGCCATTTTGATGAGGTCTCAATTGAAATGAGGACCAAGGTACCGGAAAATGAGGGAAAGACGATCTTTGTTATAAAGTGTCAAAGAACTTGGCTAAATTGTGTTTGTGTCCTAGTGTTTTGTGGAAGGTGGGATTTCTGAGCCATGAAATAAGATACTTCACAGAAGAAGAAATATGTTAGCAGATGGTGGAGGGTGCAGCATGCTTTTTTAAATCAGTTTATAGTAAAGTGTGAGAAGAAAGAAAGAAATATTAAACACGGAATTTATAATGAAAAGGAAAGCAGAACTAAAAAATTTGGAAAATTCTTAGCCCAGCCATGTTGTAAAGAATGAAAAAGCATGTTCAGGAGCGAACACCAAGGATATGACCAAGCCACCTTTTGAAAAAGAGATTAAGAAGGTTTAGAAACCAGGTGATATTCCCCAACTCAATGGAAGAATGCCCCTGAAGGCATTTCACAGATTATCAGTGCTGCCACTCCCATTACAGGATCAGAGTTACCAGGCCTGAGGAGCAGATCTATGTCAAAAGAGGAGCCTCATGCACCCACAGGAATTTGGCACTTACTGCTCATGATGCCTCAAGTCTCTATTCCCTGCATTATAGCAAACCGCTCTTCAACCATATCGGGTATGACTCCACTGGGCCCAGGTGGGATGAGGCCCAAGGAGATGTTCTTCTGGACGGCACATTCAAATCAACCTTGGGGGTGTCTCCATGGTGCCATCTTTACAAGGGCCCAGAATGAACAAGCTGTGGAGGCATGGCTGCCTTCACCTGGACTTCAAAGGATGCCCCAGATGCCCTCACAGCACAGGCAGAGAACTGTCATTGTAGCAGGAAGAGTTGTAGACAAAATCCCTCAGACACTGGATTGTGGAAGGGAAGAGCTTCATTCAGCTGGGAGCATCAGCTGACTAGAAACTGAGCTCCCTGAATAAGTAATTCCTGTCCCTTTTAAGGGCTAACTTTAAAGAGTGAGGGGGTTGTGATTAATTAAGCGAGTGAGGGGTACGTGACTGGGGGCTGCAGGCACCAGTAATCAGAGTGAAACAGAACAGAACAGGGAGTTTCACAATGCTCCCTCATACAATGTCTAGAATCTACGGATAACACAGTGGTGAGGTCAGGGGTTGAATTTTAACTACCAGGCCTGAAATGAGGCACCGGGCTGTCTGACTATGAATTTCACTTCTGCTTATTAACTTTTACCTTTTCAGCAAACAAGAAATTATAAGAAATTATAAGAAACTATATAAGAAGTGGTCTCTTCTCTCATCATACTAGGGCAATGCCCAGTGGAGCTGGGAGCAAGAGTGAGGCCAGCACAGACAGCCCCCACCAGGGCAACAATGAGTACAGAACTGCCCCCTCAACCTCAGGCTGATTGAGTCACTGGTGTGAAACTCTAGCCTAAGAGAGCCCCAGACACACAATTCCAACCTGTGAGAGGTGTGGCATGGGCTGTAACCAGCAAATCCATTGAGATTGGGCTGCCCAGAGCCCTCGGGGCCCAGTTCGTGCCCCAGTTAAAACATTTTGGTTATCCAAGAAAAGTAATTCCTAGAGATTGACTGTATGTCACAGTTTATATAGTTAACAATAATGTATTATATACTTAAACAATTCCTAGGGGGTAGGCCATATATTAAATGCTGCTATGAGAGAGGTAACAATAATAAATAAATAAATAAATAAATAAAAGATTGGGAAAAAATTTTGGAAGTTATAAATAGCTTATGACATGGAAGGTAGTGATCATTTCACAGATGTATAATTATCTCTAAACTCATCAATTTATTGTTTATTTACTTATTTATCTATTTATTTTATGTATTTATTTATTTTGAGATAAGGTCTTGCTTTGTTGACCAGACTGGAGTGTAGTGGTGTGAAAGCTTCAATCTCCTGAGTTCAAGAGATCCTCTTGCTTCAGCCTCCCAAGTAGCTGGGACTACAGGTGTGTGCCACCATACCTGGCTAATTTTTTAAAATAATATTATTTTTTAGAGACAAGTTCTCGCTATGTTTCCCAGGCAGGTCTTGAACTCCTGAGCTCAACTGATCCTCCCATCTTGGTGTTTCAAAGTGATTTTTGTTTGTCAAATAAAACTAAATATACAATTCAACCAAAAAAAGTAAGTAAAACAAACTACAGAGTAGGAGAAAATATTTGCCATCTTGCCTTTAGGATATTTAAAGAACAATTAAATTGAACTTTTAAAAAAGACAATCTGATTAAAAATAGGCTAAAGACATGATCAGATACTTTACTCAGGAGGATACACTGATGACATATAAGTTCATGGAAAATACTGAATATAATTAACCATTAAAGAATGCAAATATCACTATGCACATATAAAAATGAGTAAATAATAAGTAGTGCTAACACCAAATGCTGTTGAGGATATGAAGAAACTTGCTCACTTACACACTGCTGGTGGAAATGAAAAATGGCATAGCCACTTGACCAAAGATTCTAGCAGTTTCTCATAGAACCAAAAATATACTTATCTTGCAAATCAGAAATTGCACTCTTAGAAGTTTATCTTAGGAAAAGGAAACAATACACATATTATCGCAGTTTCTGTGAGTGGTGAATTCTGGGAATGGCATAGCTTGGTCTTTTGCTTCAGATATTTGCATAGGCTGGTATTAAAATGCCAGCCAATTTCATCTGAAGGTTTTACTAAAATGAATATGCTTCCAAATTTGTCACGTGGTTGTCAGAAGGCTGTTGTATTAACATGCTCATTTCCTCAAGGTCTTTTGGATGGAGGCCATATTCACTTTCTTCCCATGTATTACTCTTCAACATGGTAGCTTATTTCATCCAAGTAAGCAATGAAGAAGGGGCAGGAGAACAAAACGGAAAATACTGTCTGTTATATCCTAATGTTGCAAGTTATATTCCATCATTTTTTCCATACTCTATTTGTTAGAAGCACGTCACTATGTCCATCCCTCACTTGGTTGGTAGGGAATGTGTATTATAAAGGGAGTGAACAGAAGAAGATAAGATATTGGAGGGTATTTTAAAAGCTGAGTAGCACAGTTTATCTTCTAATGTTACATATCTTTTACACATAAAAACCACATTAATTGTCAAGCTCTCCAACATTCTCATTTCATTATAGCATCAGTTCAAAGCCTATTTCTTCATCTGAGTTAGCTCCAGCTGTGGATTAGGTTCATGGGTATACTTCCTTGAGTATAGCTCTTCCATTTGTAGATCTTTGACACTAGAGAGTAATCTGGCCCCAAGCCCATCAATATATAATGGTAATAAAGGCATAGAATAACTTATAGATATTTTAATTCAAAGTGTGTGTGGGGGGGGATTAGAACTAAAAAGAAATTACTGGTCCATAGCAATTCTGAAATATCTAGAAGGGCTCATGTTGGGAGTTCCTTGTTTGGGTTTCAAGGTCTGTGAAAAATCTCTCTTGGCTCTCAGTTCTGCCTTCTCAGTTCTTATTTGACTCTCTAAGTATTCCTTCCTTTTTCAGGAAAGGTAGCACATATTTGACTTTGAGCAATTATCTCAGCCTGCCTCCTCTCAGTAGAATTTTGGGGGTCCGATAGCCTCCTTTCATTTTGTATTCTCTTTACTGGCGGTTTCTCAAAAACTGTGAACCTCCCGTGAATCTCTTTGGCATTTATTACATTAAACAAAAGACATGCTCACAAATATCTTTGAAATGAACCGTTTTCTACCTTAGGCTTCTGCTGAGATGGCTGAAAGACAAAGCTCTGAAGTTTCCAGATGCCTTATTTTTTTAAATGTAGAGGATCTGTGAGGCAGCCTTTCTTTCTTTAAAGGACTTTTGTCTAACTGAATAACACTCTGAGCCTTTTACTGTAGAACATTAGTTAAGAGTTGATCTTGACTAATCTTTTGTTACTCTTAACTAATGTTTTACAGTCTCACTCTTGACCATGTTTTCCTGATAGTTCTTGGAATCCATTTCTTTGTTTTAGCATCTTTTGCTGTCTGGAGAAGTTAAGAATTTTCAAAATCATCAATGGTTATGTTTTATTTAACAGTTCCTTCAATTTCTTTCATTTCTTATTATATTATAAGCTGCTAGAAGGGGTCAGAAGCTAGATCACCAAGTTTATTATGTACACATTCTACTTTCCACGTACTGTAGAAGACAATATGCTAAGCTTTCTGCCACTAAATAAAAAGAACCTTACTTCCTCCAGTTTTCAATAATATACTCCTAACTACCACTTGAGCCCTCACCAGCCAGGTCCTCAAAGTGCAGAGTTGGACTTAAGGTCTGTTTCAGGCAATATGAGCTTTCTGTATCTTGGTCTTCAACATTCTTCTGGTCTCTACCCACTTCCTGGTTCTATATTCATACCCAATTTTTAAGGTATTTGTTACAGCAGCACCATATGTCCAGGTATCAAATCTGCATCAGTTTTCTGTTGCTGCATAACAAATTATCATCAAAATTAATGACATTAAACAACACGTATTTATTATATCACAACTTCTGTGAGTCTGAAATTCAAGCACATCTTATCTGGGTTCTCTGCTTCACAGTCTTCTTACAAGCTGAAATCAAGGTGTTATCTGTTATCTGGGACTGTAGTCTCACCTGTTGGTCCGACTTGCAAAGCTCTTCATAGCTTGCTTGTGTGGTTTTGGCAGAATTCAGTCCCTCACAGGCTGTTGAACTGAGGGCCTCAGATTTTCACTGTCCCACAATTGCTTTCCTTGTAGGATTTTCCCTGAAGGCAGCTTGCTTCAGCAAAGCAAGCAATCTGAGAAGGCAAGGGAGAGAGTCCATGCAAAACAGAAGTCACTGTCTTTTCTCATCTTCTTTCTTGTCTCTAGCCTCTAATCTTGTGACATTCCAAAACTTTTGCCCTATTTTATTTGTTAAAAGCAAGTCATTAGATGCAGTCCACAGGCAAAGGAAGGGATTACACAAAGGAATGAATGACAGAAAGTGGGATCACTGAGAGTCATTTCAGGAGCAGATTACCACATAGAGGTTTCTCAAGGGATTAGGGTTGCTGACACCAGATATAACAATTGACTAACACATCCTCCATTTCTAGGTTTTGTTTTATTTTTACGCATCAAATAAGCACCAAATGACATTTAAGTGCAACACTCTATAATTGCTATGTGAAATTTCAGATGCCACATATTATCATGTTTTCTGGAACATGTGCCCTTATATTGCAAGATTAACCAAGTCTCTAAAGCCTTTTTGTTCTCTTTTTATGTTATGACTACATAGATAGAAGTGTTCATATATATTCATGCATGTATATACGCATGAGCCTGTATATGCACTATAGCAATGTTTCCTAGTATAGATTCTTGTTTGGTTCCAAACCTTTTGTACACTTATATTTTGATCAGATACAAATCAAATAATTTAAGAAATATGTAAAGTCAATTAATGTTCTTTGTGAAGCAAGGAAAATGGAAAACTTTGTATTAGCATTTTACAATTTAAAGCTACCAGATGTCAGTTAGTAAAATCTTGTGCTTAAAATATATATGTACTTTTTTTAACATAAGGACTGATAATATTTTAATCCAAAAAGCAATGTAATTGGATAACTTAGGCTTGTTTTAATTATCATTTAAATATCACATGGGAAATAAATGCCAGCACAAGTTTAAATCCATTCAATATAATTGTGATAGTCATCATGGAATGCAGTATCTGATAATTCACATAATTTAACACAGCTGAATATAAATTATCACATTTTGTTACCATTTCTGGACCACACATGGTGCCATCAGCCACATAGGCATTGTCTGTTCCATCTGATCTCATGGAGGAACCAGTGGCTATAGATACACATACATGGTCTTGAATATATGAATAAACTGTAGATTGAGCGTCACTTTTATTAGCATTTTTATGTGGCTGAACACAAGCTAATTTTCCACAGAGAACATCCCTGGAAGTGGAAAGCAAAAAGTTCCTTATCAGTTTATCTCTTAATGATAACAAGTTCCAAGTGAGTACTGCATAATGGTAACATACTGTTAATTGATAGTATAACAACTGAAAAATGCCAAACTAAAACATTATTTTATGGTGCACAACAACTAAATGCAACTGTCTTAATAGCAGAATTGAAATGTATATGCTTAACTCAGCGTGAAGACACGACTTCATTCCCATTATAGAGCCCAATTTTGTTCTCTAAGTTCTAGTTGTCTTAGACCATTCATATTTTACCGCACTCTGGGAGAATTAGTCACTTGCCCCACTTTGATATAGCTTGGCCAGCCTGGTCACTTATTAAACAAAATTTGCTGAGAGTGGCTAATTGCATTTCTCTTTCTGCACATTTTATTGTGCCTATCATTCCTGTCATGATACCTAGAAAGTACATTTCTGCAGTATACACAACCTTCATTTTGATCCACAATTTCTCCCAGCATACAGATATTTCCAGTATATTTAACTTATCTGTTAAAAATTTAAGAACTTTTAGATCCCCTCTATGCCACAAACATACCAAAGGTTATCTTATCCCATGGATGCTGTATTTTGCCATTTGTAATCTATCATTGGGTAAAATACTGGCTTCTCTATGAGGCTAAGAGTATTTCTAGACTATGCTCTGAAAGATAATCTATGTCACTTTTTGTACTTGAAATTATTGAAATCTAATTATCAAAGTTCATCCTCAATGAGAATAATCATTTTTAGCCATTGATCTGTCTCTATTGAACATGTCATTATTATTTCATCAAAAGGCTCCTCTTAGGGAATTTTACCCATTTGTCCTAAAAGAATCATTTGAGGCTTTTTCAGAAGAATAAGCTTAATTACACCAAGAAGTAAAGATTGAAATGAGATTAAGAGCCAGAACCTAAATTACATTTCACTTTTGTCTTCCCTCCAGCATAACTTTTCTACTTTCCCAGGTCTTGATATTTCTTTTGATTTTGGTTCCACTCTCTTTCTATAGAATATATTCTAAACCAGACTTGCATGGTATGTATGTATCCTTCCAGTCTGGCTACTGAGTACAAATTCTTCCTCCAAGTCCATTTTCCCAAAATTTGCATTTATGGTTAAATTCTTAGAACTATTTTTTCTTTTTTGAAAAGGAATCACAGTCTGTTTAGATCAGACGATGTATGCTACTCAATTTTAGTTTCATCTAATGATGTTATTTCAGGAAAATTCATGTACTATTATCACATAAGACAAAGTCCAATGGAGTCATGTTTGCTAACTTTCACAATTTCTTCCAGGTTTCTTTTATCTTTTTTTCATGAATAATCTTAAATTAAAGGCAGCAGATGTGCCTCTGGACATCAGGAAGAAGATTAAGTGGGGTTGTCATGCCACCATCTTCTGTCTTTGTTGGGATCCACTGTGGTGTAACTCAGACTGCTGGCCCCTGGTGCTCTGTATTAATATCCAATAGGTGTGGCTGATTATGCCGGGTCTCCTCCTGAGATCCCCACTCATCAGTACTTTCTTTGTGATTCCACCTTTCTTCTTTCCATGTACTAATCCTCCTGTGTTGGGGCAAGTGGGAAGTTCTGCATCCTCTCCACAGCATACATAATCCATGGTAATTTCACATATGGAGGAGGGTGATGGAGGATACTACTTTAGTCCCACCCAACTGGATACCTTCTTCATCCATTTCTCATCTTAATAAAGGAACTGTATTGCTTTGAACAATACTGATAGTGGTGCTTACCTGAGGATTTTATGGTTTTTCCTGGCTATAAGTCTTTGAGACTAAATGTCTGCTTCTTCCTGAATTAATTATATCTAAATTTTTTATGTTATTCCCTTTCTCTTATTTTGTGAATCTGGCTCTGTTACACATTTTTGTGGCTCTTTAATTTTCAATGAAATTAAGGAAGATAAAATTAAGGAAGCATTCATTACAGGGTAGGCACTTCCTTTATTAAAGTATTGGATTTCATTAATCCCTTTATTACATGGATTATAGTAACACTATGTCCCAATAGTCTGAATTTAGTTATTAATAGATACTTCCATGCTTTACATATTGATGTTTTGGACACAATTAGCAAAAACAAAAATAGCTTTCTTCTTCTCAACAATTCTATGTCTTAAAAATCAAAGCTTGAGGTTTGCTTTAAGATTGTTGCTATTTATAGACTTAATACAAAACTTCATTTGAATTCTCAATACAGAGTAGCAGTTCTGATTTCTGGCAGTGTGTGTCCATTTTCTTCTTCTGTTACTAAGTATTAGCCTTTTTTTGTCCAATCTCATTTTTAGGATGATATCAAGGGAAAATAATAGAAAATCCTGAATTTCATAGAAAAAATATATGCATTGGTATTTGAAAATATTCCCATGTTATAAAATTTTAGTGTTCATTACTACTTAGTGTCTCTTGATAAAAATACATAATTTTTATGATTCAAAGAAGCAATCATTTTCTACATACGTACTTCCGTTCACAAGGTAATGGTTGTGAATTTTTAAAACCACAGTTTTCAGATCTTTCATGCAGAGAATTAACTTCTTTAAAACAGGCAAATGGAGCACCTTGAGCACCTTAAAATGCAAACATGTCAGTTGAATTATCATTCTTAATATGAGTTAAATGTTTGTCAGTAACAGACTAAGGAAATTTAATTTCAAAAAGATCATGTACTTGTTGATCATGCTTTTGTTTCTATGCATACCCTGTCAATGCAAGTAGAAAGAAATAATTGTCTTATCTTACACACACAGAAAATGATTATATCTATTGCAATAAGTTATATTATTTTTAAAACAATATGTTTCTCTTTCTGGTGGGAGCAAATACTTCTTAATCTAATGAATATTGGGCTTGACCTTGTAACTTCCTCTTCTTAATGAAATGAGGAATTTGAAGCATGTCACTTATGGACAGAAACCTCTGGAACTTATATAGTTTTCCAGAGTCTACCTCCTGTCCTTTGTAGCACATGTGTTTATTTGGTCCTTCCAGCATGCTGGCTATACTTTGCTTATTTTGTCTGACTAGTATAAAATCACTGATGGATTGGACCAATGTTACATTTTATGGGAAGTCCAAATCTCTTCTACTATATTATGATGGAGGGAAACAGAGTAAACTTAACCCTGGAGAAAAATTCTAAATGAATCCTGTTATCCACTCTATGTGAATGTAAACTGTTTCTAATCTTCTTTTCAAATAGGAATAGAAAATAATACACTTGCCAAAATGGCCGAATAGGAACAACTCCAGTCTGCAGCTCCCAGTGTGATCGATGCAGAAGATGGGTGATTTCTGCATTTCCAACTGAGGTACCTGGTTCATCTCACTGGGACTGGTTGGACAGTGGGTACAGCCCATGGAAGGCGAGCTGAAGCAGGGCGGGGCATTGCCCCGCCCAAGAAGAGCAAGGAGTCGAGGGATTTCCCTTTCCTAGCCAAGGGATGCTGTGACAGACTACCTGGAAAAATGGGGCACTCCTACCCAAATATTGCACTTTTCACAAGGTCTTAGAATCGGCAGACAAGATGATTCTCTCCTGTGCCTGGCTCGACAGTTCCCATGCCCACAGAGCCTTGCTCACTGCTAGCGCAGCAGTCTGAGATCAATCTGCAAGGTGGCAGCCTGGCTGGGGGAGGGGTATCAGCCATTGCTGAGGCTTGAGTAGGTAAACAAAGTGTCCAGGAAGCCCAAACTTGGCAGAGTCCACTGCAGCTCAACAAAGCCTACTGCCTCTAGACTCCACCTCTGTGGGCAGAGCATAGCTGAACAAAAGACAGCAGACAACTTCTGTAGACTTAAACATCCCTGTCTGACAGCTCTGAAGAGAGCAGTGGTTCTCCCAGCATGACATTTGAGCTCTGAGAAGGGACAGACTGCCTCCTCAAGTAGATCCCTGATCCCCATGTAGCCTAACTGGGAGACACCTCCCAGAAGGGGCCAACAGACACTTCATATAGGCGGCTGCCCCTCTGGGATGACCCTTCCAGAGGGAGGATCAGGCAGCAATATTTGCTGTTCTGCAATATTTGCTGTTCTGCAGCCTCCACTGGTGATACCCAGGGAAACAGGGTCTGGAGTGGACCTCCCACAAATTCCAACAGACCTGCAGCTGAGGGACCTGACCATTAGAAGGAAAACTAACAAACAGAAAGAAATAGCATCAATGTCAACAAAAAGGTCATCTACACCAAAATCCCATCTGTAGGTCACCAACATCAAAGACCAAAGGTAGACAAAACCACAAAGGTGGGAAGAAACCAGAGCAGAAAAGCTGAAAATTCTAAAAATCAGAGTGCCTCTTCTCCTCCAAAGGATCACAGCTCCTCGCCAGCAACGGAACAAAGCTGGACGGAGAATGACTTTGATGAGTTGACAGAAGTAAGCTTCAGAAGGTTGGTAATAACAAACTTCTCCGAGCTAAAGGAGGATGTTAAAACCCATCACAAGGAAGCTAAAAACCTTGAAAAAAGATTAGATGAATGGCTAACTAGAATAAACAGTGTAGAGAGGACCTTAAATGACCTGATGGAGCTGAAAACCATGGCACGAGAACTTCGTGAGGCATGCACAAACATCAATAGCCGATTCTATTAAGTGGAAGAAAGGGTATCAATGATTGAAGATCAAATTGATGAAATAAAGCAAGAAAACAAGGTTAGAGAAAAAAGAGTAAAAAGAAACGAACAAAGCCTCCAAGAAATATGGGACTATGTGAAAAGACCAAATCTACATTTGATTGGTGTGCCTGAAAGTGATGGGGAGAATGGAACCAAGTTGGAAAACACTCTTCAGCATATTAGGCAGGAGAACTTCCCCAACCTAACAAGACAGGCCAACATTCAAATTCAGAAATACAGAGAACACCACAAAGATACTCCTTGAGAAGAGCAACCCCAAGACACATAATTATCAGATTCACCAAAGTTGAAATGAAAGGGAAAATGTTAAGGGCAGCCAGAGAGAAAGTTCAGGTTACCTACAAAGGGAAGCCCATCAGACTAACAGTGGATCTCTCGGCAGAAACCCTACAAGCCAGAAGAGAGTGTGGGCCAATATTCAACATTCTTAAAGAAAAGAATTTTCAACCCAGAATTTCATATCCAGCCGAACTAAGCTTCATAAGTGAAGGAGAAATAAAATCCTTTACAGACAAGCAAATGCTGAGAGATTTTGTCTCCACCAGGCCTGCCTTACAGGAGCTCCTGAAGGAAGCACTAAACACAGAAAGAAAGAACTGGTACTAGCCACTACAAAAACAGGCCAAATTGTAAAGACCATCGATGTAGAGAAGAAACTGCATCAATTAATGGGAAAAATAACCAGTGAACATCATAATGAAAGGATCAAATTCACACATAACAATATTAACCTTAAATGTAAATGGGCTAAATGCCCCCAGTTAAAAGACACAGACTGGCAAATTGGATAAAGAGTCAAGACCCATCAGCATGCTGTATTCAGGAGACTCATCTCACATGCAAAGACACACATAGGCTCAAAATAAAGGGATGGGGGACGATCTACCAAGCAAATGGAAAGCAAAAAAAAGCAGGGGTTGCAATCCTAGTATCTGATAAAACAAACTTTAAACCAAGATCAAAAGAGACAAAGAAGGCCATTACATAATGGTAAAGGGATCAATTCAACAAGAAGAACTAACTATCTTAAATATATACATGCACCCAATACAGGAGCACCCAGATTCATAAACCAAGTCCTTAGAGACCTACAAAGAGACTTAGACTCCCACACAATAATAATGGGAAACTTTAACACCCCCCTGTCAATATTAGACAGATCAACGAGACAGAAGGTTAACAAGAATATCCAGGACCTGAACTCAGCTCTGCAACAAGCAGGACTAATAGACATCTACAGAACTCTCCACCCCAAATCAACAGAATATATATTCTTCTCAGCACCACATCTCACTTATTCTAAAATTGACCACAAAATTGGAAGTAAAGCACTCCTCAGCAAATGTAAATGAACAGAAATCACAACGAACTGTCTCTCAGACCACAGTGCAATCAAACTAGAACTCAAGATTAAGAAACTCTCTCAAAACCGCACAACTACATGGAAACTGAACAATTTGCTCCTGAATGACTACTGGGTAAATAACAAAATGAAGGCAGAAATAAAGATGTTCTTTGAAACCAATGAGAACAAAGATAAAACGTACCAGAATTTCTGGGATACATTTAAAGCAGTGTGTAGAGGGAAATTTATAGCACTAAATGCCCACAAGAGAAAGCAGGAAAGATCTAAAATCGACACCTTAACATCACAATTAAAAGAACTAGAGAAGCAAGAGTAAACAAATTCAAAAGCTAGCAAAAGGCAAGAAACAACTAAGATCAGAGCAGAACTGAAAGAGACAGAGAAACCATCATTCTCAGCCAACTATCACAAGGACAGAAAACCAGACACTGCATGTTCTCACTCATAGGTGGGAATTGAACAATGAGATAACTTGGACACAGGGCGGGGAACGTCACATGCTGGGGCTTGTTGGGGGGTGGGGTGTGGGGAGAG
This sequence comes from Homo sapiens, assembly GCF_000001405.40. NCBI lineage: Eukaryota > Metazoa > Chordata > Mammalia > Primates > Hominidae > Homo > Homo sapiens. The sequence continues at coordinate 424,078 of NT_187577.1, read as the reverse complement.
GGATAGCATTAGGAGAAATACCTATGTAAATGATGAGTTGATGGGTGCAGCAAACCAACATGGCACATGTATATCTATGTATCAAACCTGCACGTTGTGCACATGTACCCTAGAACTTAAAGTACAATAAATAATAATAATAATAATACACTTGCCAAATCAGGGGTTACACTTCTCACACATATTTGAGGCCATGCTAATCTGCTCTAGCATGGACATACCCTGGCGCAGTGAATGCAATCAAGTCTACTACCTGATTACATTTGTAGTAGTTAAATATTATCTTCCAGGATCATCTTGTTTCTGCAGGGATCATATTGAATAATTAAATGTGTGTAATATATAGCCAACCACCCCTGCATCCTTTAGATCTTTAAAAGTAGCACTAATTTCTTGAAACAGGCGGTTACAGACATCAAACACATTAAAGCCCCACTGAGGGAATTGCACAAACTATTAAATATGCCAACTCCAATTATATACACTAGGTCTGAGAAATAACAACCAAATGGATTTATGGAACTAGCAGACCCACTGTAAACTGAAACTTGGCCAGGACTCTATTTAACTCCTGGTGTCTCTAAGTCCTCACTCTCACAGGGAGACCATGATCACATTGGGCTTCTGGATATTAATGTCAATGCAGTCTGTGTCCACTAGTTTTTAAAATGTTTGGATATTTTCTTTTCCCCAGTGAACAGATACGTGATTAAATGGTTGTAAGTCCATATGGGAACATATGAGAGGAACAGTTAACAAGGTGTTATGGGGATTTTCTTCTATGGCCCTTGCTCCCACTTAAGTCAATGAGTTCTGGCTCTGAAAATTGGTTTAGATTCAGAGTGTGGACCTAACATTGCGATATTTACTGAGACAACTCTCCACAGTCTCCTGGTCATCTATTTTTATACATTTCCTTTAATGAAACAAATTGAGTAGTACCCTCATTGGCTGCTCACAGAACACAGGGAAATCGTATTATATTAACTCTCTCCCTGACACTTGGTAGGGAAGGTACCCATGTCTGCTACTGCATATCTACTGCTTATAACAACATTATTCATCTGGCTTCTGGTAGGTAAGCACTGCTATCTGGTCTTGATTTTTCCAGATCTTATCATATCCATTGCTACCGGTGAGTGTAGTGGCATTCCCACTCTGACCTGCAGAGGAAGCCATCTTTGAAATTTATGGTGAATATGGTATCCCTTTCTCTAGCACATTCCTTATGGCCTTGGGCTTTCCTGTTTGGCCAAATCATTTGGCCTTAAATACACAGTACATAGATTACAGTATTCCCACTTCCCTGAGCCTTTTTCTTCTTTTTTCCACTATCTGCTATGGCAATTCTGTCATTTCAATTTCACTTAGGGCGAGTGATCTTTTTTTTTCCATGCTGCTGGAAGCCATCCTAGTAGAAAGATTTTACTGTCTTCTAGGATCCATGCCAGTATGTTAAATGCTGTACTTTAGGAGAGTGTTTCCAAAACAATAAATACCCCCCATCCCATGTTGTGTTCCTCTATTCTATCTCATGATCAGGTTCTCAGAACTCAGTCCCTTGTGTACTTCCCTGATGCCAGCAGTAACTGCTGGCTAGGACCAAATCTTTTTTGGAGTATAGTTTCCTTACTGCTTTATAAAGTCCATCACATCCCTGTCTCTATTATTCTGTGCCTTTTCTCTATTTTCAGCTAGTGGCCACGAAGGATAGCGAGAAGATACTGATGAGAATACACTTCGTGTTATGAAGAGGGACGGGGGAGGAATCAGATCTAAGCCATTCTATAGGTTCAATAGACTCAAAGAAGCCTGGAGCCTCAAAATTAGGGTAGTCATATTTTCAATTGTCTCCATCCCAAGGGTAGGTCCCATTCTTCTCCCAATTGGAACCCCAAACCTGAAAAATATACCTGATAAGGAATTCAAACTTATATAGAGTTTAACTTCTCAATTAAGTCTTCCTCATCTCTCTCTAACCTCTTTTTTAAAAGATGAGGGGCTCTTTATAAGTTAGCAGAGGCCCTCTAGACTCACGCTTTGCTTTCAAATGCATGCCCTTTTGTTATATTTTCCTAAGTTCAATGGTATTTGGCAATAGCCATTTAATGCCATTACCCTTAAAGTTACTATTTGCCCCATTAATTTCAATTGTACCAGCTAATGTATTCTCTCTTACAAGTATACTATCCCAATCTGCTGAGAGAGTATATTATCAACTTCCACCAGTGATGAGGTGCTCACTGATAGCCTGGCAGAGAGTGATTTGGATTTGAAAACTCATCTTTCAGTCTGTATTTACTCACTCCACTCTCATTACCAACTGTTAGTAGTTGGGACATCTAGGAGCTGACATCTAATTGAGGCATACGATGAAGGCTATTTATTAAAGATCAGAATATTTGGAAATGGGAAGGAAGCTGGATGGAGCAGAGGAGAATTCAAACTGGGATGCAAATCCAACAAGTTCTTGAACAGACTAATAGGTAGCTGTGTGGTATAAATAACCTGCCAGTGTGTGTTTGATTGGGCCAAAAGAGGCAGACTTTTGTATAAAACCCCCACCTCACGTAATCATTGCATGTGTGCTGGCTTGAGAAGTGTGTGCCTTTGGGCAAAAGCTCTCTTTGCAGTTGAGGCAAATTCTGGAAGAGCTGATAGCTGAAGACTACTTGATGACAGATGGCGGTATTTTCCTTATTCACTACCTTGATTTTCTTTTAGCATTCTATTTTTATTGTTTTAAATGCAAAGAACACAGCTATAGGTTTTATATTTCTTTTGTTTTACTGTCTTTTTCTCTTAGTCATTAAGCTCCATGAGTACAATAATCATATGGCAATGTCCATCTGGTTGAATATTGCAGGCTCTTTGCATTTAGACACTCGATGTATAATTTTGATTAAGCAAATCTACTTATATTTCAACATTTCTTTAAAAGTTTAAATTTACTTAATAAAAGAATGCAAACTTAATGTAACTACTTGTTAGTTAACATGTCCCATATAATATACCACCTGTGGTTTTTGGTAACAGAAGAAAAATGCCTGCAAGTAAAAAGCTAAGTAAATGAATCAAGGAGAAAATGGGAAATGAATGAATTAGGGGATGAACAAAACACTGCATCAGAGGATGAAATTTTTGATGCATTCATACTAGTTTTTTGGAGATCCTAGAACATATATTATAGGAATATACATTTTGCTAAACATTCTGTTGCAATCAGAACTCATCTGACAAAGGGCTAATATCCAGAATCTACAATGAACTCAAACAAATTTACAAGAAAAAAACAAACAACCCCATCAAAAAGTGGGTGAAGGATATGAACAGACATTTCTCAAAAGAAGACATTTATGCAGCCAAAAAACACATGAAAAAATGCTCATCATCACTGGCCATCAGAGAAATGCAAATCAAACCCACAATGAGATACCATCTCACACCAGTTAGAATGGCGATCATTAAAAAGTCAGGAAAAAACAGGTGCTGGAGAGGATGTGGAGAAATAGGAACACTTTTACACTGTTGGTGGGACTGTAAACTAGTTCAACCATTGTGGAAGTCAGTGTGGTGATTCCTCAGGGATCTAGAACTAGAAATACCATTTGACACAGCCATCCCATTACTGGGTATATACCCAAAGGATTATAAATCATGCTGCTATAAAGACACATGCACACGCATGTTTATAGTGGCACTATTCACAATAGCAAAGACTTGGAACCAACCTAAATGTCCAACAATGATGGACTGGATTAAGAAAATGTGGCACATATACACCATGGAATACTATGCAGCCATAAAAAATGATGAGTTCATGTCCTTTGTAGGGACACGGATGAAACTGGAAACCATCATTCTCAGCAAACTATGGCAAGGACAAAAAACCAAACACCACATGTTCTCACTCATAGGTGGGAATTGAACAATGAGAACACATGGACACAGGAAGGGGAACATCACACACTGGGGACTGTTGTGGGGTGGGGGGAGGGGGGAGGGATAGCATTAGGAGATATACCTAATGCTAAATGACGAGTTACTGGGTGCAGCACACCAACATGGCACATGTATACATATATAACAAACCTGCATGTTGTGCACATGTACCCTAAAACTTAAAGTATAATAATAATAAAATTAAAAAAAAAGAGTATAATAATAATAAAATTTAAAAAAAACAAAAAAGAACTCAAAAAAGATGTCATGTGTCAAGTAAATGAATTCTAGGTTGAAGTTTTTTTTAATTAAAAAATAAAAGAATATATTGTAGACGCTACTTAATGAACCTTACAGAAAGTATTATTTAATTTTACCTTTAAGAGATATTTTAAACCCTGCTTAAAAATAACAATACTATTCAAACAGAAATAAGTATTAAAAAAACAAAACACACACACATAAAAAGTAGCATTCTAGAAAAATAGCACACAGAAAATAGAACTGACTTGTGATTTAAGAAATCATAGTTCTGCAGCTTTTGTTGAATTTCGTTTAAGCCTCCTAATCTGAAATTTATTACTCAAATAATTAGGAAGACAAGATGGACCATATACAATGTAATTTGGTACAAATTATATTCCTGAGCTTACCACTGGGCAAATAAACCACCTTTACTCAACTAGAAAATAATTATATATATATGCATTTCACTGGGTAATTTTGATCTGTTTCTATTATTTTAATTTCTCTAAAAATACAAAATTATATTTGGATATTATGAATAATTGCTCACCAGAAAAGCAAGAATATATGCACAAGTCTTATTAAAATTACTCTCAAAGCTGTTTGAAAAACAAAACATAAAAATGAATTTTGATCAGGTGGCTTAAGACCACCATTATCTTAGCAGTTATTCCTCAGTTAGGAAATATGATTATTTTTAAATGAAATTCACTCTGAGCCTTGTAAGTTTCATGCCATTAAAATTAAATCATGAATGTGGGTAGTAATAGGAAATTATATAAATTTTAGAATCTACTGATTTTAATGTTTATATAAATGATGAGCTGTAAATATGGATTTTTGCCCAGCTAGCTAATCATCAAAAACAAAAATCAAACCACAATAAAAATAATGTATGGTCTTTTTCTTGGAAAACCTCAGATACTCTTAAAAAACTACTCTTCTTTAACTAAAATTTAATGTTTATTAATCTTGTGGTTCAGTTTCTTCCACTTCTAGAGTTGTGTGGTACATAATGTACTCTACAGAGAGATGCAAATTTAAGGTAAAATAAATACGAAAGAAAGAGCAATACCTTTTCCAAATATCTTGGCACACTGGTTATCAGTAGTTTGACATTGTCCGTTATAGCAATAGGCAGTTCCCAACTTGCACAAACGGCCATTCAATGCATAAGTGTCAGGAACACAATTACTAGAGGTTCCATTGCAGTACTCTGTAAAATCACACTCTGGATCAATACTCTTTCTACATGGAGTGCCTGCTATTGACAACTGGGAGGAAAAGGAAAAATAAAATTAAGTTCTGTAAATCATTTTTCTCAATTGCTTAGTGAAAAGATTTATCACATAAAATGTTTCTAATTATTGATATTTGAGGGAACACCAGAGTTCCCAAGTCCGTGAGTTTGCCAAAAAAAATCAAATACAGTATTCATTGTGAAGCCCAGAGAAAACTGTCTCAAAGACGTGAAAGAATTCCTTTTGACAGTGAGTTTGCAGCTGCTCACCTCCTTTGTGCTCTACATTTTGAAATAAGCTGACTCAAACAGCATTAGATTAAACATACCTGTTCCTTGGAACTATAGGAACACTGTCTCTACCTTTTTGTTCTTGGAGAAACTCAGGAGCCAGACTTCCTGGTTTCAGTCCCAGTCTCTCACTCTTACTACCTTATTTGTATGGGTGAGAAACACAATCTATCTGTTTTACTTTTGTAAGCTTGGAATAAAAGACAAATTCTCATAGAGTTCTTATTAGTATTGAACAGGAGTAATGGAAAAAGTTCTTAGAACAATACATAGTAAGCAGTGCAGTGTGCATATATGATAGCTATCATCATATCAGCATCTTTTTTTTTTTTTTTTTTTGAGATGGAGTTTTGCTCTTTTGCTCAGGCTGGAGTGAAGTGGCATGATCTCAGTTCACTTCAACTGCCATCCCCCAGGTTCAAGCAATTCTCCTGCCTCAGCCTCCCGAGTAGCTAGGATTATAGGTACATGCCACCACGCCTGGCTAATTTTTGTATTTTTAGTAAAGACAGGGTTTCACCATGTTAGTCAGGCTGGTCTCAAACTCCTGACCTCAGGTGATCCACCCACCTTGGCCTCCCAAAGTGCTGGGATTACAGGCATGAGCCACCGCGCCAAGTCTTGAGCCACCACACCTGGCCTCATTTTTATATGTTTATTATTATCTAAGAGCATAAACGCCTCCTTGCATCACTTAGGTGAGGTGTACAGTTATTGCCAAAATTTTGTGGTGGCCTGACCTAATAGATTGCCATCCATAGTGAAGTTCACCATGTTGAAATGCTGTCCTGCTATATATGTTGATGTCACACACATGCACACACACACACACACAAACACACACACAAAATACAATCCAGTTTGATGAAATTAATACTTCATACGGTTTGGCTGTGTCCCCACCCAAATCTAATCTTGAATTGTAGCTCCCATAATTCCCACATGTGATGGGAGGCACCCGGTGGGAGATAATTCAATCAGGGGGCAGGTCTTTCCTGTGCTATTCTCATGATAGTGAATAGGTCTCACAAGATCTGATGGTTTTATAAAAAGCAGTTTCCCTGCACAAGCTCTCTTCTCTTGTCTGCCGCCATGTGAGATGTGCCTTTCACCTTCCACCATGATTGTGAGGCCTTCCCAGCCATGAGGAGCTGCGAGTCCATTAAACTTCTTTCTTTTGTAAATTTCCCAGTCTCAGGTGTGCCTTTATCAGCAGCATGAAAACCAACTAATACAATATTCAATAATGAAACAAAGATGCATAATAAATAAAAGAAATGGTAACTTAAAAGTGATGAAATTTAAAAACAACTTTTTCAACTTAGAATTCCATACCCTGTAACTATATATTTCAAAAAAGGATGAGACACAAAGACTTTCCTAGACAAAAAATAACTGAGTAGCCAGGCGTGGTGGCTAACATCTGTAATCCCAGCATTTTGGGAGGCCTAGGGGGATAGATTGCTTGAGCTCAGAAGTTCAAGGACAGCCTGGGAAACATGGTGGAATACCCCATCTCTACAAAAAATACAAAAATTAGCTGGGCATGGTGGTGTGTGCCTGTAGTCCTAGCTACTTGGGAGGCTGAGGTGGAAGGATGGCTTCAGCCCAGGAGGTGGAGGTTGCAGCTAGCAGAGATAGTGCCACTGCACTCCAGTCTGGGCAGCAGAGCCAGACCCTGTCTCAAACAAACAAACAAAAAAAACTGAGATAATTTATTTTCAGAGGACATAAATGACAAGAAATAGTAAAGGGAGGTCTTCAGGTACAAGAAATATGATAGTAAACAGAAATCTGCAAAAGAAAATAGACCTCTGAAATGAAACAAATGATGTTAATTCATTTAATTTTTTTTCTTCTTTTATTTACTCTAAAAGATAAAAGACTATACAGCAAAAATAGTAAAAACATATTTTGTTTTTATGGTATATGATCATGTTCTATTATAAGAATTATTCACTACACATGAAATGAAATATGAAATTAGCCTGATTAATTAATGATTCATAAAGCAATGGTTAATCAGTAATTTATAATCAATAATTTGTATGGATCAATGATTTAAATGATTTTTAAAAGGTACAAATAACAAATCAGTAGCAAAGATAACACAAAACCATATATTTTATAGTTTTAGTGTTTACATTCAATTTACAAAGCAACCGTAAGTCTCATAAGTGTCTGGTGGGAACTCAAGATAGTACAGTTGCTTTGAAAGACTGTTTTTCAATTTCCTATAAAGTTCCATATTTACCATATGATCCAGCAATCCCTCTCCTAGGTATCTAGCTAAGTGAAATGAAACACTATGTTCATGCACAAATATGCTTATGAATATTAAAGTAGCCATATTTTCATCACCAAAAATGGAAAACAGCCAAAATATCCCTCAACTGGGGAATGGATGAATGAACTGTGGTACATCCTTACAATCCTTGCAATACTACTAATATGCAGTCACTATAAAGGAATGATCTGCTAATAAACATAAGAACATGAATGTATCTCAAATACATTATGTTAAGATGCCTGCTTCACATTTGCACATATTGTATGATTCAATTTATGTGATAATTTTGCAAAAGCATAATTACAGCTTCAGAAAACAGATCAGTGGTTACCAGGGGCTGCGGGTGGAGTCATGGATTGAGTATAAAGAGGCACAGGGAAATGTGAGAGAGGAGTGATGACATCACCTATCCTTTTTATGATGCTAGTTATAAGCTTAAATATGTTTCTTCTGACACTTGGGAATATTCACTAACAGAATTTTAGTATATTAAATTATACATTAATAGCTAAATTCAACAAAAAAAATACATAGAATATTTACATAGAGGTGATTTACCAGAATTGGAATAATAAAATATCTTGCTACTAAGGAACTTGTTTTCTTATCCAAATGTGTGTCTTGGACATAATACTATATTACTGCATTAATATTTAGTCCATATTTACTAACTCTTGTACAATATATAATTATGTAATCATTCCAATATCAATAAATACTGTTCATTTCAATTGTATGTGTATGATTTGCATTTCAGTTATCAATGAGAGTTCTTTACACATTCTATATGCTGCATATTTTGTCTGCTATTCATGCTACAATTTTTTCCATAATCATTCATCATTTATTTGACTTTATAATTTATTTGAGAGTTAATAACTTTTTGGATGTAGTAATGTGTGTTTTTTCTCCCTTTTATCTGATAATTTAGAAGATGGTAAACTTTGTGATTTTAACACTAAAGAATAGAATCATCACTCAGAATCCATGGGCATTTGGTTCCAGGAACCCTCAGGCATATTAAATCTATGGGCACTCAAGTCCTTTACATAATATCTTGTAACATTTGTATATAACTTACACACATCTTCTCATATATTTTTATTATCTCTGTATTACTTATATTACCTAATACAATATAAATGCTATGTAAATAGTTATACTGTATTGTTTAGGGAATAAAGACAAAAATAAAAATAAACTCTGGCATATCTTTACAATATTTGCAATACTATTCAGCAACAAAAAGGAATTATTTGCTAATAGACACAACAGGAATAAATCTCACATGCATCATGCTAATGCACCTAATTCATGTTTGCACGTATTAAGTGGTTCAGTATGTGGAGCCCATGCATATAGTAACTGCAACCGTACCTGTCTGAGATGACTTTTATATTTTATAGCAATTTTCCTTTAAACTTGTGTTTGTTCATGCACTCTACATTTTATTTCACTAAATTCCTTATATATTCTTTTTATTAATTGCACATTGATTCAGTTAATACAGACGTCTCTTACCACAGTTCAATTTGCTTTTAATGAATGTTGGTAACTTACCTCACACTTTGATGTACAACATGGTCCAGAACCACATTTTACTGAGCCCTTCAGTTTACATGTGTTATAATCACAGCACTTCTTAAATTGACATTCCTAAAATTTTACAGGAAGAAATATTATTACAGTTTAACCACTTAAAAGCTCTTGTTTCTTAATCTCAATTTCAATTTAATATTCTGTTGTGTACAAACTTGTAGTTATACAATATAATTGTATAATTCCAATGAAGCTGTATTAGTTTACCATTTCTTTTCTTCTTCTTTTTTTTTTTTTTTTTTTTTTTTTTTTTGAGACAGGATTTCACTCTGTCGCCCAGGCTGGAATGCAGTGGTGTGATCATGACACACTGCAGCCTCAACCAGTGAGATCCAAGTGATCCTCCCACCCCAGCCTCCTGAGTAGCTGGGACCAGAGGTGTAAGCAATCATGCCCAGATATTTTTTTTCTTTTTTTTTTTTTTTTTGTAAAGACTAGGTGTCACTATCTTGCCCAGGCTGGTCTCAAACTCCTTAGTTCAAATGATCCTCCTGCCTCAGCCTCACAAAGTGCTAGGATTACAGGAGTTAGCCACCATGCCAGACCCTATTTTACTATTTCTAGAATAGCCACAGGTACATGCAAGTGTAAGAACTGCAGAAATAACATCTAAAATAGCAGTTGGTCAGCAATATTCATCAGCTAAAATATTTCATAATTAACTCGTAAGTTACCAACACCAAAACATATCCTTGGGGGAATGAAAAGGTGGTTTTTAGGAGAAACAAACTTTTCTCAAGGGTCTCATGGGTGATTTGTTTACTAAGGATTCCAATTGTAAATAAAGTTAGAGTGAGGCAGTAAGTAGAATAAAAATGTACTTAGTATATATTTATGTACCATGTTTTACTATAATAGAAATCAACAAAAAAAGACTATACCTATTATTTTTAAAAAGTAAATGGCAGTCAATTATTATTCAAATAGGGGCTGGGTGCAGTGGCTCACGCCTGTAATCCCAGCACTTTGGGAGGCCAAGGTGGGCAGATCACTTGAGGTCAGGAGTTCAAGACCAGCCTGGCCAACATGGTGAAACCCCACCTTTACTAAAAATACAAAAATTAGCCAGGCGTGGTGGTGTGTGCCTGTAATCCCAGCTACTCAGGACGCTGAGGCAAGAGACTCGCTTAAACCTGGGAGGCAGAGGTTGCAGTGAGCCAAGGTCATGCCACTGCACTCCAGCCTGGGTGACAGAGTGAGACTACATCTCAAATAAATAAACAAATAAATTAGGTAATAACTTTAAAGAATCTTAAAAAACAAATATTATTTGTATGTAAATAACACTGCATTTACACCATATTTTTATATTCTTAACTCTTTTATTAAACAATTTTATTTACTCAGAGATCTAGTTTCAAAGATCTTGTCCTTTAATATAAAGGCAGGATTCTTCTTAATTTTGAAATTTCCATTTGTTCACACTTTTTCATATGTATGCATGTAAATGGACGTATGCTTATACAATCAAATAATATATAAAATATAGAGCAGAAGTTGAAATTGTAATTACATTCTCCAGATTCTCTAGGGGTAATCACATTGTATAATTTACTGTTTAACCTTCCAAAGTTAAATAATGCTGTATAAATGTATGTGTGTGTATATATTCTTTCACTAGTAATTAATGAAGACGCTCTCCCTGTACCACAATACTTAGCAGTACTAATTATGACCAATCATTTTAATTTGTAACAAGGAATGGAAAAACTGATCTCAAAGCTCTCATTATTACTTCTCTGATTACCAGTGAGTTTGTGCATAAATTTGCATTTGTGCAATTTTATTTATGAATTAAATAATCATATATTTTGACCATTTTGCATAGCAGAGCTTTTTTCTTTCCCTGTTCCTATTAGATAACAGAAACAGATTTTATATGATATCTGGTTGCCTTTATATATATATAAAATATATATATATAAAATAAGCCTAATTTGTAACACTACGGATATGTTCTAGGTAGTCTTTGTCGAAAGGGCATTGACACCTGTATCTTCATAAATATCCTCCATTTTTCACAAATGGAAGCTCTGTTTTGTACCCACTCACCCATACAAATGTGGCTGCATGCACCTTATTTGTACCTGTGTTCACATGTATCACTGCTAATAAATATTTGAACAAATATTTCACAGCATATAGAGGGATACATTTTACAAAAAGTAAAGCTATAAGCCTTAAAATTAGCAATAAAATATAAGAATAAAGTACTGATACTGTTTTATAGTCTTGGCATGGTGGAGGTCTTGATAATCAATACATAAAACCCAATAGTCCTAAAGGAACAAGAATATTACAAATTACTCAAATTGATAGGCACCATTAACAGACCAATTAGAGACTGCAAAGAAACATTATAAAAATATAGAAAAGAGAGGCTGGGAATGGTGGCTCACGCCTGTAATCTCAGCACTTTGGGAGGCTGAGGAAGGCGGATCACGAGGTCAGGAGATAGAGACCATCCTGGCTAACACGGTGAAACCCCAACTCTACCAAAAATCCAAAAAAAAAAAAAAAATTTGCCGGGTGTGGTGGTGGGCGCCTGTAGTCCCAGCTACTTGGGAGGCTGAGGCAGGAGAATGGCGTGAACCCAGGAGGCGGAGCCTGCAGTGAGCCGATATCGCACCACTGCACTCCAGCCTGGGCGACAAACCGAGACTCCCTCAAAAAAAAAAAAAAAAAAAGAAGAAGAAGAAACAGTTGTTTTTTTGTTTTTTTTTTATTTGAGTATGGTCATATAGGCATCCTGATCATGTACTTAAATGATCAATCACAGTAACCAAAATTCTAGAATCCCAAAAGGAAGCAGGTATCTACCATAAATTAAATTGTTCAACATCACAGTCTGGGAAAGCAAACCAACATTATCACCTATGGAACATTTAAAACTTCAACTTCTCAGACCTGAACTGAAGGCCAACCTTAGAAGCAGGTCTTTCTAAAGATGGCAACTTCAGGGCTGGTACGTTAACTCTGTTTCTGCACAATATTGCATTAATATTGCACAGATTATAAATGTTTGCATTTGCTATTATTGATTAGAATTACTACTTTTTAATGCTTATTTTATATTTTCCTAATTACAGGACTGGAATGTTCATATTATTCTTTTAAAACAGCTTTTCCAGTACTTTCTTGTTAATTTTCTGTCTGGTTGATATGTCCATTGTTGAAAGTGGAGTATTAAAATCCTCTCCTATTATACTGTATTGCCATCTATTTCTCCTTTAATGTCTGTTAATATTTACCTTATATACTTAGGTACTTCAGTATTGGATGCATTTATAATTGTTATGTATTCTTGATGAATTATACCATTTTCATTAAGTATTTTGTTGTTTCTTGTGACTGTTTTCCACTTGAAGTCTACTTTATCTGTTATTAATATAGCTGTCCCTGTTCTTTTTCGGTTACTATGTGCATGAAATATAGTCTTGCATTCCTTTACTTTCAGCCTATGTGGGTCCTTAAAGCTAAAGCTAGGCTCCTGGATGTAGCATATAATTTAATCTTTTTAAAAAATCCATTCAGCCACTCTGTGTCTTCTGATTCAATAATCGAATCCATTTATAGTCAAAGTAACTATTTATAGGCAAGAATTGACTACTGCCATTTTTTTAGTTGTTATTTGGTTGTTTTGTAGATCTTTTGTTCTTTTCTTCTTCTCTTGTTGTTTATCCTTGTGATTTGGTGATTTTCTTTTGTGTTAAGTTTTACTTCCTTTCTCATTTGTGCACCTGCCATAGTTTTTTGCGTTGTGGTTATCATAAGGCTTACATAAAATATCTTATAGTTAAAATAAATTATTGTATACTGATAAAAACTTCAGTCACATACAAAAACTCAAGACTTCACCTCTCCCCCCAGTTTAAATGTCTTTAAAAATAAAGCATTTCTTTTTCTTTGCAGATGGATTGTCAGGGACAATGTGTTTTAGGTTAATATCCAGCTTTATTATGTTGTGGGAATACACGTTTATTTTCAGATTTTTTGGTATCTATAATTATTTTCAGCATGATCTAATGCATGACTGATTTTTAAAATAACCCATGGAATTTTGAAAATTATGTGTATTCTTTTTTTGATTATGAAGTTCCCTTGCTATTAGATATGCTTTTTAGTGACTGTTGTTAATTACTGATAATTTATTAGTTGTTTGATAGCCTGAAAGAGGTATATTAAAGCCTTATGAACTATGGATACGTGCATGGTCCATGTATTTTGTTTTATATATTTCAGGGTGCATATTCTATGGATGGATATGTGCATATTCCACGTATTTTGTTTTACATATTTCAGAGACATCTCATTGATTATATTAAGTTCACTATCTTGCCCATCTTCTTAGTTTTTACATTTTTAGTAATTGCTATTGCTTATATACTGTTCAATGTTTATAATTTGGTTTTCTTTCATAATATATCACACACATACTTGCTTTTTTGTGTATTTGCTTGTTTTTTTTTTAAATTATTCATTCCAGTACTAGGGGATCCTTAGAAAATATGTTTGAAAATTAAGATTTCGTAGGTAATTTTCCATGTAAAAATCCAATCAATTATTTTAGCTATCAAACAACTAATCAATTATCAGATAATGTATAACAACAGTCACTAAAAAGCATAATCTAATAGCAAGGGAACTTTATAATGAAAAAAGAATATATGTAATTTTCAAAATTCCATGGGTTATTTTAAAAATCAGTCATGCATTCATGCATTATAATTGTCTCAAATTTCCCTGAAGGCATTCTATATTAAGACTTAGACATTCTCATTCCCCAAAACTATTTTAAATGTTTTCTAGCAAGAGATCAAGTTGGAAATGTGAAGTGTTCTTTACATTTATTATTCATCTTGTTCTCAATTTTGAAAAATATATTATTTTAAAATGTTGATTAGAGAATATAGGAAGTACTCCTCTCCACAACTCAAATAAGAAAAGTTGTAATAGCACATCTGCCCTCCAACATTCAGGTTATAATGAAGAGGGGCATGTACGGTACTCTCCAGAAGCATTATTCCATTTTCAACCCTCCCTAATGCAGTGTTATTTTTACTTAGATTTCTGGGAAAGAAATCTCAGCAGTGGTAAACTAAGAAACCAGCGTAAACAACCTACTTATTACTTAGTGTAACTGTGTTTTTTTCCTCTTACTGCTGTAACCTTTAACAGGTTACCACAAACTTAGCGGTTTAAAACCATGCAAACATACGATCTAAACTTCTGTAGTGTAGAAGTCCAATGAGCTAAAAATCAAGGTGTTGGTGGGCTTGCGTTCTTTTCTGGAAGCTTTCTGGTAGAATCTATTTTCCTGCCTTTTTCAGCTCATAGAAGGCCACTCAAATTCCTCGGCTCATGTTTTTTTCCTCTATCTTTAAAGCCAGTAAAGGGAAGTCAAATTCTTGTCATAGCACATCACTATCAGCTTTTCTTCTCCTTCTTCTTCTGCTTTAAAAAATCTGAGCAATTGGATGCATCTGAATAATGTGGTATATTGTCTCCATCACAAGGTCTTTAACTTAATCACACCTGCGAAGTTCCTTTTGCCATGTGAAATAGCATGCACACAGGTTCAAGGATGAGATGGGGGCAACTTTGAGAGGATGATATTCTGCCTACCACAATTATATTAATAAAACAATTTAAGGAATTTGCCATAGATTCTTTTAAGTTCTTTTTCTTTGATTTATAAATGTTTCATTTCACTCAGTTAATAAAAAGCAACAAATTATTAATTTGCATCAGCAGGAGTGCCATTGGTAATCTCAGCTCAAAGATTCCCGAAACAATTCCCTATGTGTTTTGATTACTGTAGATATGGAAATGTAGAGAGCATACAGCTGGATATTTTATAATACAATATAATTCTCATTTAATAGGAAAATATAACCTTTTAACAGTTATGTCTATTCCTGACATGTTATGTTCTTACTATGACATCATTATATTTTTAATATTTATGAGGTATCATAGGTTTTTTGTTTTGCTTTTCCTTTCTTCTCATTTTTAAGACTATAAAGGCTTTGTTCTTTCACGTCTTTTTCATTCAAAATACAATTTCCAATATATTACTTTTTAGATGTACTGTTTACCTTTAAAATGAACGTATCTAAAGTTATATGTTGAATACACTTCTAGAAGAGATTGACATTTCCCCAAAACAACATGAATAGTGTCATCAAGTCTTGAGATGTTCCCTTTAACCCCTTTTTAGTAACTAGGCCAGGCACTGTGGCTCACGTCTGTAATCCCAGCACTTTGGGAAGCCAAAGCGGGTGGATCACTTGAGGCCAGGAGTTCAAAACCAGCCTGGGCAACATAGCAAAATCTCATCTGTACCAAAAATAAAAGAAAAAACTAGCCAGGCATGGTGGTGGGCACCTGTAATCCTGGCTACTCGGGAGGCTGAGGCAGGAGAATCTCTTGAACCTGGGAGGCAGAGGTTAGAGTGAGCTGACATCAAGCCACTGCACTCCAGCCTGGATGATAAAAGCAAGGCTGTCTCAAAAAACAAAAACAAACAAACAAACAAAGACCTTTTTAGTGACTACTAACCAATAAAAGGAAATGTGATCTTGACTTTTAACAGTCTATAATAGTTTTATTTTTTTAACTTACTATAATTTTCTTGGCCTTGGTTATCTTGCTCAAAATAATGTTTATTGAATTCAACCACTTTGTTTTGTGCAGCATACTTTATTTTATGATTATAGCACAATTTGTTTTTCATTTTGCTGAAGAAGAATATTTGGGCTATTTCTCTGCTTTCTTTTCTTTGCTATTATGATATGAATGTTTTATGTTTTATATATACCTGAGACTGAAATTCTGGATCACATTTATGTATGTGTTCAACTTTACAATAAAATAGCACTTTTCACTTGTGCCAATTTTCACTACCAACAGTAGTGCCTAATAGCTACTTATCCTCACCAATTTTTTTCTTTTTCGCCATTCTGATGGTGTTTTGTTGTTTTCAAATTATGCTTTTCATCTGCATTTTGGGATGCTGAGCATCGATTCACAAATTTATTAGCGATTAGTATATCCACTTTGAAAGTTTCTGTTTAAGAATTAGGTCAATTCTTTTCTCTGAAAGTCTGTCATTTTCTTATTGATTTATATGTATTCTTTATCTGAGTACATATCTCCTGTCACATTTATGTGGAGAAAACAATCTCCTATTGTATAATCTACCCTTTAAATCTCTTATCTGATATTTTATTTTATCAACATCTAATTTGTAAATATTAGGTAATATTGACATTTAGAGAAAATTATTAGACTACATATTCGCTTATGTTTTACACTTTGTTTTGTGTTTTTTTACCTTTACACATTTATCAACAATATATCTGAAATTAGGTTCTATATATAAACCAAATAGGTAAAGACTATTTCTTATGTATATTGAATTGTCCCAGCGTCATTTTTTGTAAAGGCATCCTTTCTACACTGCATTCCTCTGTCCTTTTTGTCACAAAACAGTAATGATATTTATGTAGGTCTATTCTAGATTCCATTCTGTTCCATTTGTCTGTGTCTGTCCAGGCACATATACCATACTGCCTTAATAACTATAATTTTATAATGAAAATAGATTTATGAAAATTTCAGTGGACCAAATTTGTTTTTTTTTTCAAGATCACCTTGGCTAGCTTTGTGCCTTTCATGTTTCCATTTAAACTTGAAAATCAGCTTGTCTATTTACATATACCAACACATATGCAAACACAATTCCTGCTAGCATATGAATTGGAATTGCACTTCGGGATGATGAATTTGGACAAAAAATTACATCTTAGCAATATTAATTCCTCTAATTTTAAAACATGACATATCCTTGCATTGATTAAGTAGTCCCATAATTTTTCTCCTAATGATTTGCAGTTTTATATTTAGTAGTCTTATACATGTTTTATTATATATATTCCTAAGTATTTCATGTTCCTGGGTATTATTGTAGATGCTGTTGTTTTAAATTTTTTTCTTCTAGTCATTTATAAAGAAATATTTGATTTTTATGAATTGACTATGTAACAAGTGACCTCGATAAATTCATTTATACGTGCAAATAATTTATTTCTAGATTATTTTGGGTTTTCATGCATACAATGATATGATTATAAATAATGAAATCTAAATTTCCTCTCTTCCAACTATTATGCATTTTCTTTTTGTTGCTTTGGTGGCTAGTTTATCACATTCAATAATAAGTGTGAAAGATGACAACAGATATCACTGCCTCATTTCTGACCTCAGTGAGAACAACTGTTATGCATGATGTTAACTGTAGATTTTACAGATACCCTTTCTTAAATATAGTGAGTTTCCCTCTTTTCCTTTTTTTCTCAAAATTTATTATCTATCCATTGAGATGATCACTTTTTTTACATTCTGTAAATAAACCACAATATCCCCAACAATAGAACATAATGTTACTGTTTATGTATATGTTGTATCATTATTTTCAATTTGTTAATCATTTAGTGAAGATTTTGTGTTCATGAGAAATATGGATATATCCAACAACATACACTGGGAAAAGAACAGTCTCTTTAATAAATGGCACTGGGAAAATGAAATATCTATATGCAAGAGAATGAAACTAGATCTCCATCTTTCACCATTTACAAAAATTAACTAAAAGTGAGTTAAAGACTTAAATGTAATACCTGAAAATATGAAACTACCAGAAGAACACATTGTGGAAACACTACGGGAAATTGGGCTAAGTTTTTTTTTAAGCAAGACTAAAAGCAGAGGGAACAAAAGTAAAAATGGATGGGATTACATCAAGCTAAAAAGCTTCTGTACAGCAAATGAAACAATTAACAGAGTGAAGAGACAACCTAAAGAATGGGAGAAAATATTTGCCAATTACACATTTGATAATAACTTAATATAAAAGCATATAAGGAACTCAAACAACCGAATAGCAAAAACCAAATAATCCAATTTAAAAATGGACAAAAATCCCCTGCACTTCTCAAAATAAGACATTCAAATGACAACAGATATATGAAGAAAACATTCATCAGTTATCATCAGGGACATACAAATCAAACCCACAATGAGATATCATCTCATCCTAGTTAGAATGGCTATTATCAAAATGACAGAAAATAACAAATGCTAATGTGGATGCTGAGAAAGGGAAACGCTTGCACACTGTTAATGGAAATCTAAAGTATTATAGTTATTATGGAAAGTAGTATGAAGCTTCCTCAACAAACAAAAAATAGAACTACCACAGGATCCAGCAATCCCACTGCTGGATATACATCCAAAAGAGAGGAAATTAGTATACTCAAAAGATACCTGCACTCTCATGTCTATTGCAGCAAGCACTATTTACAATAGCCAAGGTGTGTAATCAACCTGAGCCCATCAACAAATGAATGGAAAAAGAAAACGTGGTTTATATACACAATAGAATATTATTCAGCCATAAAAAGAATGAAATCAGCCAGGTGCGGCGGCTCACGCCTGTAATCCCAGCACTTTGGGAGGCCAAGGCGGGTGGATCACAAGGTCAGGAGATCCAGCTACTCGGGAGGCTGAGGCAGGAGAATCGCGTGAACCTGGAAGGCGGAGCTTGCAGTGAGCTGAGATCGCGCCACTGCACTCCAGCCCAGGTGACTCAGCGAGACTCTGTCTCCAAAAAAAAAAAAAAAAAAAAAGAATGAAATCCTGTCAGTGGCAGCAACATGGATGTAACCGGAGGACATTATCTTAAGTGAAATAAGTCAGACACAAGAAGGCAAATATCACATGTTCTCAATCATGTGTGGAAGCATATAAAGTGGATCTCATGAAGGCAGAGAGTAGAATGGTTGTTACCAGAGGCTGGGAAGGGAAGTGGGATGAATAGAAGTTGGTTAATGGGTACAGAAATACAATTAAATAGAAAACATAAGTTCTAGTGTTCAATAGCACAATAAGTAAATTATAGTTTAAAATTATTTATTGCATATTTTAAAATAGCTAGAAGAGAAGAATTGTAACGTTCACAACACAAAGAAAATATACCCCAGGTACCCTGATTTGAACATTTCACATTGTATACATGTATCAAAATATAACATGTACCCCCAAAATATGTACAACTATGATATATCAATTAAAAACACATAAAAACTATTCTTGAAATATCCTCATCAGATTTTTGCATCAAGATTATTTTATCCTCGAAGAAGTTAGGGCATATTAGGTTTTTTCCTAAGTCTAAAATCAGTAGAATTCCTTAACTTTTAAATAATTACTTGTAGAGTCATGTGGCATGAACTTCTCTCTGATGAGAGGTTGTGAAATTATGGATGTGATTTCTTTTAAGGCTATTTATTCACTTTTTTAATATTGACTTATGTTGGTGTTTATAAATACAATTTTAGGATAATTTGTCAATTTTATCTGATTGTTGTTTACTTATATAATGTGCATGATATCATCTTACCATTTTTTAATATCTGTATAGATCTTTAGTGATATTTCAACTTTAATGACCATTATTGTTGTTTTTTTTAAAAATACATTTTTTAAAAAATCGACAAATAAAAATGTTATGTATTAATGATGTACAGCATGATGTTTTGATACATGTATACATTCTAAAGTGGCTAAATCAAGCTAATTAACACATGCGTTGACACACAAACTTCTGATTATTTTGTGGTAAAAACACTTAAAATCTACTTTCTTAGCAATTTTCAAGTATACAATCCATCTTTATTAACCATAGTCACCATGAACTTATGCCTCCTATCTCATTTAAATTCTGTATCCTTTGACCACCATCACCCCAGTTTCCCACTCCCAGCCCCTGGTAGCACCATTTTACTCCTTGCTGGTATGACTTTCACATTTTTAGATTCCACAATAAGTGAGAAGATGATGTATTTGTCTTTCTATGCCTGCCTTATTTCACTCAACATGTCCTCCAGGTTCATCCATGTTGTCACCAACTACAGGAATTTTTTCTTTTAAAAAAGTCTGAATAGTAGTCCATTGTGTATCTCTACCAGATTTTTAATCCATTCATTTATTGATAGACACTTAGGTTGATTCCTTGGCTATTGTACACAAGGCTGAAATTAAAATGAAAGTGCAGACATCTCTTCAACATACTGCTATTGTTTCCTGTGAATATATATCCAGTAATGGGATCACTGGATTATATGAAGTTCTAAGTTTTTGATGAACCTCCATACTGTTTTTGTAATGGCTGTACTAATTTATATTTCCATCATAGTGTGCAAAGGTTTCCTTTACTCCACACCCTTACCAACATCTGTTACCATTCATCTATTTTGATGATCGTATTCTGACAGGTGTGAGGTAATATCTCTTTCTGATTTTAATTTGAATTACTGTGATTATTAGTGATTTTGAGCATATTTTCATATACCTGTTGTCCATTTGTTTGTCTTATTTTGAGCAATGTCTATTCAGGTCCTTTGCCCATTTTTAACTGGATTGTTTTCCTGCTATTGAGTGGTTGGAGTTCTTTATATATTTTTATATTAACCTTTTATCAGATGTATAGTTTGCAAATATTTCCTCTAATTCCTTAAGTTCTCTCTTTACTTTGTTGACTGTTTCCTTTGTTGTGTAGAAGCTTTTTAGTTAGATATAATTCCATTTCTATATTTTTGCTTTTGCTGTCTGTGTTTTTGGTGTCATATTTATGAATCATTGCCAGATCCAATGTTGTGGAGCTTTTTCCTATATTTTCTTCTAATAATTTTATAGTTTCAGGTCTTAGTTTTAAGTCTTTAGTCCATTTTGCATTGGTTTTTTATATTTTGTGAGACAAGAGTCTAATTTTGTTCTTCTACATGTGAATATCCAGTTAGTAAACATCTTTATTGTCACAAATCAATTGACTATAAATGTGTCCATTTATTTTTGGGCTCTTTGTTTCATTGATCTATGTGTTTTTATGTCATTATCATGCTGTTTTGATTACTATAGCTTTATAGTATATTTTGAAGTCAGGTATTGTGATGCCTCCAACTTTGCTCTTTTCACTCAGAATTGCTTGGGTTTTAAGGTCTTATGTGGTTTCTTATAAATTTTGTGGGGAAAAGAAAGACCAGACTGTTACTGTGTCTATGTAGAAAGAAGTAGGCATAAGAGACTCCATTTTGTTCTGTACTAAGAAAAATTCTTCTGCCTTGAGATGCTGTTAATCTGTACCCTACCCCCAACCCTGTGCTCCCTGAAACATGTGCTGTCAACTCAAGGTTAAATGGATTAAGGGCCGTGCAGGATGTGCTTTGTTAAACAAATGCTTGAAGGCAGAATGCTTGTTAAGAGTCATCACCACTCCCTAATCTCAAGTACCCAGAGACACAATACACTGCGGAAGGCCGCAGGGACCTCTGCCTAGGAAAGCCATGTATTGTCCAAGGTTTCTCTCCATGTAATAGTCTGAAATATGGCCTCGTGGGAAGGCAAAGACCTGAACGTCCCCCAGCCCGACACCCGTAAAGGGTCTGTGCTAAGGAGGATTAGTAAAAGAGGAAGGCCTTTTTGCAGTTGAGATAAGAGAAAGGCATCTGTCTCCTGCTGTCCCTGGGCAATGGAACGTCTTGGTGTAAAACCCGATTGTATATTCCATCTACTGAGATAGGAGAAAACTGCCTTAGGGCTGGAGGTGAGACATACTGGCGGCAATACTGCTCTTTAAGGCATTGAGATGTTTATGTATATACACATCAAAAGCACAGCACTTTTTTCTTTACCTTGTTTATGATGCAGAGACATTTGTTCACATGTTTTCCTGCTGACCCTCTCTCCACTCTTACCCTATTGTCCTGCCACATCCCCCTCTCTGAGAAACGCCCGATAATGATCAATAAATACTGAGGGAACTCAGAGACTGGTGCCAGCGCAGGTCCTCTGTATGCTGAGCACCAGTCCCCTGGGTCCACTTTTCTTTCTCTATACTTTGTCTCTGTGTCTCTTTCTTTTCTCAAGTCTCTCATTCCACCTGACAAGAAACGCCCACAGGTGTGGAGGGGGAGGCCACCCCTTCAAAATTGAAAATTGTTTCTCTATTTTCGTGCAAAATGTTATTGGGATTTTGATAGAGATTACATTGAACATGTAGATCACTTTAGCCACTATAGATATTTTAACAATATTAACTTTTCCAGCTCTTGAACATGGTTTATCTTTCCATTAATTTGTTTCCTTTCATTCCTGCAACAATGCTTTATAGTTTTCAGTATACAGATCTTTCATCACCTTGGTTAAATTTATTCCCAAGTATTTATTTTTTGTAGATATTGTAAATGAGACTGTGTTCTTGATTTCTTTTTCATACAGTTTGTTGTTAGTGTAGGAAGAGCTACTGATTTTTGTATATTGATTTTGTATCCTGCAACTTTACTGAATTTATTTATTAGTTGTAAATTTTTGTTGGACACTAGGGTTTTCTATATATATGATCAAGTCATCTGCAGAGACAATTTAACTTCTTTTCTGAATTTGATACCTTTTATTTCTTAGTATTGCATAAGAAATTTTTTCTTCACTGCTATTAGTAGAAATTTATAACTTTATTTATTTTACAAAAAGCCTACAATTGGTTTTCAAAGTGACTGAATATAGAATCTGTGATAACTGTAATGGTGTTTCAGGGCCTCTGATGTCAGGAGTGTTATCACAGATTCTGTATAGAATCTTTCTGAAATGTCTTGGTTTTCATTTCATTTAACTTTCATATAGTTCAAATTACTCAATAAATTCCCTTTTGATTAACAAACGTTTTCTGTAAAAAATCAAATATTATTTCCAGACTTGCTTGTCATATAGTATCTGTTGCAACTATTTACCTCTGCTATTATAGCACAAAAGCAGCATGGACAACATTCAAACACATGGGCAAGGCTGTATTTCAATAAAACTTCATTTACAAGAAGAGGCGGGCGGCAGCTGGATTTAACCAACTGGCCACAGTTAAAGAACTATGATATAGAAAATGCCTCCGAGAATTTCCTCACAAAGGAGAAAGGAATCTGGTACTCACCATCATAATTATCTGATGGCTGGTCATTAGTTTCCAAGCACATTGAGCCCACCCTGCTAATGGATGCACATACCACTGAGGTAACAGGAAGCACACTCCAGCAGAATGTCTCTGATATTTGAAACAAAAATACTGCCGGAACAGCAAATATAAAGGGAATACTGATGGGACACTGGCTATATCTGCTCTTAGTGTCAATCTGCCTACATTCTATAGTTGTAGAAACCCAAAATGTGAAAACCTAGCCCCAGATTGTGTTGCTTTATTTTATGATTCATAAAAAATAGCTAGTATTTATTGGCAGTAAATGATACCATATTTAGGGGTAGGAGACTGCAAGATGAGCACAGTACAGCTTATCAGAAAACTAAGACAGCATGGGAAAATATGAGATAATTGGAAACATATATATATATATACATGTATGTGTGTGTGTACTATATATGTACTACATACATTTAAGTGTGATATATGTGTGTGTATATACACATATAGAGATACACACAGCCTCATACATATAGGTTTTACCTTGTGAAATATAGGATGACTTAAAAGAATTGAGAGAATTTAATGGTATGTTAAAATGTGGTGACAGCTGTTTATGTAGGGAGGAGGAATTCGTGTAACTGTTGGGGGATAAATCATGAAGAAACTTTATTGAAATAGAGACAAATTGTTAAATATTATAAGATAATAACATTTAAAATAGATTAAGTATGTCATCTCACCTGTTGAAAATAATGTTCATTGAACATTTGATTGATGAAATTATAATCGGGTATATACATATATTTTAAAATGAATAAATAAAACAAATTTTGGTCATTCAAAAATTTGTAAATGCAGGAATGTCTGAGAAGGATTTAAAAACCTCATTATAATGTTTAGCAATTCTTGCAAGAACAAGAGATAGGGAAAAATTTGGATCACATTTAGTAAAAGTTTGTAGAGAAAATAGAGAATGAAGCCAAATGAGTTAGGAACTGAGATGTGTATAATAAAAAGGACTTCATTTAGCCAATATATTCAAAATCAATCTGCTGGCATGATTGGCAACAGTAATGCAAACCTAGTGTTAATGACAGACTTGCCTTCTCAGTTTAAGAGTTGTGGGAACGTGATTTATACATCTTAACTCATCCTGTTTCTCATATTTCAGTTATAAATTAATGGCATTGTTGCATATATCATTTATATATACCATGACAAACATGTCTTATGTTTTATCAGAAACATAAAAATTGTGCTCGAGTTTCAATCTTTGTTACTCACATTTTTATTACCACAGTCACATTCTTCATTGGATTCCAAAATCCCATTACCACACACTGGTTGATTTTGATGTAATGGTTGCAAATTTGAAAGCTTCTGAAGGCATTTAGTCTCAAATTTTGAAACAAAATATCTATAGTCGTGCATGCTGCAGTTGCTAAAAATCTTTCTACCACTGGCACTCCTAAAATAAAATAATATTCCTCAGGCAAATAAGCCTTGCTAATAAAACCACATCTAAACAACACTCCATACATAATCATGTAAATCACAAGATGGCCACCCCAAAATTTATACTTTAGCAGAGATTCAACCAAGGATAATTAAATTTTAATATTGCTTATCTTTAACATTCTCTTAAAAAATTGCATTAAAAACCTATTTTCTCATCAAGGTAATGCAATAAGGTATGGTGGTTAAATCTATGTATCTATATCTATGCATTTACATATCTCTATATCTAACCATCTATCTATTGTTCCCTCTGCATAGTGTGCTCTTCTGTTATATAGTTCAAGCTTTCTTCCTTCATTTTGTAGGGAAAAGAAAGAGAGATCAGACTGTTACTCTGTCTATGTAGAAAGAGAAGACATAAGAAATTCCATTTTGACCTGTACCTTAAACAATTGCTTTGCTGAGATGTTGTTAATTTGTAACTTTGCCCCAGCCACTTTGCCCCAACCTTGAGCTCACAAAAACATGTGCTGTATGGAATCAAGGTTTAAGGAATCTAGGGCTGTGCAGGACGTGCCTTGTTAACAAAATGTTTACAAGCAGTATGCTTGGTAAAAGTCATCGCCATTCTCTAGACTCAATAAACCAGGGGCACAATGCACTGCGGAAAGCCACAGGGACTTCTGCCCTGGAAAGCCGGGTATTGTCCAAGGTTTCTCCCCATGTGATAGTCTGAAATATGGCCTCGTGGGATGACAAAGACCTGACCGTCCCCCAGCCTGACACCCGTAAATGGTCTGTGCTGAGGTGGATTAGTAAAAGAGCCTCTTGCAGTTGAGATAGAGGAAGGCCACTGTCTCCTGCCTGCCCCTGGGAACTGAATGTCTCGGTATAAAACCCGATTGTACATTTGTTCAATTCTGAGATAGGAGAAAAACCGCCCTATGGCGGGAGGCGAGACATGTTGGCAGCTATGCTGCCTTGTTATTCTTTACTTCACTGAGATGTTTGGGAGGAGAGAAACATAAATCTGGCCTACGTGCACATCCAGGCATAGTACCTCTCCTTGAACTTAATTATGACATAGATTCTTTTGCTCAGATTTTTTTTTTTTTTTTTTTGCTGACTTTCTACTTATTATCACTCTGCTCTCCTACCGCATTCCTCTTGCTGAGATAATGAAAATAATAATCAATAAAAACAGAGGGAACTCAGAGACCGGTGCCGGTGCAGGTCCTTGGTATACTGAGTGCCGGTCTCCTGGGCCCACTGTTTTTCTCTATACTTTGTCTCTGTGTCTTATTTCTTTTCTCAGTCTCTCGTCCCACCTGACGAGATATCCCACAGGTGTGGAGGGGCAGGCCACCCCTTCACATTTCAGTCAGATGTCTGCTCAAATGTTACCCTCCAGAGAGATCCTTCTTGACAACACTATCTTAAATTGTGCCCCCTCTTCATTCTCCTTCTACTTTCAATATTTTTCTATACAGCACTTTTGCATTATGTAAAAATAAGCTTCATTAATTTTTATTTTCAAAATTTCATCTCATATTACCTAAGTTTCACACTAAAATATAAGTCCCGGGGAGATCTTTATTTACATGTTCACATGTATATTTCCACTAGTATATCTAGGAGAAATGTCTAATAGATGCACAACACACATTTCAAATATACTGTATGTGATATTGAACTACTTATGACAACCATGTCTGTTCTCAGTTGCTGAATACTCCATTCTTTCAGTTGCTAAAGGCTGATAGCATTGGTGTGACCCTGGACTCTGTTCTTTCTCTCACCATCCATACCCAACACAAATACACATACACACTAGAATAGAACATAACCAATTAACAATTTTTATTTTGGTTACTTGTTAAAGTGATAATATTTTGGATCTATTGGGTTACATAAAATATATCATTAAAATATATTACCACAATTAATTTCACCTGATTATTTTAATTGTTTTAATTGTTTTTAATTATGTTTAATTAAAACATAAAATTATGTTTAATTTTCATTATGTTTAATTGCTTCTAGAAAATTTAAAATTACATATGTGACTCACATTTTATTTCTATTGGATAGCACCAAGGTAGACAATCATGTATTAGACAGCACTATAGCACTATGTTAGACAATCGTCTCAGATAGCAATACTTAAAGAGCAAAATCTGAGATGACAGAGGTTCTGGGTAGTCCTTTAAGCCTCCAAGGAAAGAAATGTATAGTTTCTAAAGTTTCAGAGTTGAAAGTTTAAGAGCAAAAAGAAATGCCTTAGCTTATTTTAACAGCCATTTGTTGTGGAACAAATATGAAAAAGTAAGAGGAATATTACACAGAATAATGTTATTTAATCAGATTGTCTCTATTATTTTAAAATACTTTGTTTTAATAGGAATAAGTATTACCATACTTTTGCAAGACACTCTCATGCAAAAAGCTACAAATACTGAGCACTAAAATCTCTTCACACAAAATTAGTGTATAAATAGATATGGACTCAGAAGTTATCTTCTACCTGGAGTATATAATTTCCAACAACTGAAAATTAAAAATATTGTTTACAAAATAAGACTTTTGTTTAAGATGGTTACAAAGCAACTAAGTTTTGAAACCTCTGCTTAAAAGTTGGGCATGACAAGAAAGAATATGAATGCGATGTCAGTGATGTGTATGTGTGTGCACAGACAAAGATATAGATCAATCTATAGTATATATCCCTAAGTATACATAATTTTTGTGTGATAACTTTACAAGCATGATGTAACTTTCTAGCCATTGATGTGGTGTCGAATATAAAAGTTTAAAAACATTATCACATTTTGGAAACAACCTTATAAAAATATAAATGAAATTAATTAAGAAAACATCTTACACTGCTTCATGATTCATGATGCATGTAGCTCTCAGACAGAAACACTGAGTGATGTCATCATATGTTAATCCTACATTAAGGCCAAGCAGTTGAGCTATAATAACCGAAAATCCCTCCAAACCTATTGCATCTGGATACTAAAATAAAAGACATGAAAAAGAAAATTATTATGTGTGAAAATAAAAGTAATAACTTGAAATATTTTTACTCCTATCATATTTTCTATTTTAATACTTCTTATGTTAAGCATACTTCACAACAATTATTTTGGTATGCCATTTATTTATCTGCCGTAATTTATTGATTAAGAAGCATGAAACAAGTAATCAAACTATGATAGTCTCTGGTTTTAAATTTTGCACGCCAAAATTCTATAGCTTTGAACAGGTGGTATTTCTGATACAATACAACATGTTTATTTCACTTTCTCATTGAATCAGTTCATCCAATGAATAGATATCAATTCAGTGTACTCATGTGTCAGGCATTATGATAGATGGTAGGAATACAGTGGCATGTATGAAAGAAAAGGACTTTGTTCACATCTATAGCTTATATTATAGAAAGAGAGAAAGACAACAGTAATCTGCAATAAACTTTCTATGTAAAAATAGATTGTTACACATGCTTTTAAGAAAATAAAGTACTCCAATAGAAAATTTTATGGAGGGGTATAAAATAAGGTAGTTAAGTAAGGTAGTTAGAACATCTTCTTTGTGAAATTTATATTTAGGCTGAGATACAAAGTATGGGAAATGACCCAACATTATGTATACATATAGGGGGCTGGAATGTGGACCTACCGAAAAGTTGTGTATAATGACTAAAGTGAAGAAATGACAGGACAGAAGCCAGAGAGTCAGACACAATCACAGTAAAGAAATTTGGGCCAGGTGCAGTGGCTTAGGCCTCTAATCCCAGCGTTTTGAGAAGCCAAGGCAGTAGGACTGCTTGAGGCCAGGAACTCAAGACCAGCCTGGGCAACATAGTGAGACTCCGTCTCTACAAAAAAAAATTAAAAATAGCCAGCAAGATGATGCACACTTGCAGTCCCAGCTATTTGGGAGAAGGCAGGAGAATGACTTGAGCCCAGGAGTTTGGGGTTGCAGTGAGCTGATTGCACCACTGTACTCCAGCCTGGGCTACAGAGTGAGACCCTGTCTCAAAGACCAAAACAAAACAAAAAATAAATTTGAAGTGAGAAGATATTAAAAAATGCTTGCTAACAGTGTGGACTCAAAGTGTTTTTCATATTATTTATCTTTGATAAATAAATAATGATATATTTCTTAGCTCTTTAATCATTACAAACAAAAATCTGAGAACATGTCTAATTTTTCTGTATCATTTAAATGTATAACTAGAAAATCTGTGTAATGCATAACTAAAAGAAAAAAGATTGTGTACATGTTTGTATGTATATGACTGAAAACACAGAATTGGCAATATGAAAAAATAAACTAATAAGTATCCTTTCCTATTATCCTGTAATAAATATGCTTAAAAGTTACAGTGTCAGAATTTGAAAGGAGTTAAAGCCAGAGCAGAATATGAGGAATGATATCTAGGCTGACCATCATGTTTTGGGGCAAGATACAAAAACCAAAAGCTAGACTTTTGATACTAGATCAGAGAGGGAAATATGGTCTTGCACTTCCAGCATAAATGGCACTCTTATAAAAAGAAGGTATTTAGATAAAGTGACAGAGACACAGAAAGAACTTCATGTGAACAGAAAGGCAAATATTGGGGTAATGCATCCATAAGCCAAGAAATGCCAAAGATTGCCAGCAAACCACCAGAAGCTAGGGCAAAGGCAGAGAAAAGATTGTCGTTCGCAGCCCTCAAGAGGAACCACTCTGTTCATTTTGATTTCAGAACTCTATTTTATCCAGAACTGTGAAGTAATACATTTCTGTTGATCAAGTGCTCAGTTTGCGGTATTTTGTTATGGCAGCCCTGGAAATCTAATACAGACCCCCTAATATATCAAAACCCAAAGTAATATATCTTAAAAGTGCCCAGGAATGGGGAAGATACATTACATAGTGAGGAAAAGGTAAGAATTACAGCAAAGTTGTCATCAGAACAGTGCAAAAGAGTAAACAGGAGGAAAATCTCCTTAAAAGTGGCTCTAGATAAGGATGCCCTCTCTCACCACTCCTATTCAACATACTATTAAAAGTTCTAGCAAGGCAATCAGGCAAGAGAAAGAAGGCATCCAAAGAAGAAGTCAAACTATCTGTGTTTGCAGATAACATGATACTATCTCTAGAAACCCCACAATCTCATCCCAAATACGTCTTAAACTGATAAACAATTTCAGCAAAGTCTTAGAATACAAAATCATATGCAAAAATCACTGGTATTCCTATACACCAACAATAATCAAGCCAAGAGCCAAGTCATAAAGGGACTCACATTCACAATTGTGACAAAAAGAATAAAATACCTAGGATGCAGCTAACTAGGGAGGTGAAAGATCTCTACAAGGAGCATCACAAACCACTGTTCAAAAAAATCAGAGATGATAAAAACAAGTGGAAAAACATCCCATGCTCATGGACAGAAAGAATCAATATTGTTAAAATGGTCATGCTGCCCAAAGCAGTTTATAGATTCAGTACTACTGCTATTAAACTACTATTTACATTCTTCACAGAGCTAGAGAAAAGTATCTTAAAATTCATATGGAACCACAAAAGAGACTGACTAGAAAGGCAATTGTAAGCAAAAAACAAACAAAAAATGAAAACAACAAGAAAACAAAGCTGGAGACATCATGGTTGCTACCTGACTTCAAACTATACTATAGGGCTACAGTAACCAAAACAGCATGGTACTGATAGAAAAACAGACACCTAGACTAATGGAACAGAATAGAGATCCCAGAAATAATACCACAGGCCTACAACTATCTGACCTTCAACAAACCTAACAAAAACAAGCAAAGGGGAAAGAATTCTCTATTTAATAAATGATGCTGAGATAACTAGCCACAAGCAGAAGAATGAAACAGGGCCCCTTCCTTATACCATACACAAAAGTTAACTCAAGATGGATTAAAGACTTAAATGTAAAACTCAAAACTATAAAATCCCTGGAAGACAAGCTAGGCAGTACCATTCAGGACATAGGCAGGGGCAGAGATTTCATTATGAAGATGCCACAGCAATTGCAACAAAACCAAAAATTGACAAATAGGATCTAATTAAACTAAAGAGCTTCTGCACAGCATAGGAAACTCTCAATAGAGTAAACTATCTACAGAATGGGAGAAAATTTTTGCCAACTATGCATCTGACAAAGGTTTAATATCTAGCATCTGTAGGGAACTTAAGGAAATTTACTAGAAGACAAAAACTAACAACTCCATAAAAATTGGGCAAAGGACACGAACAGGCATTTTTCAAAAGAAGAAATACATGTGGCCAACAATCATATGAGAAAAAGCTCAACATCACTGATCATTAGAGAAATGCAAATCAAAATCACAGTGAGATACCATCTCACACTAGTAAGAGTGGCTATTACTAAAAAGTCAAAAAATAACAGATGCTGGAGAGGTTGTGGAGAAAGAGGAACACTTATACACTGCAGGTGGGAGTGTAAATTAGTTCAGCCATTGTGGAAAACAGCGTGGTGTTTCCTCAAAGACCCAAAGACAGAAATACTATTAGACCCAGAAATTTCATTACTGGGTATATACCCAAAGGAATATAAATCATTCTAAATACTATGTGGCCATAAAAAAGAATGAGATTATGTCCTTTGCAGGGACATGGATGGAGCTAGAGGTCACTATCCTTAGCAAACTAACACAGGAACAGAAAACCAAATACCACATGTTCTCACTTATAAGTGGGAGCTAAATGATGAGAACACATGGACACCTAGAATGATGAGAACATATGGACGCCTAGAACACATGGACACCTAGACACATGGAACAACACACACTGAAGCCTATCAGAGGATGGAGGGTAGGAGGAGGGAGAGGATCAGAAAGAATAACTAATGGGTACTAGGCTTAATACCTGGATGTTGAAATAATCTGTACAACAAACTATATAACAAAGCTACAGTAACCAAAACAGCATGGTATTGGTACAAGAACAGACGCACAAACCAATACAACAAAATAGAGAACCCAGAAATAAGACCACACACATACAACTGTCTGATCGAACAAAAACAAGCAGTGGGGAAAGGATTGCCTATTTAATAAATGGTGCTGGGAGAACTGGCTAGCCATAAGCAGAAGAATGAAACTGGACCCCTTCCTTACACCATATACAAAACTTAAGATGGATTAAAGACTTAAATGTAAAACCCCAAACTGAAAAACCCTGGAAGACAAGCTATGCAGTACCATTTGGGACATAGACATGGGCAATGATTTCATGAAAAAGATGCCAAAAGCAATTGCAACAAAACCAAAAATTGACTAATTAAACTAAAGAACTTTTG
Organism: Homo sapiens; assembly: GCF_000001405.40. Lineage (NCBI taxonomy): Eukaryota > Metazoa > Chordata > Mammalia > Primates > Hominidae > Homo > Homo sapiens. The sequence goes on along the minus strand of NT_187577.1, from coordinate 391,632 downwards.
CACAACAAAATAAATGATCAACAGAGTAAACAGACAACCTACAGAATGGGAGAAAATTTTTGCAATCTACCCATCTGACAAAGGTCTACTATCCAGCATCTACATGGAACATAAACAAATTAACAAGAAAAAAAAAACCATTACAAAGTGGACAAAGGACAAGAACAGACACTTCTCATAAAAAAAAAAATATGTGGCCAAAAATATGAAAAAAAGCTCAACATCACTGGTCATTAGAGAAATGTAAATCGAAACCACAATGAGATAGCACCTTACATCAGTCAGAATTGCTATTATTAAAAAGTCAATAAACAACAGATGCTGGCGAGGTTATAAAGAAAAAGGAATGCTTTTACACTGTTCATGGGAGTGTAAATTACTTCAACCATTGTGGAACACAGTGTGGCAATTCCTCAAAGACTTAGAGGCAGAAATACCATTTGACTCATGAATCCCATTACTAACTATATACCCAAAGGAATATAAATCATTCTGTAATAAAGACACATGCACACATTTATTTATTGCAGCACTAGTCACAATAGCAAAGACATTGAATCAACCTAAATGGCCACCAAGATAGACTGGATAAAGAAAATGTGGTACATATACATCATGCAATACTATGCAGCCATAAAAGGAATGAGATTATGTCCTTTGCAGGGACATCGATGGAGCTGGAAGCCATTATCCTCAGCAAACTAATGCAGGAACAAAAAGTCAAATACCACATATTCTCACTTATAAGTGGGAGCTGAATGATGAGAACACATGGACACATGGGGGAACAACACACACTGGAGCCTGTTGGAGGTTGGAGGAGTGGGAGGTGGGAGAGGATCAGGAAGAATAGCTAAAGGATGTTGGGCTTAATATCTATGTGATGGAATGATATGTGCAGCTAAACAGCATGGCACACTTTTAACTAGGTAACAAACCTGCACATCCTGTACATGTACCCTTGAATTTAAAAGTTGGAATTAAAAAAATTAAAATTTTGTCTATCATATAACTTTCACACAATTTACTTCCCATTTTTCTTTGTCAGTAAATTATAGGAGCTCATTTCTACCAAAATGAGCAAAATATGAAAGAGGGATACACATAATACAAAGGAAACCAGACTGAAAATTCTCCAACCCTGTCTATGCATCAAGTGTAATATAGATTGGTAAAACAGACAATTTCTCCAGAATGTCTCCAAGAAAGGAAAGACGAATTTCTGAAACAAGGAGAAAACTAGAAACAATGTATGATTTTATTAAATAGTTGTGCAAATCAATATAATGCAATTATTAAATTTAGGAAGAACAAAAAGGCACACAATCAAGGCAATTGAACTAAGATTAAAATCTTAGTTCATTACTTGGCTCATTAGGGAATAAGACACAATTCAAATGAGGTATATAATTATAGAGGGGGAATGAAGCAGTCGAAATATGGATATGATGAACTATTAAGATGTTACATTCTAACTTCAATAATAGGAAGTCAATAGATAATACTCACATTTAAAGAGTCAGGAAACTTCATGGGCGTATTTTTAAGAAATACATGGTAAAAGAATGAACAAACTATTCCTACTCATAAGAACATAAATGATTGCTATAGACATAATATTGAGCAAAATAGAGCAGGGAAGAATACACACTGTGTTCTGCTTACATAAACTTCAAAAAGAAGTAAAATTAAACAAAGGCAATTGGATAGTGGTTTCCTTTGGTATGGGTAATAGGTGGGAGGACGCATGATTCACAAGTACCTTCTGAAGTGTTGATAATATTCTATTTTTTGATCTTTGTGGTGTTTATACCTATGCATAAACTCGATAAAAATTAATTGTGCTATAAACTTTGACTTGTGGAATTTTATCTATATACTATATTTTGTACTTCAACAAAACTTTTCTTTGAAAAGAAATTAACATGGAGTTATATGGTTACAAAGAAGAAATTTTCTAATTGAGAAAGATGATTTAAGGGTTGTAAATTTTGCAGGAAACAGTTTTATCAATATACAAATTTTCAATATCTAAAAACAATATATATTATTTATGCATTCATATATTTATTAAAATAGCATAAAGTATGTGTAAAATTGCAAGCACAAATTCATGATTTTTGCTATTTATTGAACTTGGAGGAAATGTGCAGGAGGCTTTAACATTGCTCTAATGCTTTGTTTATTTAAAAATCTAAAGCAAATGTTCGTGTCCATTATGACCAGTTGGTGAGTGATTACACTAAGGTTTGTTCACATAATATTCTTTGTGTTTGAACTTTATAAATAAATAAACTTTCTGAGATTCTATTAATTTTGTCCTAATAAAATAATAATGAATATACATATACAGAAAAAGATCAAATGGTTTTACACTATTTAACTACTTAAATTAATACTTACAAAATATAATATAAGGCCTAAAAATAGTGATGTAAAGAAGAATAAAAATTACATACCATAGCAATACCTGCATCATAGCTTTTATTGCATACGGTGCCAGGAAATGTTGCTCCCACATATTTAGGATGTTTCCTGTAACTACATTATTATAATTTTTTATTAACGTAGTTATGCAAAACAATTTGTAAGCTTATGTATTAAATTAAACCTTCTTCACATAAAATTTTAAAAATGACTTTGCAAATATATAAAGCTTCAAACTAGGTAATATCTAATAAACATTACAAAATACTAAATACTAAATACTAAATCTAAATACTAAAATCATTGACTTAATCAATTCACTTTAATACCAATGTAATTTCCTTGTATATCTCCTAAAATGGATATAATTTTATTAGCTCAAATTCAACTTAGTTTGGTTATCAAAAGTTAAAGAGAAAATAATTTTTAATTTGTGGAAGAAGCAATCTTACTAGTCCTAAAGATAAGCATTTTTAAATATTAAATATTAAAAAAAACCCAAATCCCTCCTAGTAAAAAGTAGACATGAAATGTATTAATTTATCATGAATAATTTTAACTGAATAGTCTCCGTTTTTACATCATTCATAAACTAAGGATTATATGTTTTCTGTAGCAAAGTCAACATTACAGAAGTTCATGAAATGCAGGTTTTTGAAATAATACTTACACTCCAAACTATTCTAATACAAAACTGATTATTGTTACTTTTATTATATTTTTAAGTACACTAGCACCTCTATGACAAAGGCTACTAATTTTTAAACACTTTCAAAGGGGCTTACAAAAAACTGAAGAACGCAATAAATTCACTAAATTACCAATTTAAAATAATTATGCAGATATCTTTATTAATGTAGAACATTGTGCTTACACAAGTAAGTATGCTATGTCATGGGGCCGTAGGATGAGATAGTCCCGTTTCCATGCCAAAAATCTTTGTAATATATCATCAGCATCCCCACTGGTGGAAATCTGGTTTTCATTTGACCACAATTCCAAGGAAGACAGTATAACAGTCAATTTGAACTGGGTAAACATCTAAAAATAAGATGTATTGTACATTTTTAAAGAAACAAGTTATTACATTTAAAAGGTACATTAAAAAATAAACAACATGTTCCAGTATTTTCAGTATTAAACTAATAAAAAGTATTTAAGTTATTCATTGGCCAAGATAGAACCCAAATTATATTAAAGAAACTTTCATGAAAATGGAAATGTGAAAAAGTAAAAACTTACAGTGTTGACAAGCCCAATAACCTGGACAATTTTTTGTGTTACAGCCATCATTTCAGATCCCATATAATCATACTGAAAAAGAAATTTTATTTTTCATGAAAGTATTATTTTGAATCCATGTGAATGAAATGATATTTAGGCATTGTATTAGATATTATAAGTAATCTAGAGCTGTTTTAAAGTACATAGGAGAATGTGTGCAGATTTGAGCAAATTCTACACTATTTTATATGAGACAAGATTTTATGGATTATATATTATGTATATACATATATATATACACATATATATATATATATGTATATATATATATATAATACACACATGCGGAAATATTATTAAGCCTTGAAAATGGTTGTCCTGTCATTTGTGAAAACATGGATGAATCTGGAGGACATTATGCTAAGTGAAATAAGCCAGATACAGAAAAGAAAATACTACATGATCTCACTTATATGTGGTATCTAAACAAAACAAAACAAATATATTCAAATACATGGAAACAAAGTGAAAAGGTGGTTGTCAAGGGGCAGAGGGCTGAGTGTGGGGAGAAATGTGGAAACGGCATTCATAGGATACAAAGTTTGGGTTATGTAGAATAAGTAAGTCTAGAGACCTAATGTACAAAGCGAGAACTACAATTAACAATATTGTTTTATATACTGAAAATTAGCTAAAAGAGTAGATTTTAGGTACTTTTACCATAAAAATGTAACACTATGTATATAAAAACATTATGATGTATACATCTTAAACATATATACTTTTAAAAAGAATAAAAGGTTAGAGAGAAGATATAAATTGCCAACATCAGGAATGAAAGAGGATTATAATATCAAAGGATGATAATAAAGTATGAAAGTACTGATGTCAATAACTTATTACATTTTAATACACTTGAAAATATTATTTAAAATGGCATTTGCCAAAATGGCCAAAGATAAAGTTCAAAGAATATATAATCATATAACTATTAAAGTGGATTCTGTAATTTTAAACCTTCCCATTAAAATATCAGGTTAATAAAGAAATATAAGGGTTAATTGTTGGACAGGTGCAGTGACTCACGCCTATAACCCCAACACTTTGGGAGACTGAGGCGTGGACAACATGGTGAGACTTCATCTCTTTAAAAAATTTTAAAAAAATTATCCAGGCATTGTGGTGCATGCCTGTAGTCCCAGCTACTTGGAAGGATGAGGCAGAAGAATTGGTTGAGGCCAGAAGTTCGAGATTGCGGTGAGCTATGATTTTGTCACTGCACTCCAGGCTGCATGAGAGAGTGAGGCCCTCTCTCTCTCTCTCTCTCTCAAAAAAAAAAAAACAAAAAAACTTAATGGTTACAGATATTTAAATAATAAGTAAAGAATAAGTAAAGGCATTTGTACAAAAATCATTCAGAATGTAGGAAAAGGGCAGACATTGTAATTAGTTTTATGAAACCAACACTGCTTTAACAACAGCTTAACAAGAAAAGGTCTTTTTTGGATATTCTTGTCAAACATAAAACGGATTCTCAATGTAACCACGAGAAAACTCAGGCAAGTCCAAACTGAGAAACATTTCTAGAAAATAACTGGCACGTATTCTCCAATTGTGCCAAGGTACATGAAAGACAAAGATCATAGTAATGCCACAGATTGGAGTAGAAAAAAGAAACATGTCAACTCAATGGAATGTAGGATCTTATAATTGAGGACTGAATTAGGAAAAAGACACTTGTGGGAAAAATGTCAAAAATTTTATAATAGTTGTTAATAATGTAGAAACATTAACTTTTATGTTTTGATTACTATATTATGATTATATAAGAAGTTAACTTAGGAGAAGTTGTGAAAAGAATCTTTACTGTTTCTTAACTTTCATGTAAGTCTAAAGTTCTTTCAAAATAATAAGTTTAAAATAATAAAATGCAGCTAAAGAGCAAAGAGGGATATCTCACCAATATCATTAGTGAACATTAGAAATGCTGATACTACAAATATACCAATTTTTAAAAGATAAAAGAATGTGTTACAAATTCATTCTAAGAAATTTGATAATTTAGATCATTTTAAAAATCTACTTGAAAACCTATGCCTTAGTCCATTTGCCCTGCTACAAAAGAATAACACAGACTGGGTATTATAAAAAAGAGAAATCTATTTCCTCACATTTCTGGGAGTGGAGAAGTCCAAGAACAAGTTGCTAGCATCTGGTCTGGTGAGGGCCTTCTTGCTGTATCCTCACATGGCAGAAGGCAGAAGAGAAAGCTACACAGTGCTTTTATAAGGGCCTTAATCTCATCTGTAAGGGAAGAAGTTCTTGTGCACTAATCACCTCTAAATGGTCCCATTCCTTAATACCATCACATTGGCCATTAAGTTTTAATACCTGAATTTTGGAAGGAACATATTCAAACCCTAACATTCCACCCCTAGTTTCCCAAAATTCATGTCATTCTCACGTACAAAATACCTTCATCCCATCCAAATAGTCCTAAAAAATCCTAACTTGTTCTATCATCAACTTTAAAATCTAATTTCAAAATCTCACCTAAACATTATATGAGTAAGACTCAAGGCAAGATTTATTCTGGGGCAAATTCATTTCCAGCTGTGAGTCTATGAAATTGAACAAGTTATATGATTCCAAGATACAATGGTGGGACAGACATAGAACAGACATTCCCATTTCAGAAAGAAGAAAGAGTCAAGAAGAAGGGAATAGCAGGTCCCAAGCCAATGAAAACCCAACAGAGCAAACAATATTAAATCTTAAGGCCTGCAAGTGATCCTCTTTGACTCCATGACCCACCCATGAGACACATTGGGGTGGGATTTGAGCCCCAAAGGCTTTGAGTGGCACCACCCTAATAGCTTTGCTGTGTGCAGCCCATGTTTCAGCTCTCACACATCGAAAATGCATGCATGCAGCTTTCCCAGGTGTTCCTTCCTGGTGGCTCTATAGTTCTGGGGTGTTGTGGGTGGCCCAGCACCTATGTCTCCACTGGGCATTGCCTTAGTGGGGTCTCTCTGAGGCATCCTTTGACTTATAGGTGGAAGTAGCCATGCCACCACAGCTCTTGCACTCTGTGAGCCTGGAGAGTTAGCACCAGGTGGACACAGCCAAGGTTCACAGTCTGCACCCTTTGAAACCACAGTCTGAGATGTACCTGGGCCCAGCTGAGCTAAAGCCAGGGCAGCAGAGAAGTGCCTGGCTGTGATGAAAGGATCTTAGACCTGAGGTGGCCCTGGTGTGCAAGTCTCAAGGTCCTATAAGCATTCTGGCTTCTCTCTTTAACCTGTCTTGCTTACAAATCCCCAGCACTCTGGGCTTGTAATGGGAAGGCAGCCTTGAAGATCTCCAAAATGTCTTTGGGGTTATTCTGCTCTTGTGTTGATAAATAGCAGCTGACTTGCTCTATCCACACAATTTTCTTTAAAGGTCACTTGACACACTCTTGCTATTCTCTCCCATACATACTTCCCCCAACCCCCCATCCCCCACCTTTTTTTTTTTTTACAGGGCAAGGCTGAGAGTTTTTCAAATCTTTACATTCTTCTTCCATTTTAATTATAAAATCCATATTTAAACCATTTATCTTGTCTCAAATTTTACTATAAATAAGTAGGAAAAGCCATGCAGCATCCTGAACACCTTGCTGTTTAGAGATTTCTTTTGCCAAATATCTGAGTTCATCATTCTTAAGTTCTGACTTCCATAAAGTTCTATGGCATGGGCATAATTCAGCCAAGTGATTGGCCACTTTTTAACAAGAGTGGCCTTTCTCCCAATTTCCAATACCTTGGACCTCACTTCCATCTGAGCTCTCATAAGAACAGCCTTTACTGTCCATATTTCTACCAGCATTCTGTTCATGACCACTTAAGTAATTTCTAAAAACTGTTCATAACCACTAATCTCTAAAAAGATTCACAACTTCCCTACTTCTCTTCTTATGAGCTCTCATCAGAATCACCCTTCATTCTCCATTTGCAGTAATACAAGCTTTTTCCATTATTTGCTTCAAAACAGCTCCCGCTTCAACCCATTGCCAGGTACCAAAACTATTTCCACATTTTTAGGCATTTGCAATGGCAACACCCACTCCTGATACCAATTTCTGTCTTGGTCCATTTGTGCTGCTATGACAGAATATGACAGATTGGGTAGTTTGTAAAGAACACAAATTTATTGTTCATAGTCCTAGAGGCTGAGAAGTCTCACATCAAGGCTCCACAAACAGGTCTGGTGAGGACCTTTTTGCTATGTCCTCGTGGAGAGGAAAGCAGAAAGGCAAGCTACAGAATGCTGCATGAAGTCTCTTTTATAAGAGACTTAATCCCATACATGAGGGAAGGAGCTTTCATGACAGAATTGCCTCATGCCTTAAAGTCATAACATTGGCCATTATGTTTCAATACATGAATTATGAAGGGGACACATTCAAACCATAGCAATCTAACTTGTAGAAAGTAAAACAAGTTTAAAGAAAATCTCAACTTCCCTATGTATATCATATGTAAAGAAATTTAATGTGTACTTTAAAATATTTCCTCAAAGAAAACTTAAGGTCTACAGGGTTTCAGAGTAAATTCTTCCAACTATATGTGGAAGGGGTCATACTCATAATATCTAAATTCTCGAAGAGACTATAAGAAGAAGAAAACTCACTAACTTATTTGATGAGGCTAGGATAATCTTGATAACAAGAAGAAAAATCATTATAAGAAAGGAATATAGCATACCATTATTTCATGAACATAAATCCTAAAATCAAAAACAAAATATTAAATAAAAGATCAGGTTACTTGTAAAAATTGATTAAAATGTGATAAGTAGGGTGTATTTTAGAAACACAAGTATGGTTCTCTATATCCATTGATTATCTCTGTAAGAGCAGAAAAAAAATTTGATGAAAAACAGCTATCCATGACAAAAATCTTGGAAAACAGGGAATATAAGGGAGCCTTCCCAATATTATAAAGATCACCTACCAAAAACTAAGAGCTAACATGAAACTTAGCAAGAATGGTTAATCTGCAAGTTAGGGGAAAATTTAGGAATATACACATCAGTCTATTTAACATTGTACTGCAGAGTCAAGCAAGGACAATAAAACAATAAAATGAAATAAAAGTAAAATAAATAGGTAAATTACTAAATACATGTATACATAAATGCAAAACGGAGTAAAAATTGATAAAGAAAAAAATTAAAAATTAAAATTTGAAATTAAAAAAATTAAAATTCATAAATAATATGATTGTGTACATAGAACATTAAAAAATCTACCAAAAATGAAACACAAGAATTAACAAGTAAATTATGCAAAAAATAACAGGATATAAGATAAATTGTGTGTCAACTATGTTTTCAGAAACCAGGGCAAAAATACTTAAATGTTAAATTAAGAATACCATTTACTAGGGCATCACAAAATCATCAAATGCATAACAATAAAACTAACAAAGATGTTCAAGAACACCATAGAACACTGACGAAAGGAATTAACAAAAAATGTAAAGACGAATGTGAGGGGGTTCTCCTTATTCAGAGATTGGATGACTCAATATTGTTAAGATCACAATTCTTTCCAAAGTGAGCTAACCATTCAATGTAATTCCAAAATCAAAATTACAGTATTTTTGGAAAATTTTAGAGGGTGATTCCAAAATGGATTTAAATAAAAGGGGCCCAGAATAGTCAAAGCAATAATTAAGATTAGAAAAAGGACAAAACCAAATAAATTATATAACAATAAAGCTACAGTAATGAACACAGTGAATTATTGATTCAATAAAACAGAAATAGGGCAATGGAAGTGAACAGCAACCTAAGGAATAGGCCACACACAATTATACTACATAATTTTTAAAAATTGCTAACACAACTGAATGGAGTAAGAGACATTTTCCGTAAGTGGAGATGGAGCGAATGGATGTCTATATGGAAAAAAGAGAACCCTGCCTCACAGCGTACACATTGCTCAATTAAAAATATACCATAAAACTTATTTTAAAAGGTAAAGAAAAATACATAAAATGATATGGAAGAAAGTAAAATTATGTCCTTGGAATAAGAAAATATTTCTTAAAAACAAAAGGAAATTAAGAAAACATAAATTGGACTTAAATTAACTGTGGTTCAGAATGCATGTCTATCAAAAGACATCATTAAATGAGTTTAAAATTAAGCCACAGACTACGAGAAAATAGCCTTAATACAGCTATCTGAAAAAGTCCTCATATTTGGAATATATAAGGAATCCCCACAAAATAGTAAGGAAACTATTAAAATGGGTAAAAACTTATACATTTACTCTTCAAAAAATCCAAATAGTAAACAATGGTATGAAAATATGCTCAAACTCAATCATGTGTTAAATGCACCTAAAAACCACCATATGATATCACTATATATCCACTAAAATGGCTAAGATTTTTAAAAGTTTATCAATTGTAATTGTTTGTAATGATACAGAATTCCTGGACCTTTCATACAATGCTGATAGAATACGAAATTACTATAATAACTTTTCAACTGTTTACCAATATTGTCCAAAGGTAACATACCAATCCCATGATATAACAATTTCACTCCTAGGCAGATACCAAAAGAAATTATGTCTACCAAAAGACATGAGCAAGATTGGTGATAACAATTTTATTCATAATAGCACCAAATTGTGGTATTCTTCACGTTAGTATACAAGAAATAAACTACTGTTATGGGCAACAATGTGAATAAATCTTAAAGACATTATATTAACAAAATAACCTAGATGCTATAGAATGTATAATCTACAATTTACACTTTTGGATCTACCTGATTGTATTATATTTATCTGCTAAATGCTAGTCATTCATCTAAAAATCTATTCTATGAAGACTTTCCTTAACAATTCCTACATCTTTCTCAATTCTATCCTGTTACTTTGTGAGTATATATATAGATATATAAGTATATATATAACTTATATACACACATACATAATGTACGTAGTGCCTCATAATTATTTGGTTGCATATCTGTCTTTTCCATTAAAATATGAATTCTTGAAAGTAGAATTTCCAGTGATTAGTCTGTGTTTTGCATTTAGTAAATATATAATAGTACTAATTTTAAAAATAAATATACATTTAAAACCAGAAGTGTATTTATTCAAAAACTATGCTGAAACATATTTTAAGAATAATAAACAAAAAATATAAACACTACTATTATTGAAGTGAAATTTTTGTTAGCAATAAAGGTTTTAAAATGACATTAAGGCAACAAACTGAATTAGTTGAAAACTTTGCAAAAGAGAAAATATCAAGTGAATATGCTTTATAAGATGGTAAAAATATGCATTCAATAAAACAATGTGACCAGAAAGGATGGAGCAGATTAAGAGAAAGGATGGCCCATTAGGAGTTAAAGTCAAAGAGATACTGACTGAGCTGGAGTGGAGGAAGCGATAGTGTAGGGCATTCTAGGCTAGTTTGGGCTGTTACTCATAATTGGTTGTAAAAGGTCACAAATGTTGATTTATCTAACACCCCTAAAATAAAATATCTTTTATTTTAAAATATTAAGAAAATTGTATTATGTCTTTAAAATTAAAACAAAACTTTCACTAAGTTATAAAAAGAAAGAAAGAGTGAAAGAAAGAGGAAGGAAGGAAGCAAGGAAAGAAGGGAGGGAGGGAGGAAAACAAAGGGAGTGAGTGAAGGAGGGGTAGAGGAAGGAAAGGGAAGACAGAGGGGAGGGGAGGAAAAGAGAGGAGAGGGAGAAAATAAGGAGACAATGGAGGAAGGGAAAGAAGGAGGAAGAGAGAAAAGGAAGAAGACAGGAATGCAAGAAAGAAAGTTCTTTCTTGAAAGCATACTTAGTTCCTTCTTGAAAGACCTCTTGAAAGCATACTTACCAAAGCTTTTTCCACTATAATGTATATTTCCAGATATTGGGGTAATAGTTTTGAAAGATTTTTTATCTGGAAAACAACAACAACGGGATTTATAAAATGTTAACATGTATTGAATTTAAGAGAAAAAGATGACATGTAAAGACAGCGAAAAATTGCATATAAGATTTTCATGAGGACTTAAGTATAAAAATTAATTCTGATGTAGAAAATTTTACTTCAAAACATATTCCAAGCTTAAAATATTTACAATGAACCTGCCAGAGTAATGTAAGGGTCTAGTCTCTGTTAATGCTGAATGAGAAAAAAAAAACATAAACATAAAAATACACCTTATGCTGTCTTCATCTGCAGACAACTCTACACTTTGAACATTTTTCACTGACTGTCTTATGAAGGACTATAGCAACACTAACTGTGGCATACTGAAAATTGTCCATTCATAAAGATATAGGAAATATTTGAGAACTCATAGTCTACACTGAAATTCAGGTAAATATTGTGATTTGTCTATTAATAATTGATGATTTATAGGTTATTATGTTAGCACAATCAATAATTATTGCTTTATATCAAATGACACACAAAGCCTATGCTCTGGACCTATTGAATTATTTCTGATATTTTACATTCTGTTCTTCCCTGTGTACTCATATGATTATCACCTATAAATCATCAATTATTACATCCTCATTTAACACTTTATTGATAATTTTACATGAGCTTTATTTCTAACAAGCTGAAGTGCCTTCTCACATATAGAAACTTCAGAGAAATTTCTTCTTTGATCTAAGCATATTTACAGGCCACAAAATACAAGAGTAAAGAGGGTGTTGAATCTGCAATAGAATAGTCTGAGTTAAAATAAGTAAACAAGCAAACAAATAACCCAAACTTACTGGATAGAGTCTCTGTTTAAATAGGTTGGTTTATATTTCCATGGGAAAGTAAAGTATGCCTCATCTCATATATCTATTGTTGTTTATCTATCTATCTATCTATCTATCTATCTATCTATCTATCTATTGATCTATCAGTCTATCAATTCATCATCTAAATCTATCAGTCTATCATCTATCAAGACATACATGTTTATTTATCTATCCATCTATATATCCTCTCTTTGTGTATACATGTATACTGCAATTTTGTAAAAAAGGGGACTCTCATTTTTTTTCAATATTCTAAAATATGTGAGTTTGGTCTTTTAAACTTTCATTATTGGTGTGTTTTTTGTGATCATACTATTGCATGACCATACAACTTATTGCTCAAACTGAAATAATGTTGAGTGAGAAAAGGGGGCACTAAAATAATCAAAATTATATAATTATTAAAATTGATATTTAATGACTAAAAAGTTTAACTTTCTCAGCAGAAACCTTGCAAACAAGAAGTGTTGACATTCATCTTTAGTCTCTTTATAAAGAATAACTCTGCCAAGAATTTCATAGCCAGCAAAACTAAGTTTTATAAATGAAGGATAAGTAAAGTCTTTTTCAGACAACCAAATGCTAAGGGAATTTGTTACTACTAGATCAGCCCTAGAAGAAATGCTAAAAGGAGTTGTACATCTTAAAACAAAACGTCAATATACACCAGAATAGGACCTCTTGAAAGCATACAATGCATAGGACCTATAAAACAGTAACACAATGAAGAATACAAAGTATCTTTGTGACAATCAGCATGACTGGAACAGTATCTCACATCTCAATATTAATGTTGAATATAAATGGTCTAAATACACCACTTAGAAGACACAGATTTGCAGAATGGATAAAAAAAAATCACAAACCAAACATCTGCTGTCTTCTAGAGACTCACCTAACATGTAAAGATTCTTATAGATTCAAGGCAAAGGGGTGGAAAAGACATTCCAGACAAATAGAAACTAAAGGCAAGCAGGAGGTGCTATTCTTAGATAAAATAGACTTTTAAGCAAAAACAGTTTTAAAAGACAAAAGGATGTTGATATGGTTTGACTGTGTCCCCACCTAAATATGGTAATAATCCCCATCTGTCAAAGGTGGGGTCAGGTGGAGATAATTGAATCATGGGGGCAGTTTCCCCCATACTGTTCTCATTGAAGTGAATAAATCTCATGAGATCTTCTGCGGGAGTTCCCTTGCCCAAGCTCTCTTGCCTGCTGACATGTAAGATGTCCCTTTGCTCTTCCTTCATCTTCTGCCATGATTGTGAGGTCTCCCCAGCCATGTGGAGCTGTGAATCCATTAAACCTTTTTACTTTACAAATTACCCAGTCTCGGGTATGTCTTTATCAGCAGTGTGAGAACAAAAGGATCAATCCAACAAGAAGATATTATAATCCTAAATATATATGCATATATATATAATCTAACTTTGGTGCTCCCACATTCATAAAACAATGACTACTAGTCCTATGAAAAGAGATAGACAGCAACACAATAATAGTGGATGACTTCAACGCTCCCCTGACAGCACTAGACAGATTTCAAGGCAGAAAGTCAACAAAGAAACATAGGACTTAAACCATACTCTAGAACAAATGGACCTAACACATATTTACAAACTATTCTACCCAAGAACTATATTCTTCTCATCAACACATAGAACATTCTCCAAGACAGATAATATGATAGGCCACAAAATAAGTCTCAATAAATTTTTTAAAAATCAAAATTATATCAAGTATCTTCTCAGACACAGTGGAGTAAAACCAAAAATCAACTCCAAAAGGAACCCTCAAAACTATAGAAATACAAGAATTTTAAACAATCTGATCCTGAATGATTTTGGGGTTAACAATAAACTCAAGATGAAAATTTAAAAATTCTTCAAAATGAATGATAATAGTAATACAAATTATCAAAACCTCTGGGATACAGCAAATGCAGCGCTGAGAGGAAAGTTTATAGCACCAAATGCCTACATCAAAAAGACTGAAAGACCACAAATTGACAATTTAAATCTCAACCTCAACGAACTAGAGAAATAAGAACAAACCAAACCCAAAGCAAGCAGAAGGAAAGAAACAACAAAGATCGGAGCAGGTTTAAATGAAATTGAAACAAAAATATTAAAATGATCAATGAAATGAAAACTTGGTTCTTTGAAAAGATTAACAAAACTAATAGACCATTAGTTCCATTAGCCAAGAAGAGACAAGATTAAAAGAAGTTTTAGAAATAAAAATGAAAATATTACACCTGACATCACAGAAATATAAAAGATCATCCAAGACTACTATGAACACTTCTATGCACACAAACTAGAAAATCTGGAAGAAATGGATAAATTGCTGGAAACACACAACCCTACTAGCTTGAATCAAGATGAAATAGAAATCCTGACTAGACCAATATCCATCAGTGAGATTGAGTCACTAATTTTAAAAAACTGCCAAAGAAAACCCAAGGCCACAGGAATTCACAACCAAATTCTACCAGATATTCAAACAACAATTGATACCAATGCTGCTGAAACTATTGCAAAGTATTGAGAGCACAGACGCAAAAATCCTCAGCAAAATACTAGCAAATAGAATCCAATAACACATCAAAAAGATAATTCACCCATGATCAGAAGGTTTCACCTCAGGGATGCAGGAGGGATGGATCACTATATGCATATCCATAAATGTGATTCACCACATAAAAAATTGAAAATAATAATCTCTACAGATGCTGAAAAAAGCAATAAAATCCAGCATCTCTTTATAATAAAAAAATTCAACAAACTAGGCACAGAAGGAACATACCTGAAAATAATAAAAGCTATATATGACAAACCCACAGAGAGCATCATACTGAATGGGTAAAAAGCTGAAAGCATTCCCCAAGAACTGGAAAAAGACAAAGAAGGATACTTTCACTACTTCTATTCAACATAGTGCTGGAAGTCCTAGCCACAGCAATCAGGCAAAAGACATAAATAAAGGAAATCCAAATTGGAAAATAGAAAGTCAAGCTAACTCTGTCTACCAATGTTATAATCATATACCTAAAAAACCCTAAAAGGCTCCTCTAGAAGACTCCTACATTTGACCAGTGAATTATGTAAAGTCTCAGGTTACAAAATCAATGTACACAAATTAGTAGCATGGCTATACACCAACAATGACCAAGCTGAGAATCAAATCGAGATCTCAATCCCTGTTACAACAGCTGCAAAAATAAAATAAAATAATTAAGAATATACCTACCCAAGGAGGTGAAAGCTCTTTACAAGAAAAACTACAGAACACTAAATCCTAGATAGCAGAAAAAACTGGAAATTCATCCCATGCTCATGGATGGAAGAATCAACATTGTGAAAATTACCATACTGCCGAAAGCAATCTACATATTCAAGCAATTCCTATCAAAATACCAAGATCAGTTTTCACAGAATTAGAAAAAAGTAATCCTAAAATTCACATGGAACCAAAGAAGAGCCTGAATAGCCAAAGCAATTTTATTAGTCCATTCTTGCACTGCTATAAAAGAATACCTGAGACTGGATGATTTATAAAGAAGAGATTTAATTGGCTTACGGTTCCACAGGCTGTACAGGAAGCATGACAGCTTCTGGGAAACCTCAGAAAACTTTCAATCATGGTGGAAGGCAAAGGAAAAGCAGGCATGTCTTACATGGACGGAGCAGGAGAAAGAGAGAGCAGGGGAGGTGCTACACACTTTTAAACAACCAGATCTCCTGAGAACTCTACCACGAGAACAGCACTAGGAGGATGGTGTTAAGCCATGAGAAACCACCTCCGTGATCTAATCACCTTCCACGAGGCCCCACCTCCAACACTGAGGATTACAATTTCACATGAGATTTGGGAGGATACAGAAACATATCAGCATTCTTAAGCAAAATAACATATCTGGAGACGCTACATGACCTGACTTCAAACCACACTACAAACTTTACTAACCAAAATAGCATTGTACTGGTATAAAAGTAGATACATAGACCAATGGAATATACTAGAGAACCCAGAAATAAAGCCAAATACCACCAACTGATCTTCAGCAAAGCACACAAAAACATAAATTGGGGGAAGGACCCTCTATTCAATGAATGACGCTGGGAATACTGGATAGCCACATGTGGAAGAAGGAAACTGCATCCCTATCTCTCTCACCATATACAAAAATCAACTCAAGATGGATCAAAGACTTAAATTTAACACCTGAAACCATAAAAATTCTAGAAGAAAGCTTAGGAAAAACTCTTCTGGACATTGCCCTAGGCAAAGAAATTATGACTAAGACCCCAAAAGCAAATGCAACAAAGATAAATAAATGGGACATCATTAAACTAAAAAGCTTCTGCACAGAAAAAGAAGTAATCATCAGAACAAACAGACAACCTAAAGAAGGGGAGAAAATATTTGTAAACCATGCATCTGACAAAGGACTAATATCCAAAATATACAAGGAACTCAAACAAATCAGCAAGATAAAAACAAATAATCCCACCATAAAGTAGGCAAATTACACAAATAGGCCTTTCTCAAAAGAAGATATACAAATGGCCAACAAACATGAAAAATGCTAAACATCACTAATCAACACGGAAATGCAAATTAAAACTATAATGATAATCCCAGCACTTTGGGAGGCCAAGGCAGGTGGATCACGAGGTCAGGAGATCAACACCATCCTGGCTAACACTGTGAAACCGCTTCTCTACTAAAAATACAAAAAATTAGCCGGGCATGGTGGCAGGTGTCTGTAGTCCCAGCTACTCGGGAGGCTGAGGGAAGGGAGTGGCGTGAACCCGGGAGGCGAAGCTTGCAGTGAGCCGAGATCACCCCACTGCACTCCAGCCTGGGCGACAGAGCGAGACTCCGTCTCAAAACAAAAACAAAAACAAAAACAAAAAAACAAACAAAAAATTATAATGAGATACCACTTTATCCCAGCCAGAATGGTCATTATTAAAAAACTAAAAAAAAAAAAATGTGTGCATGTGGTGAAAAGGGAACTTATTTCAAGCTCAGGAGTATATGTACATACTGCCGGTGGGAATCTAAATTAGTACAACTACTATGGAAAAGCAGTATGGGGATTTCTCAAAGAAGTAAAAGTAGATCTACCAAACCCACTGTTGATTATCCCCCAAAAAAGAAATTATTATATCAAAAAGAATTCTGCACACATATGTTTACTCCAGCACAATTCATTATTTCAAAGATATGGAACCAACCTAAGTGAACATCAATCAGTGAGTGGATAATGTATACACCATGGAATGCTACTCAGCCATAAAAAAGAATGAAATAATGTCTTTTGCAGCAACTTGAATGGAGGAGGCCATTATTCTAAGTGAAGTAACTCAGGAATGGAAAAACAGATACTATATGTTCTCACTTTTAAGTGGTATGCAAAGACATACAGAGTGGTATCATGGAAATTGGAGATTCAGAAATGGGGAAGGTGAGAGGGGGAGTGAGGGATTAAAAGCCACATATTGGGTACAATGAACACTACTCAAGTGATGGGTGGAGTAAATCTCAGACATCACCACTATACAATTCATCCATGTAACTGTCCCCTCATACCAAAAAGCAACTGAAACGAAAAAATATATATATAAATATATACAGACTGGTAACCTGGAAAACTAGAAAGTCTTAGAGGTTTACAAACATCAGTGTGTGTTGTGTATGACTCCTCTAAATCTTTTATCTCTGTGCCTTCTATTAAGTTATGTAACTTATTATAACCTCAGTTACGTATCTGTAAAATATGACAAGCATGATGTAAATAGCATTAAATAAGACATGAAATGAAAAATTAATAAGTTTGATTGTATTATTTTGATATAACTAAAACTACTTACAAGTTATTGACAAAACTAGATGTTTTTCTAAACAAATATAACAGCACACAAGACAAATTCTCAATGATTAAAAATTGCATAAGTAAAATAATTGCTCTTGATAGATTCTCATGTGCTTTATTTTCTTAGGTGTCTCTCCTTCTAATGCTATATTTCTGATATTTTAGAGCAATATATTTTTCAATATCATCTTAATATTTTCATTACATTGCCTATGATTTTTTCAAAATTGCATTTTATGGTTAACACATTTAAAATTGTGAACATTTTCAATGGAATCTTTCTAGAGGCCATTATATATATGTATTATGTATATTATATATGTAAAATTATGTATATAATATACATAATATATTACATATAATTTTACTTATGCTGTTTTTAATCAATGAGAATATAATTTTGCCTTGTGTGCTGATGTACTTGTTTTTAGAAAAACAACCAGTTTTGTCAATAACTTTTAAGTAGAAGTAGTTAAAAATAAAAGTTGGAAATTAAATATATATGTATATATACACTTTTTAAAAATCTCCTACTTTTATTTTAAGTTCAGGGGTACATGTACAGGACATGCAGGTCTGTTACATAGGTAAACATGTGCCATGGTGGTTTGCTGCTCAGATCATCCCATCACCCAAGTATTAAGGCCAGCATCCATTAGCTTTTCTTCCTGATCCTCTTCCTCTTCTCATCCTCCACCCTCTGACAGAACCCAGTGTGTGTTGTTTCCCCACATGTGTCCATGTGTTCTCATCATTTAGCTCCCACTTATAAAAGAACATTCAGTGTTTGGTTTTCTGTTCCTGCTTTAGTTTGATGAGGATAACAGCTTCCAGCTCCATCCATATCCCTGCAATTACATGATCTCATTCTTTTGTATGGCTGCATAGTATTCCATGGTGTATATGTACCATATTTTCTTTATCCAGTGTATTACTGATGGGCATTTAGGTTGATTCCATGTCATTACTATTGTGACTTTATATTCTTGTTAGTCTCAAAACAAAAATAAATATCTTTAGTATCTGAGCATTTAAATAAATTAAAATAATATTCACAATATTATTGGATGTTACCTGCAATAAAATTAACTTCCAAAATTATTATTATATTAATAGATTATTTTTATTTTCCATATTTTATACTTAAAAATAAAAAAAAATTGAAACACTAGAAAATGCCAAAGATCAGGGAACTCATGTGTCATTCATCCAGTTTTCCCCAGTGGTCATAAACTTATCAAAACCAGGACATTGACATGGGTACAGTGTGTGTGTGTGTGTGTGTGTGTGTGTGTGTGTGTGTGTGTGTGTGTGTGATTTTGTCATGCATGTGTTCATGTCACATTTAAAAAACTCAGCTGCTCTATTAAGTATGTAATAGTATCTGATGATGTTCTTAATTTGCATTTTTCTAATGGGTAGTGATGATGTAAATATTTTAATGTATTTTTATTTTGTTTCATTTTGTTTTTGCCATGTCTATGTCCTTTTCAGTGAAATGCCTCTTAATGTTTTGGCTATTCTTTAATTGTATTTTTTAAATGTTGGCTTTTGAGTTATTTATATAGTCTAGATATCAGTCCATTATCACATTTTCCAGGTCTGTAGCTTGTCTTTTTGGCATATAAATGTACATAATTTTGTTCTATGCATAGATTGTGTAGTGGTGAACTCAGAGCTTTTAGGGTATCCATCACCCAAATAATGTATATTGTATCCATTAAATATTCTCTCACTATCTACCCCTCTCACCTCCTCACCCATCCAAATCTCTATTGTCTATCATTCCACACTCTACATCTCTGTGTGCACAGTATTTATATCCCATTTATAAGTAACTACATCCAGTGTTTATCTTTCTGTGTCTGACTTGTCTCATTTAAGATAAAGGCCTCCAGTTAATCAGTTCATCTATGCTGTTGCCGCTGATAGGATTTCATTTCTTTTTTAATATATAGTTATATTTTTATATATAACAATATATAAATATATGTTATATATATTTTAATATATAAATTGTTATATAATATATATATTATATATTACATATATAATATATAAATTATTATATTTTTAATATAACAGTTGGCTACTTGTATGTGTTCTTTTGAGAAAGTATGTTTACCTGTTCAAATATCTTGCCCATTTGCAAGCAAAAGCTTTTTAGTTTGTTGTAGTGTTTTTGTTTGGTTGGTTGGTTGTTGGTTTTTTTTTACATTTTTTCTTTGTTTTGTTTTGTGATTTTTTTTTTGTTTTTTTTTTTTTTTTGCTTTTGTTGCATGTGCTTTTGAGGTCCGGTCTAAAAAAATCTTTGCTCAGACCTATGTCATATAGTGTTTCGTTTAGGCTTTTCATCTAATAATTTCATGGTCTGGGGTTTTAAGCTTAAATCTTTAATACATTTTGATCTTTTTGTATAAGTTCAGAGATAGGAATTTACTTTCACTCTTTTGTGTGTGAATATTCAGTTTTCCCAGCACCATATATTGAAGAGACTGTCCTTTCTCTGTTGTGAGTTCTTGGCAACATTGTCAAAAAATAAAAAATAAAAAAGGATGGCTGTAAATGCATAGTTCTGTTTCTGGGCTCCCTATATTATTTCATTGGTCTATGTGTCTGTTTTAATGCCAATACCATGCTGTTTCAGTTACTATAGCTTTATAGTATATTTTCCTCTTTTTGCTCAAGATTGCTTTAGATATTTGGGGTGTTCTCTTGTTGCATATACATTTTAGGATTGACTTTTTTCTATTTCTGTAAAGACTGGTATTAGAATTTTGACAGAAATTGCATTGAATCTGTAAGTCTCTTTAAGTAATATGAACATTTTAACAATATTAATTATTCCAATTCATGAACATTAAATATCTTTCCATTTACTGTGTCTATTTCAATTTCTTTCATCCATGTTTTATAGTTTTCATGTGGAGATCTTCAATCTCCTTATAAAAACTTACTAATAGTTATTTCATTTTTGTAGGTATTATAAATGGGATTGTTTTCTTGAATTCTTTATCAGATAGGTTATTATTGGCATATAGAAATGATACTTTTTTTTATGTGGAGCATGTTGCTTTTAATTTCCATGTATTTGTACAGTTTCCAATGTTTCTCTTATAATTGATTTCTAGTTTTATCCCATTATAGTTAGAAAAACTATTCAATGCAATTTCAATTTTTAAAAACTTTGTTAAGACTTGTTTTGTGTCACAGAATATGACTTATCCTGGAGAATGCTCCATAAGCAGTTGAAAAACATGTGAATTCTGAAGTTGTTGGATCAGATCTCCTGTAAATGTCCATTCGGTCGCTTTTATCTTGAGTAGAGTTAAAACGTGGTATTTCTTTGTTGATTTTATACCTGCATGTTTCCTCCTATACTGAAAGTGAGGTGTTGAAATCCCCTATTATTGTATATGTGTCTATCTTTTCCTTTAGATCTATTAATGTTTGCTTTATCTATTTAGGTGCTACAATATTGGGTGCAAAGATATTTGTGATTGTTTTATCCTTTTCTTGTATTGACCACTTTGTCATTATATAATGCCCTTGTTGGTCTTTTTTTATACTTTTTTCCTTGGAGAATATTTTTATCTAAGTATAGCTACTCCTAATTTGTAGGGAGACCCCCTGAAACTATTGCTCGATAAAAGATGAAATGCTCCTGATTATTGTAAACACCAAGTTGTATGCAGGATTGTGCAAAGACAATGCCAAGTTGGACTGCCAGAATGAGCCAACAGCGCGTGATGTGCTTCCCCCTGCAGAGAGCCTATGAATGAACGTGCAGTCAGGGAGGTTTCACATCACCAAGATTCCTATCCCAGAAAAGCAGATGTTCATAGCTCTGGGAATGGAATGCGACCCTTGCGGGAGTCTATAAACGGACACATGGGGGGCACCTGTCCATATGGATAAGAAAGGGCTATAAATGCCCTCATCTTGCCACGGCTCTTCTAGGCCTCTTTAGGGTTAAGGCATACTCCCTTCTGAGAATTTCTGGTCTAACCGGTTGTCTAGCTTCACGTCGTGTTTCTATGGATTGTTTGTAACCAGCTTTTGCTGCAACTGTTACTGCTGATTAATATCTTGCTAATCACAGGTTATGGAAAGACTGTGTTTCTGTTTAAGGCTCTGTTAGAAATTACTGATGCACACACTATATTGTAAATTCTTATCTCTGTATACTGTACTTCTGCATACAGATGTTATGTTAAAGAATTAGTTCATCCCCATGTGACCATCTCACCTCACAATCAAATGACCCTAAATCCCTCACTAACCTACCCCCACCCTTACTAAACTTAATAATAAATGCTGGTATATCGAATGCATTGTTGGGCACCACAGGACCAGAAGGCGGTGACCCCCCTGGACCCAGTTTTCACTAGCTTGTGTGTGTCTATTATTTCTCAACCTGCCGATCCACCTGGGAACAAAGAGAGAGCCTCGTTGCATTGCGGGCTGCTGGCCAGATCCCACAATACTAATTTATTTTGGTTTTTATTGTATTAAATATATACTTTTCATCCATTTACTTTCAGTCTATGTGTATACTTACAGATAAAGTGAGTCTTTGGAGGCGTCAAATAGGTCTTGTTTTAGGGTTTCTGGTTTTATTAACTTTATTCATTTCCAATTTTTATTTTAGGTTTGGAGGGATAGAAGTGCTGGTTTGATACATAGGTAAATTGCATGTCACAGGGGTTTAATGTACAGATCAATGTGTCACCCAGGTAATGAGCATTGTACCCAATAGGTCCCCACCCTACACCCACCCTACATTCTCAAGTAGGCCCAGTGTCTATTGTTCCCTTCTTTGTGTCTATGTGTACTCGATGTTTACCTCCCACTTATCAGTGAGAACATGTGGTATTTGAGTTACTATTTCTGCATTACTTTGCTTAGAATAATGGCCTCCAAGTCCATTCATATTGCTACACAGAACATAATTTCAGTATTCTTTATGGCTGTGTAGTATTCCATGGTGCATATGTAACAGATTTTCATTGTGCATTCCATCACTGATGGACATCTAGATTGATACTATGTCTTTGCTACTGTGAATAGTACTATGATAAGTATATGTGTGCATGTGTTTTTATGGTGGAATGATTTTTATTCCTTTGGGTATATACCCAATAATGGAGTTGCTGGGTCGAATGATAGTTCCATGTTCTCTGAGAAATTTCCAATCTGCTTTCCACAGTGCCTGAACTAATTTACATTCTCATCAGCAGTGCACAAGTGTTCCCTTTTCTCCACAGCCTCGTGAGTATCTGTAACTTTTTCTTTTTAGTAATAGCCATTCTAACTGGTGTGGAATGGTATCTCATTGTGGTTATGATTTGTATTTCTCTAATGATTACTGATGATGAGCATTTTTTCATATGCTTGTTGGCTGCATGTATGTTTTCTCTTGAAATGTGCTTGTTCATGTCCTTTGTTCATTTTTAAATAGGATTCTTTTTTTTCTTGTAAATTTTAGATATTAGACATTTGCTGGATTCATACTTTGTGAATGTTTTCTCCCATTCTGTAGGTTGTCTGTTTACTCTGTTGATTGTTTCTTTTGTTGTGCAGAAGCTTTTCAGTTTAATTAGGTCCCAATTGTCAATTTTTGGTTTTGTTACAATTGCTTTTGGTATCTTCATCATAAAATCTTTGCTACGGCCTATGTTCAGAGTGATATTTCTTAGGTTTTATTTTGGAGTTTTTATAGTTTTAGCTTTTACTTTTAAGTCTTTAATACATCTTGATTTGATTTTTGTATATTGTGAAAGGAAGGGGTTCATCTTCAATCTTTTGCATGTGACTAGCCAGTTATCCCAGCACATTTATTGAATAGAAATTATTTTCCCAGTTGTTTGTTATTGTTAATGCTGTTGAAGATAAGATGGTTGTAGATGTGCAGCTTTATTTCTGGGTTCTAACCTGTTCCATTTGGTCTATGTTTCTGTTTTTCTACCAGTACCCTGCTGTTTTGGTTACCTCCTTAAAGTCTAGTTAGAAGTTGGATAATGTGATGATTGCAGCTTTGTTCTTTTAGCTCAGAATTCCTTTGGCTATTCAGGCTCTTTTTTTGGTCCCATATGAATTTTAGAATAGTTTTGTCTAATTGCGTGAAAAACGTTGTTGGTTGTTTGATAGGAATAGCATTGAATCTGTAAATTGTTTTGGGATGCACTGTCATTTTAACAATTTTTTTTCTTTTTGAGAAGGAGTCTTGTTCTGTCACCCAAGCTGGAGTGCAGTAGTGCCATCTCGGCTCACTGCAACCTCAGCTTCCTGGGTTCAAGTGATTCTCCTGCCTCAGCCTTTCCAGTAACTGGGAATACATGGGAATACACGTGCACGCCACCACTCTTGACTAATTTTTTTTTTGTAGAGACAAGGTTTCACCATGTTGGCCAGGCTGGTCTCAAACTCCTGACAACAGATCATCTGCCTGCCTCAGCCTCCCAAAGTGCTGAGATTACAGGCATGAGCCACTGTGGCTGGCCCATTTTAACAATATTGATCCTTCCTTCCTAACCATGGGCATAAAATATTTTCCCCATTTGTTTCTGTCACCTGATTTCTTTCAGCAATGTTTTGTGATTCTCATTATAGAGATCTTTCACCTCTCTGATTATCTATATTCCTAGATATTTTTTTTGTGGCTAATGTGAATGAGATTGTGTTCTTGATTTGCCCCTCAGTTTGGTTGTTATTAGCTTATACAAGTGCTACTTATTTTTTTTACATTGATTTTGTATCCTGAAACTTTGCTGAAGTTGTTTGCTACATCTAAGAGCCTTTGGGCAGAGACTACAGGGTTTTCAAGGTATAAAATCATATCATCCATGAAGAGAGAGAGATTGACCTCTTCTCTTCCTATTTGAATGCCTTTTCTTTCTCTTACGTGATTGCTCTGGTGAGGTCTTCTAGTACTATGTTGAATGGGAGTGGTGAGTGTGGGCATGCTTGTCTTGTTCTGGTTCTTAAGGGGAATGCTTCCAGCTTTTGCCTGTTGAGTATGTTTACTGTGGGTTTGTCATAGATGACTCATTATTTTGAAGTATGTTCCTTCAATACCTAGTTTGTTAAGGGTCCTTTACATAACAGGATATTGAATTTTATTGAAAGTCTTTTCTGTATCTGCTGAGATGCTCATGTGGGATTTTGTTAAACAACCTGCTACTGAATGAGATTCTGGTATGTTGTATCTTTGTTTTCATTGGTTTAAAAGAATTTCTTGATTTCTGCCTTAATTTCATCATTTATCCAAAAGTCATTCAGGAGTAAGTTGCTGACTTTTCATGTAATTGTATGGTTTTTAGAGATCTTCTTGGTGTGAACTTCTATCTTTATTGTACTGTGTTCCAAAAAGTGTGGTCCGTATGTTTTTTTTTTTTTAATTTGTTGAGAATTGCATTATGGTCGAGCATGTGGTTGATTTTAGAGTACATGCCATGTGCACATGAGAAAAATGTATATTCTGTTCTTAGGGTGGAGTGTTTTGTAGATGTATGTTAGGTCCATTTGGTCAAATGCTGAGTTTAGGTCCCAGATATTTTTGTTAGTTTTCTGCCTTAATATTTTGTCTAATGCTGTCAGTGGAGTGTTGAAGTCTCCTACTGTTATTGCACAGTTATCTACATCTCTTTGTAGGTCTCCAAGAACTTGCTTTATGAATCTGGGCGTGCCAGTGTTAAGTGAAAATCTGTTTAGGATAGTTAAATCTTCTTGTTGATATGAACCCTTTATCACTATGCAGTGCTCTTTGTCCATTTTTATTGTTGTTGGTTTATAGTTTATTCCATCTGAAATTAGAATAGCAACCCCTGTGTTTTGTGTTTTCAGTTTGCTTGGTAGATTTTTCTCCATCTCTTGCTTTGAATCTATGGGTGTCACTGAATGTGAAATGGATCCCTTGAAGAAATTATACAGTTGGGTCTTGCTTCTTCATGCAACCTGCCATGCTTTTATGTGGGGTGTTTTTCCCCTTTACATTCAAAGTTAATATTGATATGTGCAGATTTGATCCTGTTATTGTGTTGTTAGCTGGCTGTTAAGAAGATTTGATTGTGTAGTTTCTCTATAGTGTCAACTGTCTATGTACTTAGTGTTCTTTTGTGCCCTGTATGGTCTTTTGTTTCCATGTTTAGCATTCCCTTAAGGGCCTCTTGTAAAGCAGGGTCTGGTGGAACAAATTCTCTCTGCATTTGCTTGTCTGAAAAGGATTTTATTTCTTCTTTGCTTATGAAGTTTAGTTTGGATGGATATTTAATTCTTGGTTGAAATTTATTTTCTTTAAGAATGCTGAATATAGGCTCTCAATCTCTTCTGGCTCACAGGGTTTTGCTGAGAAATCTACTCTTCACCTAATGGGGTGTTCTTTGTAGGTGGCCTGTCCCTTGTCTCTATTTGCAATATTTTTTCTTTCACATTGAGTTTGGAGAATCTGATGACTATGTGTCTTGGGATGGTTGTCTCGTATAGCATTTTCCTGGGGTTCTCTGAATTTCCTAAATTTGGATGATAACCTTTCTAGTAAAGTTTGGAAATATTTTGTGAAAAATATCCTCAAATATGTTTTCCAAGTTGCTTGCTCTCTCTCTTTCACTCCATTTCAGGGATGACAATGATAGGTTCGTTCTCTTTACATAATCCCATATTTCTCAGAGGTTTTATTCATTCTTTTGCATTTTTTCTTTATTTTTGTCTGACTGAATTGATTTGACAAAACAGTTTTTGAGCTCTGAAATTATTTCTTTAGTTTTGTCTATTCTGTTGTTAATACTTCTGATTGTACTATGAAACTCTTCTAGTGAATTTTTCAGCTTTATTATAGCAGTTTGATTCTTTCTTTAAATGGCTATATCCTCTTTCACCTCCTCATTGTTTAATTGGATTCTTTAGATTCCTTAGATTGGGTTTCAACTTTCTCCTAAATCTTGATGATCTTTATTGCCATCCAGATTCTGAATTCTAAGTATGTAATTTCAGTCGTTTCAGCTTGGTTAAGAACCATTGACAGAGATACAGTACAGTCATTTGTAGGTAGGAAGACACTCTGGCTTCTGAGTTGCCAGAGTTCTTGTGCTGGTTCTTCCTGATCTGTGTGGGTTGATGTTTGTTTAAAGTTTTTGTCCTTTGGGTGGGGCTTTTTGCTTTTATATTCTTTGATGCTTTGAGAGTTTGACCATGTTTGTAAGTTGGGTTCAGTCAACCGACTTTGTTTCTGGATGATTTTAGAGGGCTCATACTTGGTTTAGTACTCCTGGGCTGCATGCTCTAACCCTGGGGGGCTGAAATCAGGCCCATGGCTTTGTTCTTTGGCCCATCAAGGTTAAGTACCTGCTGTGCTTGAGAGGCCAAGTTATTCCTGATATGCTGGCAACAATATTCCATTTGGGGGTGCTGTCAAAAGTGCTCTGTCAGGGTGATGGCAGCAGGGTCTGCACTCCTGCATGCAGACCAGCAGTGGCTGGCCAGTGGTGTAGCAGGGTCTGCATGCATGTATGTACCTGTGGTGGTAGCGGCATGTTGGGTTCGATGCATGCATGCATGGCAGCAGCAACAGGGAGACATGGTGGAGTCCACGCATCCAGGTGTGTTCTAGCGGTGGTAGCTCTATGGGGTCTGCATGTGTACATGTACTGGCAGGGGTGAGGCTGCAACAGCAAGGTCCATGCACACATACCAGAAAAATAATGGGGGAGGCTATGGGTGAGTGTGCACCAACAAAGTGGTGGGAGGAGGCTATTAGCACATGCATGTTGGCAAGAGCCCATTTGCTAAATCTCTCCAATGGTTAGGCAGGGTCTGCTGATGAAGGAGCTATGGCAGCAGCAACAGGGAAGCATTCAGGTTGGGCATCTGAGGTTGTGCTGCAAATGAATGTAGCCAAGGAGGAACCCCAGAAGAATATGTCAGACAGTAGGGTGCTCAAATCAGAATGGCCTTGTCCCACAGGCAAGGCAGGCTTGTTTTGTCCAGGTCCAACAATCAACAAAAACCAACGCCACCTAGAGGAGTGTGAAGAGCCTTGGGGTATGAGCGCTCCTGGCTTTACTCCACTGCAGCTCTTCCTGAACCAAACCCCCTGGGTTCTGCACAGGCTGGGGTCCTGTCCCTGCCACTTCTCCAAGCAGCTCTCTCTGCCAGATCAAGTGTCTGTGGGGGTCATGGGGTCTCCTGCAGCTAGAATTCTGGAGGTTTTTATAGTGAGAGTGGGCCACTCCTCTAACATTTAACTCACCTCTTCCCTAGGAGCTGCTGGGAGCCAGGGATGAGTCCCAGTTCTTAACAGCCCTGTGCAGGGTCCCCAGCTTCCTCCCCATTCAGCACAGGGTCTACATCCTCCCTCCACCCACCCTCAATTCCTTCCTTCCAAAGATTTGCTCAGAATGTGTTGATCTTCTTTGTCTGGTTTTCCGGTGGGAGATAACCTTCCTGGCTGTGTCCAGTTGGCCATCTTTGCTCTCCTCCCTCCCTTTTTTTTTTTCACTAATTAAGCCACATTATTTCTTTTAGCTGGATAGTATAATTCATTTACATTCAAGGTAATTGTTTATGGGTAAGAAGTTGGTATTACCATATTCTTATTTGTTTTCTAGTTGTTTTGTATAAACTTCTTCATTTTTTTCATGTCTTGCTATCTTCCTTTGTGGTTAAGTGATTTTTTCTCTATCAAGTATGTTTTGATTTCTTGCTTTCCACTTTTAGTGTGTCTGTTAAAAATGTTTGCTTTGTGGTTATCATGAGGCTTAGAAAGAACATCATATAGTCTTAGCAGGTTATTTTGAACTGATACCAAATTAATTGTGGTCACAAGAAAAGGAAAAAGAAAAACTCTATTTTTTATACATTTGGTTCCCATCACAACCTATAGGCACTTTTTTTTTTCTCCACATGTTGGATAATGATTTAATCTGCAACCTCAGCTTTTTGATGTATTCCATAAAAATAATTAATGTGCAGTTTGTCCAACTTTTACTCTGATGTATATGTGGAAGCAATGCTGTTTCCAGCTTTCCATATCTCTTACCTGAAACCAGAAACCCGAGAAGAATGCTTTTTTTATTTATCCCAGTAAATACTTTTGGCAATAATGAACTACAAAATCGAGACAAATTTTAAAGTAGAATAAAAGTGTGAAGTCTCTAGGAACCATACAGATAGTTGGTTTCATAGCTTCATGGGATTTTTTTTTTTCAGGATTCACACAAGCTAATTTAATTTCAAAACACATCCATTTTCAGACCCAAGAAGTGCTTTGAGCTCCAAGTATGGTAAACACAAAGAGATACATTCATAGAAACATGATAAGCACACTGCCATAAGACAAAGGCAAAGGAAGAATCTCAAAAGAAACAAAAGAGAAGCAACTCATTTTGTCCAAGGAATTCCCAATAAGAATAATAGAATATTTTTATCAGAAAAAACAGAGGCCACATGGTGATGGATTGAAATATTCAAAGTGCTGAAAGAAAGAAACTGCCAGCAAGAATTCTATACCTAGTCTACCAGCAAATTAAGAGCATCTGGCAACATGCAAATGGCTGTGCATTTTAGAAAGATATGTTCAGGTAGTATGTAAGATATATAACAAAATATTAAAAGTAATTTTACCAAGGTACTAGAATAACAGTGACTCTGTTCTTTCTGCATTTCTAAACTTTTTCAATAGTATCATTTTGTTTGAAAAAAATATAAAAATTAATGTTACATAATACATCATAAAATATTAAGCTTGAAATATGTAACTTTCCAAATATTTTAGATGAAGTTTCAATGTTTTATTTAAAGGTAGAAAAATACATAAAATTTAATATTCCTACTCAACAGCTAACTAAATTCCTTTCATGATTTACAAGAAAACTACACAGGCAATGTTCTAGTATGTCATAACATCAGAATGATGACAGTCACCTGTGAGTTTAAAGGAACTTTGTAGGGCTGGTCTTTCTGCCAAATATGACTGTAATTTACTGCTAAAATGGATACATTTGGATCATTATTTTTCATTTGATAAATTATATGCTCAAATCTTGCTGAAGATTCTACTGGTTCAATTCCATAACTGATATTTTCAAACTGGAGAAATCCCCTGAAAATTTAGAAGGCATAAGAAAATAGTTATAAAAATCTCACAAATGATCCCTTCAAAATGATAATCTGAAATGGCATAAGAAATTAAAAAACTATACTAAAGAACACATTTTAAGCCCATTTTCTTTTTCCATTATTTTTTGGGGGGGCAGTTTATCATTAGTAAGAGCCACCATATCTGGCTTCGTTTTGCTTAAATTTTAAAGATCTAAATGCAATAAAGAACATTTTTGTAAGGCAATCACATTAATTAAGGCCAAATTTGCCACAAACAAATATATTTGTTGAGAATTCCAGGAAAAACGTTCCTGTTCTTCCAGAGGTTTGATAAGGGACGGCATGTATGTAGACTATATATCTAATGAGGTTGTTATCTATAAAAACCACATTCAGAGAATGCCAAGTTTCTGAGTTGATGTGACTCAATTCTGGAAATCAGGCAATTGAAACCAAAGGAAAGTTAGAGGGAGCATTTTTTCTCTGCTCCGGATCCTTTTTTTCCTGATGAACTTATCATAAGTGAGACTCCCAGCATCACTAACAGAAATCACTTATCCCTATCCTTTATTCCTGAGGGATCTTCTTAACTAGTTGTTTTATATCTGGTACTAAGCTGAGACCATACTATATTTTCCTATTATATTTATATAACTAACTAATGCCATTTTCCATAACTATTTGAGAAAACAGATGCAGAATGCAACAATCATACTTAAGGAGATATTTTAAAGTTTTCTTCCATGAAACTATTCCATTTTCCACGATAACCCTGGATTGATTTCATGGGAATAGGCCCTTAGGTCTAAGTATTAACATTAATACAAATAGAATAAAGCTGTTAGAAAGAAAACTTTCCATTTTGATTTCCCTTAAACTTCCATGATTTGTGTCTGCTAGTCACTAAGTTTTGTTTTAAAGACTATCTTAAGTTCTCCATCTATAGATTTCTTATAAGGTGCTATTACCTGAGACCAGAACATATACTGAGTGTCACAAATGAATTTGGAAATTCGGCAGCATATCCTTGGTAATGGCAATGCATCTGAAAAACAGTATAGAAAGGCAAGTATATAAATTCGTTGTGAATAAAAAATGTATTGTCAAACATGTCAGAAGATTCAAAATATTAAAAGATTTAATAATAAGATCATTAATTATTAATGCATATTTTCAGAAAAAAAAAGATTTGTGACAATTCTCTTTATTTTGCACCACAGGCACAAGAGAGTCCCTGTGAGTATTCGCTTGCAGCTGGGTTTCATCTCTATCACATGCCATTTCTATGTACAAAAGTCAGTAACATGTCAGTAAGGATAAAACATTTGTATTAAACTGTCAACATGAAACACATTCTAATGGTAATAATATAACCACTTTAACAAAAAAAATAAGGTATCTTACTTTACCATAAAATATGGAGACACAGAATGCAAAGATCCAGTTTCATTATATGTATAAACCAAAAAGTTCTGGGGTAAGAATGATCTAAAAAACCAAGAAATAATAAAAAAGTATGAATCATAATCTTAATATAATGTTAAAAACAAATATTACATACATTTTATATAACACGATTTAATTAGCTTTATATAATGGCATGATTTAATTGAGTGATTTTAGTGAGGCATAACAGTTGAAATTCATAGAACTGGTGAATCAAAGAGTTTAGACTTAGCACTGGGACAGACTCTGGGATTCCTCTGCATCAGACATATGTATGTATAGCTGTGTATGATGACGTTCAACAAATGTACTGAGTGTTCACTATCTGACGGACCCTCATGTAGGTGCTGGGATTCAGAGTTAGGCAAGAGACAAAAAGCCTTAGTCTTTGTGACAGCCAGGGGCACATAGTACTAGCAATTAGATGACAATAGATAAGGCCTGGGGAGGGTGGTTACAAAATGTAGATAGGGTGGCATGGAAAACCTCTCTGAATAGATGATTAAATACCTGAGGAATAAACCACATGAATTTTCACAGAAGTGTTATTCTAGAAAGAATTAATAGAAAATGCAAGGACCCTCAAGCAGAAATATGCTTTGTACAAACAAGGAACAACTAGGGGGCAATATGACTGGAGTGTGGAGTGATGAAGACAGACTATAGTAAGAGACAGTGTCACAGAGATGAGACGCATTGGAGGGTTTGAGCAGATAAAGACAGCATCAGACCAATGTTTTAATAAAATCAGCACTGTGTTGAGAATAATCTGCAGGACAAACAAGCAGAAGAAACAGGGAGACATTTAGATGTAAGACATGATGGTGCTTTGAACTAAGATAGCATCAGTGGGGTAGGTCTAATTCTGGATATATTTTGTAGGGTTTAGATATAGATATAGATATATTTTGAATACAGAGGTTTATAATCCACTGGAAATAGGGGAAAACGACAGAAAGATGTCAAGTATGACTCCGACTTTTTACATGTTTTTTTTTCCTGAAAAACTTATATATTTGCCAATTCCTGACATGACTGTGAGAAAGACAAATTGAGAAGAAAGTCAGAATTCCATTTGGACATGTTACCTATGAGGATTCTAGTAAATACTTGGTTATCAACTAAGTACTCAGATAAGTGAATATGGCATTTATTTAAGAGGAATAAGGTAGAGATGTTAATTTGGGAGCAACCAACATGTGGATGGTATTTAAAGTCACAAGAATTAAACAACCAGATGATTGAATATAGCTAGGGGGAAAAAAAAAAACCAGAATGCAGAAACCATACTATGGAGTACTCTAAGATTCGAGAGATGAGAAAGAATTAAAAAAAAAAAAATAGAGAAAGGAGAGACAGAGAGAGAGTGAGAGAGCACTGAAGTACCCAGAGTACTTCAGAGTAAAATCAGGAGCAGGAGTCTGTGGTATTCTGGAAGCCAAATGAAGAAAGTATTTTACGGGGGAGACACTGGTCAACTATGATCAATGCTGCCAACTGGTTAAGAAAAATTAAGACTAAAACACAAACAGAGCATTCAAAAACATGAGGACCACTGATGATTCTATCAGAAAACACTTGTGGAGTTGTAGAGGAAGAAAAGTAAACGTGAATTAAGTAGGGTAGTCATGAATTAAGTGAGAATAATTTCCTCTAGCCTTGTTCAATTACAAAGAAGCAGGCAGACAAGGGACAGTTGCTATAAATACATATGTTTGAAGATGCAGACAGAGAAGAGGCTACTTTATTTTTATAAAATGTTGAGAAAATACAAATCAAGATACAAACAGTAGATTGTTGCTTGGAGTTGTGAGTGAGAAAGAGGCTAACTGAGAAAACATGAGGGCTCTTACGTGGGGAAAGAATGTTCTAAAACTGATTTATATTTGATGGTGGCAACAGTGCACAAATTCATTAAAATTATTGAACTTTATACTTTAGAGAATTTTACATGTAAAGTAGGTTCAGTAAACTTGTTAAAAATAGACACACTTGTAATCAGCATATCATAAAAATTGTGTCACTAGTTGAATTTCCCACCATAATCACTTGATGTGTAACTTGTCGTATACATCCAGATGGCCTGAAGCAAATGAAGAATCACAAAAGAAGTGAAAATGGCCAGTTCCTGCCTTAACTGATGACATTTCCTTGTGAAATTCCTTCTCCTGGCTCAGAAGTTCCCCCACTGAGCACCTTGTGTTCCCCGCCCCTGCCCGCCAGAGAACAACCCCCTTTGACTGTAATTTTCCACTACCTACCCAAATCCTATAATCCCCACCCCTATCTCCCTTTGCTGACTCTCTGTTCGGACTCAGCCCGCCTGCCCCCAGGTGATTAAAAAGCTTTATTGCTCACACAAAGCCTGTTTGGTGGTCTCTTCACACGGACACCAGTGACATAACTATGTTTGATTTCACACCAGATATACTTAATATATAACTTGCTGTTCTTGGGTTCAACGGCTTATATGCAATTTGAGATTTTACAAGTATGTAGTTTATTTCATAATTTGAAAATATCAAGCGAAAATTAAAATGAAAGAGCTCTATAGATCTGATATTCAAAACCTAATGAATCCTAAATTGGGAAGTTGATTGATAAAACAAGTCTACATTATACAGCATTCCTGAATTTAAATACTGCACAAAAACTTTAAGGCTGTAAAATCTAAACTTAAAGCTTTCCCTTTTCCTTAATGAAAAAAAAATCATATCTTACTGTTTTCCGAGATGTAGAGTGTAAGGTTGTCCATCAATTGTAATGATGTAAATCATCTGAAATAAAACACATCAGTAAAGATTGTGAAGGAAACCAGAAATATATAAAATAAAACAATATTCATCCAAGTTAATAAAAAGAGTCTATCTATTAAAAATGAACATAATCTTTAGAATTTATTATTCTAAATAGTAAGAATTTAATATCTTAATAAATTCAGGAACAATGTGACCAATTTAATGTGTGGGGTGACTTTTTAAAATAAAAGTGAAGGGGAACTGTGGTATATATACATGATGGAATACTACTCAGCCATAAAAAGAAAGGAATTAATGGCATTTGCAGTGACCTGGGTGAGTTTGGAGACCATTATTCTAAGTGAAGTAACTCAAGAATAGAAAACCAAACATCACATGTTCTCACTCATAAGTGGGAACTAAGCTATGGATGCAAAGGCATAAGAATGACACAATGGAATTTGGGGACTTGGGGGAAAGGGTAGGAAGGGGCTGAAGGATAAAAGGCTATGAATTGGGTTCAGTGTATACTGCTCAGGTGATGGGTGCAACAAAATCTCACAAATCACCACTAAAGAACTTACTCATGTAACCAAATACCACCTGCTCCCCAAAAACCTATAAATAAAAATAAAATAAAATAAAAATGAAAAGTACATTTTTAAAAAAATATATATATTTAGCATTTTAGCATTATTAACACTATATTAACTGCTTCTATTTAGAAAAACACTTGCATTTTTAGTCAAGATAAATTAGACATGGCTGCAGGCACACATGCCACACAAAATATAACGAACCGGTAACAAATTTTAATATATACATACATATGTGCAGTCATACCTATTTAGAGACATTTAGCATCTCTCTCTCAACATATAAAACTGTGGAAAAAGAGCTAAGAGACTGAAAGCAGACAAGAAGCTAGTGAGGAAGACTATACCTCCAGGGACAAGAGTTATAAACTATCACAAATTGGGTACTAACAATGCTCATGATCCTATTGTGATGGCATCCAGAAACAGCAGGTGATGCCATTAAATTCTTCAGGGGGGCGTAACTGGACTAAGTCTACAGATGCAGACAGAGGTCTATCCTACTAAACCCACCATTTCTCTTCCAAGGCAAACAAATGTCAAGAGAAGTCTCTAATTTTAAGCTGGAACAGTCTGTGAATTGGGTAGAGAGAAACAGGGCAATACTGCCTATGACTGGAAATGGCAGAAAGAAAAAGGAGCACACAGGCTCAGAAGGCTATCTGCTCATCACCCAGACTGGAGGCAAATCTCATCCCATTATTCCCTTAAACCAATGTAAGCTACTAAGTTAAATCCAATGCATTCTCCCAGACTGAATGCAAAACAAAGGCAGCAAAAGGTCTGACACAATCTCCACTCCAATGGCAAGTCCACAATAAAAATCTATCTAACTTCTGAGGTACATCTACACCAAGAAGGGACAATAACAAATTCAACAAATAAAAGGAGTAATTTATCAAATCACTCCTGAGAAAACCATAAAGTGTGTTGTATTAGGCTGTTCTTGCATTCCTATAAAGAACTACCTGAGACTGGGTAGTTTATAAAGAAAAGAGGTTTAGTTGGCTCACCGTTCTGCAGGCTCTACAGGCATGGGACCAACATCTGCTTGGCTTCTGGGGAGGCCTCAGAGAGTTTTTACTCATGGCAGAAGGTGAAGCAGGAACTTGCACATGGCAAAAGCAGAAGCAAGGAGGAGAGTGGGGGTAGGGGGAAGTGCCACACACTTTTACATGACCAGATCTCACGAGAACTCACTCACCATTGCAAGGACAGCACCAAGCCATGAGGGATCCACCCCCATGACCCAAACACCTCTCACCAGACCTCACCTCCAACACTGAGAACCACATTTCAACATGAGATTTGGAGCGAACACATATACAAAACTGTATCATGTGTGAATAAAACAGGACCTTAATATAAGTATATTTAATATCTTTAGAAAAATAAAAATAGACATTATAAGGAGTAGGGATTGAGTGTAACAAAAAACTAGTTCTATAATTTTCTAATGCGTAATGAGGGCTTATCAAATGCCTAGTATGGTCCGAAGCACTTCGTATGTTTTTTTGTAATTTTTTATCCTCAGAAAAACTATTTTTCATTTCAAGAAACAGAGATTAAGTAACTCTCCAAAGATGATACATCAAATGAGTGTAAGAGCCTGGCAGAGAAGCAATGTGCTTTACCACTGTGTGACAATGCCAGCATGTGGCGAAGAGCAGAGAGTTCTTACTGAAGAAAAGACAGAAAATCATAAAAATGAATCAATTATAGATGATATAAATGACCACGTAACTGATGATTTTTAAGTAAATCATTATCCTGAATAAGAGTCTGGCTATATCTGAAAGATAATTAGTGAGGTTGAACATCAAAACTAGAAAGTTTCTGTGAATTAAACACAAAAATATTTTAAAAGTGAAAGATCTGAAAGAATAAATAAGAAACAGAGAAGCTATTTCCAGGACTTCCAATATCAACTAATAAGAATTTAAGAAGGCAAAAATAAAGTGAAAGAAATATTAATAGTTAAAAACTACTACTTCAAAATTGAACACATAAGTATTATCATTTAATGTGCTCATCAAGGGTCATATAGAGAGTTTAAAACACAAAACTAACAATATAGGCTTACCTCAGAGATGTTGCAGGTTTATTTCCAAACCATTGCAATAAAGCAAGTATTTCAATGAAGCAAGTGATGTATATTTTTTGGTTTCCCAGTGCATATAAAAGTTATGTTTACACTATACTGTAGTCCACTGAATGTGTAAAGCAAATTATGTCTATAAATGTTCAACCTTAGTTAAAAAATGATTTATTGCTAAAAAAGGCAAACAGATACAAAACGAGCACATGCTGTTGTACAAGTGGCACAGGTAACTTGCTTGACACAGGTGTGAATTGCAATTAAGTAAAGCACAATAAAATAAGGTATGCCTGTAGTGAGGGACACAGAATAGCCACCAAAATTTTGAGAAGAAAGAACCAAGTTTGGAGAAATTACCTTATCTAATTTCAAGATTTTCCTCTAAAGCTACCATAATCAAGACAGAATGATATTGGCAAAACAAAATGGACGCACAGAAAAATGGAATAGAAAAAAGAGCCCAGAAATAGACCTTCAACTGATTTTTGAAAAAGATTCAAAGGCAGTTCAATGGAGAAAGGGTCGTCATTTCAATTGACGGTGATAGAACAATTGGATGTCCACATGCAAAAAGACGAATCTCAATACAGACATCACACCTTGCACAAGTGTGCAAGATAGAACAATTGGATGTCCACATGCAAAAAGATGAATCTCAATACAGACATCACACCTTGCACAAGTGTGGAAAGAAATTGTAGACTTAAAGGTAATACACAAAACCACAGAATATCTAAAATGAAACACAGGACAAAAACCTCTGTATTCCTGGTGTTGATGATGAGTTTTTAGATATGATAGCAAAAGCATAATCCATACAGGAGAAAAAAAATACAAGTTGGACTTCATTTTTGTGAAAATACTAGCTCAAAGAAAGACATTATTAAAAGAATGAAAAAAAGCTATAGACAGGGAAAAATATTTGGAAATCACATATCTCATAAAAGACTTAACTAGAGTACATAAAAAGCTTTTGAAACTCAAAAACAAGAAACAACCCAATTTAAAAATGAACAAAATGTCTGAATCTTACAAAGAAGATATACAGATGGAAAATAACGGTATATTTTTAAAATCTTAGACCAGAAGAGGGATTTTGCAAGAGATTGAAGGTCAAGAAGGTACACAAGAGTGTGGCAGAAATGACCCTAAAGTTCTCATCTGGATTCAAGGCAGTTCCAGTAAGGGTGGAACTGTGACTTTCAGTCTATTACATGAGACATGGTCACCTATAAAATCATAAGAGTAATGCAAGTCAAAACCTTAAACTCTATAGCATGGCTTCTATCAAAAGAACAAGCAACAGCAAATGTTGGTGTGTACGTAGAGTAATTGGAATCCTTGTGCTGGTGGAAATTTAAAATGATGCAACCATTACAAAAAATACTAGAGAGGTTCATCCAAAAAATCACATAAAAATAGAATCATATAAAATATAGAATTATTATATGATTTAAAACCTCACTGTGGGGTATGCATCCAAAACAATTCAAAGCAGTATCTTGAAGAGGTTATCTGCACACCAATGTTCTTGGTATCATAATTAACAATAGCCAAGAGGTGGAAGCAACCCAAATGCCCATCAGTAACGAATAGACGAATAAAATGTGGAAAATGCAACAGATTATTATGCAGCATTAAAAAAGAAGGAAATCCTACTACATGCTAAAACAAGGTTGAATCTTGAGGACACTATACTAACTGAAATAAGCCAGACATGAAATACATCATTTATGTTTGCACTAATATAAAATATCTAATGTAGTCAAAATCATGGAAACAAAAAGTAGAAAGATGGTTGGAAAGGGCTGGGGAAGGCCATCAAGGAAATTAGTATTTAATGGGTATACAGATTCAGTTTTCCAATATAAAAAAATTCTAGAGATTTGTTGCATAACAGTGTGAATTTAATTAACAGCATTGAATCATATACTTAAAAATAGTTACAGTGGTATATTTTATCTTATGTACGTTATTGTACAATACATTTTTCTAAAAGACAGGTAATGTGAGATTGGATAAAAAACCAAGACCCAATTATATGCCCACAGAGACATGGGTTGATTAAGAGAACAAAGAGAAATATATCATCCAAATGCTAATCATAAATAAACTAAATGTGTACATTAAAAACTAAGAAGGCAAACCACGATAATAAGAAATAATATTAGGAATAAGCAGAAACATTTCATAATGATAAAAGTGTCAATTCCTCAAGAAGGCAATATAAATCTAAATGTGCATAAAGCTGTAAAATGCATGAAAAACTCAAATGTGGAGGAAACAAGTATTACTTATAAATGGAGATGTAAACACTTCACTGAGAGCAAAGTGCCACCACCTGGCCCCTGCCACATTGGGCTGGAAGACAGAAGACAGTGCAGCAGTGATATGTTTTGGGTCTGTGTCCCCACTCAAATCTCATATCAAATTGTAATCTCCAATGTTGGAGGTGGGGCATGGTGGGAGGTGATTAGATCAGAAAGGCAGATTTCCCTTTTGGTGCTGTTCTTGTGATAGTTATCGCGAGATTTGGTTGTTTAAAAGTGTGCAGCATCTCCTCCTCCTCTCTCTTCCTCCTGCTCTGGCCATGTAAAGCATGCCTACTTCCCCTTCCCCTTCCACCATGACTGAATGTTTCCTGAGGCCTCCCCAGCCATGCTTCCTGTACAACCTGCCCAACTGTGAGCCAATTAAACCTCTTTTCTTTAAAAATTATCCAGTCTTAGTTATTTCTTTATAGCAATGTGAGAACAGACTAATACAAATAGAAATTGAGACTGTGGGCATTTGGGCCACTTCATCATGTAACTTCATACTGCCTTCAGACACATTCAAAAGCCCAGTCATGTTTATACCCCTTCCAATTGATTGTGAAATCCTGTTGTGCATGTCCCACCATAAGCTTTGCAGGTCAGATAACACCCAGTTCCTCATGGGCAGCTCAGGTCCCAGGGTAACCTGGTGCCCTGATTAAGCATTCAGTCTTATTAAGGCTCGTTAGCAAGTCAAAAACTGTTTCTCAAACTGAGAGCAGTTATCCACAGAAATAGCATTAGTGACAGAAAATTAGCAAAGACCTAGAATATTAAACACTATCAATCAACTTGAAATAATTTACATTTATAGACCACACAATCCACCAAGATGAAATAAACACATTTTTTAAATCCACAAAGAACAATTACTAAGATATACCTTATTTTATGCCAAGCCTCAATACTCTAAAAATATTTAAGCCACTGAAAGCAAGTTACCTGGATCCAATCAAATTAAAATATAAATCAGTATCAGAAATATCTAGACAACTTCTCAAGTTTTTAGATATTAAATAACTCACTTCTAAATATTACCTAAGTCAAAGAAGCAATTATAAGAATTTAGAAATAATTTTAAACAAATGATGATTAAAGCCATAACCCATAAAACTTTGTGGCCTGCAGAAAAATAAAAACTGTGATTAAAAGAAAGTTTACAGACCTTTCTTTAACAGTGCTTTAAAAAAATTTACAAATTTATATGTTTTTATTAGCAAGAAATAACCAAGAACAGATGAAAACTTTCTTAAATTATTAAAAGGCATTGAACAAAATCTACAGCTAATGTCAGACTTAATGGTGAATAATCGAATGCATCCTCTCTGCAATCTCAAGAAATAAATATTTATTGACAATTTATTTCACACTTTTTATTGAATATGGTACTGGAGGTTCTAGCCAGTGCAATACCACAAGGAAAAGGAATAACTGGTAGGCAGAATTTAAAAAAAAAAACACAAATTTTTTAAATCTTCAAAACACATGATAATACACAGAAAAAATTCTAAGTAATATATGAAAAAAGTTGCTAGAACTAATGCGTGAATTTAATAATATGAAGGATGGAAGCTCAATATTTAAAATTTAATTTAGTTCTACATAACAACAATGGATAATAAGAATATGCAATAAAAATGGAATTTACACAAGCATCAAAAACATGACATTTTTTAAAAGTTATAAAATATATGAGCAATATCTGTGTCTAGAAAGCTTCAGAAAAATGATTAGTGAAATTAACAAAGACATAAATAAATGTGTGTGTGTGTATATACATATATAAACCCATTGAGATACATCTATTAAAGACATTGAATTGATAATTAACCTTCCACAACAGGAAGCACCAGGCCCAGATGGATTCACTGGTAAATTCTACTAAACATTTAAGAAATAATGTATACTAATTTTCTACAATCTCTTTCAAGAGATAGAAGCACAGGGAATACTTCTTTTTCTATAAAGCTAGATGAAAAATCCTCCACAAAATATTAGCAAATCTTATTCAACAGTGTATAAAATAATTATTTTTATACATTATAAAAACTATTTACATATTTTATACAAATTTTTTTATACATTACAACCAAGTGAGGTTTACCCTAGATGTGCAAAGGTAACGCAACACTTGAAAATCAATTCATGTAATCATCACATTGTCTAAAGGAAAAGAATCACATGAGATCATTTCAATAGACATGGAAAAGGCATTTGAAAAAATCCAGCCTGGCGCAGTGGCTCATGCATGTAATCCTAGCGCTTTGGGAAGCCGAGGTGAGTGGATCACCAGAGGTCAGGAGTTTGAGACCAGCCTGGCCAACATGGCGAAACCCTGTCTCCACTAAAAATACAACATTAGCCGGGCGTGTTGGTGGGTTCCTGTGATCCCAGCTACTCAGGAGGCTGGGGCAGGATAATCACTTGAACCCAGGAGGTGATGGTTGCAGTGAGCTGGGATCGCACCACGGCACTCCAGCCTGGGTGAGAAAGCAAGACTCTCTCTCAAAAAAGAAAAAAGAAAAAATCCAACACCCTTTTCTTTTTTTTGTTGTTTTTTTTTTTTTTTGAGACGGAGTCTTGCTCTGCCACCAAAGCTAGAGTGCAGTGGCATGATCACAGCTCACGGCAACATCTGCCTCCCAGGTTCAAGTGACTCTCCTTCCTCAGCCTCCCGAGTAGCTGGGATCACAGGCATGCACCACCACATCCTGTTAATTTTCATATTTTTAGTAGAGACCAGGTTTTGCCATGTTGGCCAGGCAGGTCTCGAACTCCTAGCCTCAGATGATCCACCTGCCTTGGCCTTTCAAAGTGCTAGAATTACAGGTGTGAGCCACCATGCCTGGCCAACACCCACTTTGAATAATAATAACGATGGCGATAAAAATTTTCAGCAAACTAAGAATAGCAGGCCATGTTCTAACCTTAATAAAGAACATCTATTTAAAAAAACCTAGGGCTAACATCATACATAGGTTTTGAAAAACTAGACCCTTTCATGCTAAGATCAGGATCAAGGCACAGATAGCTACTCCTTTCAACATCACACTACCAGTCCTAGCCAATGCAATAAGAAAAGGTATACTAGATTGGGAAAAAAGAAATGAAACTGTCTTTGTTCATAGATGAAAAGATTGTCTATGTAGAAATTCTGAGAGGATTGATGAAAAAACCTTCTGGAACCAAAAAACAATTACAGCAAGGTTGCAGGGTAGAAGGTAAACATACAAAAGTCAATTGCTTTCCTACATACTAGCAATGAAGGAGGGGAATGTGAAGTAAAAACAATGCCATTTACATTAGCATCCAAAACTCAAAATATTTAGATACAAATCTAGCAAAATATGTACAACATCTACATGAGAAAAACTTCAAAATTGATGAAAAAATTAAATAAGAACTAAGTGAAATATTCCATGTTATGGATAGCAACACTAAATATCATTAAGACATTAGTTATTTCCAACTTGATTAATAGATTCAAGATAGTTCCAATCAAAATTCCACTTAGTTATTTTGCAAATATCGACAAACAAATTCTACAGTTTATGTGGAGAGGCAAAAGACCAAGAACAGGCAACACAACACAATACTAAAAGAGAAATACAAAGTTGGAGGACTGACACTACCTGATGTCAAGACTGAACTATAAAGCTACAGTAATTAGCAGATTGTGGTATTGGCTAAAGAATAAACAAATAGAATAATGGAACAGAAAAAAGAGCACAGAAATTGATCTATGTAAATAAAGTAAACTGACCTTTGACAAAAAAGCATAGGAAATACAATGAAGTAAAGACAGTCTTTTCAACAAATGGTGTTGGGACAACTGGATATCCAAACGTAAAAAAATAAATAAATCTAGACACATAACATAATAGTTCACCAAAATTGACTTAAAATTAATAACAGACCAAAATGTAAAATACACAACTATAAAACTACTTGAAGAGAACACAGGAGAAAATCTAGGTGACCTTAGCTATGGCAGTGACTTTTTAGTACAACCCCAGAGGCATGATCCATGAATAAATAATTGATAAACTGGATTTAATTAAAACTGAAAATTTCTTCTCTGTGAAAGACACTGTCAAGTATATGAAGAGATAAACCACAGATTAAAAGAAAATATTTGCAAAAGGCCTATATGATAAAGGACCAAAATATCTAAACAACTCCTAAAACT
The DNA here is from genome assembly GCF_000001405.40 of Homo sapiens. Classification (NCBI taxonomy): domain Eukaryota; kingdom Metazoa; phylum Chordata; class Mammalia; order Primates; family Hominidae; genus Homo; species Homo sapiens. The sequence goes on along the minus strand of NT_187577.1, from coordinate 347,776 downwards.
CAACAATAATAAAATGAACAGTCAGACTTTAAAAAGAGACAAAAACCTAAACAGACATCTCATCAAATAAGATATATGTCAAGCAAATAAGACATATGTCAAACAAACATGAGACCTGATAGTCAGGGAGGCTGTGCATCCATAAGGACAGTGGTATATTGAAAGATTCTGTACTTTCTTCTAATCTTTTCTCTGAACCTAATACTGCTCTAAAAAAATTAATCCTTATACATTATTAAGGAATTGCAAATTAAAAATAAAATATTATTACACATTGATTTGAATAGTCAAAACGCAAACACTGACAACCCCAATTGAAGTAAAGATGAGGAGCCACAGGAACTCTTATTCTTCGTTTGTAGAAATGCAAAATAATAGATCAGCTTTGGAGGATAAGCTGGCAGTTTCTTACAATACTACACATACTCTTACCATATAATCCAGCAATTGTGTTCCTTGGTATTTACTGAAAAGAGCTGAAAACTTATGTCCATACAAATATCTATACAGAAATATTTATGGCAGCTTAATTCATAGCTGCCAAATCTTAGAAGCAGCCAACACATCCTTCAGTAGGTATACATAAATAAACTGTGGTACAGCAGACAATAGATTATTATTCAGTGATAGAAATGAACTATCAAACCATTAAAAGACATAAAAGAATCTTAAATGCATACTAAGTGGGAAGAAAAGCCATCTGAAAAGGCTACATACTTCAAGATTCCAATTATAACACACTCTGGAAAAGGCCAAACTATAGAGACTGTAAAAGAATAAGTAAATGTCAAGGATTTGGTTGGTGGGGAGGGATGATTAGGTAGAGCACAAAGGAGTTTTAGAACAGTGAACTTATTCTGTATGATACTATTAGTGGATACATGTCATTATACATTTGTTCAAACCCACATGGTACACAGCACTAATGTATACTATGAAATTTTGAGTGATGATGTGTCAATATAGATTTGTTAATTGAAACAAACATCTGAGATCTGATAGTCAGCGAGGCCACACATCCATAAGGACAGTGGTAAGCTGAAAGATTCTGTACTTTCTTCTCATCTTTTCTCTGAACCTAATATTGCTCTAAAAAAACACCACACACACAGTTTATTTTAGAAATTCTTGAAATTAAAAATGGATAAGATCAGATTTCTGGTTCCAGCCAAAATGGAATAGCCTCATTCTTCCAAGTTCTTCCCTCTTAAAGCTAAGAAATCCTGGGAATATAATTGAAAAATAAAAATAAAAAATTTTGGAGAAATGGAAACAAGAAGGCAGACTAACCAGTGATATAAGGACTTGAGCAATAACTAGTTCAGGCCGGGCATGGTGGCTCACTCCTGCAATCCCAGCACTTTGGGAGGCCGAGGTGGGTGGATCACTTGAGGTCAAGAGTTTGAAACCAGCCTGGCCAACATGGTGAAACCCCATCTCCACTAAAAATACAAAAAAATTAGCCAGGTATGGTGGTGTGCACCTCTAATCCCAGCTATTTGGGAGGCTGAGGCAGGAGAATCTCTTGAAACCTCTGAGGCAGAGGTTACAGTGAGCTGAGATCATGCCACTGTACTCCAGCCTGGAGTGAATTTCCAGAGTGAATCTCCTGGAGTGAATCCAGCCAGAGTGAATCTCCATCTCAAAATAAACAAATAAATACATATTTAAAAAAATAAAAATAAAAAATAAAAACAGTTCACTGGTTTTCTTTTGACTCCCATGCTTGTAAATGGTTTGCTGGAGAAGACAGCAACCTGGAACTACCAACAGGCACAGTGTCAACAGGGTCCAGTGTAGAGCTGAGATTGCAGTCCCTCCTTGTAGTGATGAAGCACCACCTCCATGGCAGTGAAAGTCAGCCCTGTGCTTCACCTATTCAGGATTCCAGTTAGGTACAATGAATAACACATGAAAACAAAGTTACCAAAATAAAAATCTAAGTGGAAGGGCTCAACCACAGCATGGGGTTAGGGGAGAAAATACTGAAATGGGAGACAGAATAATAGAAATTATCCAATCTGAAAATTGAGGAAACTTACAAAAAATGTAGAGAGGAAATGATAAAAAATGCACAGAGCTTCAGGGACCTAGGGTACTATAACAAAAATTCTACCAGAAAATGACAAAAAATGCACAGAGCTTCGGGGACCTAGGGTACTATAACAAAAATTCTACCAGTGTCATTAGAATCCCAAATAGAGACGGAGGCTACAGTTGAAAAGGTACTCACAAGAAATAGCGGGTGAAAATTTACCAAATTTGACAAAATCATAAACCTATTGATTTAAGAAGCTAGAAACTATTGAGACTACAAAGGAAACAATTACCAAAAAAAAAAAAAAAAAAAAAACTCACAGCAAAATGCATCATAGTTCAATTTCTGAAAACTAAAGGAAATTTTTAAAATCTTGAAAGTAATGAAAGAAATGACAACTTACCCATTAGGGAAAAAAAAACAAATGACAGCAAATTTCTCATAAGAAGACATGAAGATCAAAGGAAATGTCGTAACATAAATACGATGAAAAAAAAGACCCATAAATCTAGAATTCTATGAAAATCCACTTTAAAATATCCTTCATAAATGAAGAGATAATCAAGACATTCTCAGATCAGGAAACTAAGAGAATTTGTCTCATACAAACCTACACTAAGAAAACGACTAAATAAATTTCTCTAAACAAAAAAGGAAAAATAAAAGAGGAAGGATTGAAACACCCAGAATGAACAAAAAACATAGAGGGGAAAGTATGGGTAATTACAAAAGTTTACCTTTTCATATTGAGTTTTCCAAATTAATTTGAAGATTGAGGCAAAAATTATTACACTTATTTCTTTGTGTTCCTTTACTTTAGCCCATTTATAATTGCCTTAAATATTTCCTCAACATATATTTAGAAACACATTAAGGTTTAAATAGTTTGCTTAACCTGGTGAAATGATGACAGTAGGCTGTGAAAAGTTACGTACATGTAATGTAATATCTAAAGTAACCACTAAAAGAGCTCTACAAGTATATATTCTTGAACCAACCCCACAGCAAAAAACTATGTTATTCTGGTAATTTATACATACGCATGAAAAAGAAAATAAAAATTAAAAGCAAAACAAAAAATTACTTGGTAGATGTAACACCAATGGTGACGTTAAATATAAATGATATGAATAGGCAAAATTACAGATTGACTGGATTTAAAAATTGACAAAGCTATATTCTGTTAAAAATAATTTCACATCAAAGACAATTGCCTAGGCTGGCTGAAAGCAATAATATTGAAGAAAACTTATCATGTAAACATAAATCAAAGGAAAGTAGAAATTGTTATATTAGTATCAAATAATGCAAAGATATTTATCAGAGAATGAGAAAGGCATTATATAATGATAAAGGGTATCAATCCAGCAAGATGTAATAATCCTAAATGGGTATGCCCCAAAAGACAGAACTGCAAAATATAAGAAGCAAAACCTGACAGAAGATAGTCTTTCGACTATCCTTCCCCATTGTATCCTTTTGGTGAACTTGTGGAAAATCTGTTGACTGTATATGTTTGGATTCATTTCTGGGCTCTCTGTTCTCTTCTATTGGTCTACATGTCTGATTTTTTTTTTATGACAAAACCATACTGTTTTGAATATTATGTTTTTTAAATATAATTTTAAATCAGGAAGTATGATGCCTCTAACTTTTTTCCTCAGTATTGCTTTGGCTACTCGAGGTTATTTTGTGGTTCCACACAAAATTTAGCATTGTATTTTGTATTTCTGTGACGAATGCCATTGGAATTTTGATTGGGATTGCACTGAATCTGCCTATTGCTTTGGGTAGTATGGACATTTTAGCAACATTACTCAAGAATAAAAATCAATGGCCCCATAACATAAAAGCAAACAAGCTATTGCTGATATGGAGAAGGTTTCATCGTCTGGATAGACAATCAAACCAGCCGTAACATTCCCTTAAGCTAAAGCTTAATCTGGAAAAAAGTCCTAACTTTCTTCATTTCTATGAAGACTGAAAATGAAAAGAAAGTGAAGAAGAAAAGAGTGAAGCTAACAGAGGTTGGTTCATGAGATTTAAGAAGATATCTCCATAACAAAAATGCAAGGTGATGCAGCAAGTCCCAATACAGAAGCTGAAACAAGTGATCTGTAAGATCTAGCTAAGATAATTGATGAAGACCGCTCTACTAAACAACAGATTTTCAGTGTAGATAAAACAGCCTTCTACTGGAAGAATACACCATCTAGGACTCAGCTAGAGACTTTCATAGCTAGAGAGGGGAAATCCATGCATAGCACTTTTTAAATTGTTATTTTAGATTCAGGGGTACACGTGCTTGATTGTTACATGGGAATTACATGCATGATGCTGGGGGTTGGGCTTCTAGTGTACCCATCACTCAAATATTGGACATTGTTCCCAGTAGGTATTCTGTCCCCATCCCCCATTTTGGAGTCCCCAGAGTCTATTTTCTTCATCATTTTATGTCCAACTGTACCATTTATTTAGCTCCCACTTATAAATGAGAACATGTAATATTTTATTTTTTTACTTCTGGGTTATTCCACATAGGATAATGGCCTCCAGTTCCTCCATGTTGCTAGAGCAGACATGATTTCATTCTTTTTTATGGCTGCATAATATTCCATGGTGTATATATACCACCTTTTATTTATCCAGTGAACTGTTGGTGGACATTTAGATTGGTTCCATGACTTTGTTATGGTGAATAGTGCTGCAATAAACATACAAGTGCAGGTGTCTTTTTAAAATGATCTATATTCCTTTTTTTATCAATGTAAAATGGGTATTTAGATACCAGTTAGTGAAATTGCTGGGTCAAACATCAAAAAACTAAAAATAGAACTATCATTCTACCCAATCTTAATGTCTAGCTTTAAAAGACGAGCTGACTCTCTTGTTAATGCTTATTACAGCTGGTGACTTTAAATTGAAGCTGATACTCAGTGACCGTTCTAACAATGCTAGGGCCCTTAAGAATTATGCTAAATGTACTTATGCCTGTGATGAGAAATGTAACAACAAAGTCTGGATGATAGTATAACTATAATATGGTTTACTAAATATTTGAAGCTGACTGTTGAGACCTACTGCTCAGAAAAAAAGATTATTTTCAAAATATTACTGCTCATTGACAATGTACCTGGTCACCTAGGAGCTCTAACGGAGATGTGCAAGGAAATTAAGGCTGTTTTCCTGCCTGCGAACACAGCGTCCATTCTGCAGCCCAGTCAAGGAGCTATTTTGACTTTCAAGTCTTATTACTTAAGAAATACATTTTGTAAGGCTATAGCTGCCATAAATAGTGATTCCTCTGTTGGATCTGGGCAAAGTCTATTGAAAAAGTATGAAAAGAATTCACCATTCTACATGTCATTAAGACAATTCACGATTCATGGAAAGAGGTTAAGATATCAACACTAACAGGAATTCAGAAAAAGTTAATTACAACTCTCATGAATGACTTTGAGGGATTCAAGAATTTAGTGGAGAAAATAACTACAGATGTGGTAGAAATGGCAAGAGAACTAGAATTAGGAGTGGAGGCTGAAGATATGACTGAAATTTTGCTATCTCATAATAAAACTTGAATCGATGAGGAGTTACTTCTCACGGATGAGCAAAGAAGTTGGTTTCCTGAGATGGAATCTACTCCTAGTAAAGATGCTGTAAATACTGTTAAAATTACAAAAAAAGAGTTTACAAAATTACATAAACTTAGTTGATAAAGCAGTGGCAGGGTTGGAGAAGATTGAGTCCAATTTTAAAATAAGTTCTACTGTGGGTAAAATGCTATCAAACAGCATTGCATACTATAGAGAAATCTTTCATGAAAGGAAGAGTCAACCGACACAGCAAACTTCATCATTGTCTTATTTTAAGAAATTGGCACAGCCACCCCAACCTTCAACCACCACCCTGATCAGTCAGCAGCCATCAACATCAGACAAGGCCTGATTGTAACCAGCAAAAGATTACAACTCACTGAAAATTCAGATGATAGTTACAATTTTTTAGTAATAAAGTGTTTTAAATTAAGGTTTATACAATGTTATTTTTAGCCATAGCACTATTGCACACTTAATAAACTATAGTATATAGTATACCAAACATAAGTTTGGTATGCACTGGGATACCAGTTTGTGTGACTTACTTTAGTTTGGTAGTCTAGAACCAAACCTGCAATATCTCCAAGACATGCCTGGAACTTTCAGTTTTGAACAATAATAAGCAAAAGTATTATAAGTCAAAATAAACAGGAAAATAACCAGAAGGAATCATGAGAGAGTTTGTGACTTGCTCTTATGTTCTATTTCTGAATCGAGTGCTAATTTTGGAGGTGTGTCTACTTTGTGAAAATTCATTGAGATATATGTGTTATTTATCAATGTAAAATGTTATTTTAGTTTAAAAAAGAAAATCTAGAAAAAATTTATTTTGGAAATTAAAGGCAAAATGTCCTCTTCCCAAAATACTTGAGCCAAAAGGAATGATAGCATTCATTTTATTTTTTTTATTTTATTTTATTTTTTATTACACTTTAAGTTTTAGGGTACATGTGCACATTGTGCAGGTTAGTTACATATGTATACATGTGCCATGCTGGTGCGCTGCACCCACTAACTTGTCATCTAGCATTAGGTAGATCTCCCAATGCTGTCCCTCCCCTCTCCCCTCACCCGACAACAGTCCCCAGAGTGTGATGTTGCCCTTCCTGTGTCCATGTGATCTCATTGCTCAATTCCCACCTATGAGTGAGAATATGCGGTGTTTGGTTTTTTGTTCTTGCGATAGTTTACTGAGAATGATGATTTCCAATTTCATCCATGTCCCCACAAAGGACATGAACTCATCATTTTTTATGGCTGCATAGTATTCCATGGTGTATATGTGCCACATTTTCTTAATCCAGTCTATCATTGTTGGACATTCGGGTTGGTTCCAAGTCTTTGCTATTGTGAATAATGCCACAATAAACATACGTGTGCATGTGTCTTTATAGCAGCATGATTTATAGTCCTTTGGGTATATACCCAGTAATGGGATGGATGGGTCAAATGGTATTTCTAGTTCTAGATCCCTGAGGAATTGCCACACTGACTTCCACAATGGTTGAACTAGTTTACAGTCCCACCAACAGTGTAAAAGTGTTCCTATTTCTCCACATCCTCTCCAGCACCTGTTGTTTCCTGACTTTTTAATGACTGCCATTCTAACTGGTGTGAGATGGTATCTCATTGTGGTTTTGATTTGCATTTCTCTGATGGCCAGTGATGATGAGCATTTTTTCATGTGTATTTTGGCTGCATAAATGGCATTCATTTTAAAATATTGAAAAATGAATAAAAAGTGTAGAATATGACTCAGGAGTACTTAAAATGAAAGTTTAAAATTTTTAAACATGTTACAAAATTAGTAATTAAAAATTATTTCTAATAAAAATATTAATAATAAATATATACATACATACACCCATGTTGGTGTATATATTTATATATATATTTCTTCATGTGTGTACACAATCATTGACATGTTTGTGTGTGTAAAATACGCATGTCAAGGAAAATATACATACATCTTGATATACATAACATACACATAATCATACATAATTTATACACAATATGTACTTACATATATTCTTATATTCTCTATATTAATAGCTATAAACAACAGTCATTTGGAATAGATACTCTGCATAGATGGTTCTTCTCAACCTTACCATGACAACTTAATTCATTATGAAGTATATATATATATGTCTTGTGCAGACATTTATGATTCCAATGCTTGCTTCTGGCTATAGTCTGAGTAAGATATAATGTGCCTAACATAAATTAATCACATAAAGAATAAGAAAGGGGAAAGCAGCCAGTAACATTAAGGAGTTGGCTTGGCACTATCAGCTAGACTTGGAATTCTGCTGTTGAATATAAGCACTTTAAAAGGACATCAACGTAACACAGGACCACTGTGAGACAATTATGCATCAAGACAAAACCAAGACTACTTCATAATCATGTGTGAACACCAACTAAATGTAAGCCCTCCCAAGCCAAAAAAACAGAAAGATTGAATATGCCCTTATTGGGCTAGCATGAATGGCTGCTGCTTCTTAACTAATGACAGATTTAGGAATGTTCTGGTCTTCCCGTGCCCTAGATAAGACTTACTAAGATACACAATCATAGTATTATGCCTACTTCCTGACCATATCTAAACCAGAACAAAGGCACGCATCCTAAAACTTCCCCCAAATTCCCAAAACACAAGCCAAAATCTTATAAGTACTTTAACAACCTCCTAAAGAGATGCTCCATGGCTCCCCAAGGTGTGCATTCTCCCTCACTGCAGTGTGTAATAATCCTCACTTGTTCAATTGCAGGCGTGCTTGCAATGGTCTTTGGCAAGAAGGCATTGATAGCAGGAAATAAACACATCCCAACTGAGGTCAGCTCTCCCCAACTGGAGAGTTGTTTCCCAGTGTTGAACCAACAATGGCACTATGGCTTCCATATGTATACTTAGATAAAACAGAAAGTTTGAAACCTTCTTCATAGTTCCTGTAATATCCTAAAATTTAAGCCATTGTTTTATGGAATAGAAGAATATATTTCAAATGATCTATATGACAAAGAGCTAATATCCAAAATGTCAAAAGGACCTTCTACAACTCAACAGCCAAAAACAAAACAAAACAAATAACCTGATTAAACAATGGGCAAAGGACCTGAATAAACTTCTGTCCAAAGAAAACATACAAATGACCATCAGGTATAAGAAATAGTACTCAATATCATTAATCATCAGAAAAATGCAGGATCAAAACCACAGTGAAATATCACCTCACAGCTATTATAATGGGTTTTGTTAAAAAAAAAAAACAAAACCCACACCCACAAACAAAAGCAAAAGGTGACAAGCACTGGCAAAGATGTGGAGAAGTTGGAATCTTTGTACACTATTGGTGGGAATGGAGAATGGTGCAGCCATTATGAAAACCAGTATGGAGGTTCCACAAAAAATTAAAAATAGAACTACCATATAATCCAGCAATGCAACTTCTGGCTACATATCCAAAAAAATTAAAGCCATGAAATTGAAGAGATATCTGCAGCCCCATGTTAATTCCAACATTATTCACAATATTCGTGGTTTGGAAGCAACCCAAATGTTCAATGACATGAATGCATAAAGAAAATGTGGCATATAAACATATTGGAACACTATTTAGCTTCAAAAAAGAAGGAAATCCTATTTGAGACGTGAATGAACCCACAGAACATTATGTTATGTTAAATGAGACAGTCACAGAAGGACAAACACTATATGATTCCACTTACTTATATGAGGAATCTAAAATAGCTAAAATAGGTGGGTGTGGTGGCTAACGCCTGTAATGCCAGCACTTTGGGAGGCCGAGTCTGGTGTATCACTTGAGTTCAGGAGTTCAAGACCAGCTTGGCCAACATGGGGAAACTCCATCTCTACTAAAAAAATACAAAATTATCCAGGTGTGGTGGCATGCACCTGTAATCCCAGCCACTCAGGAGGGTGAAGAACAAGAATTGCTTGAGCCCAGGAGGCAGAGGTTTCAGTGAGCCAAGATCACACCACTGCACTCCAGCCTGGGCAACAGAGCAAAACTCCATCTCAAACAAATAAATAAAATAAAACAGTGGAAATCATAAAAGCAGAGAATAGAATAGTGGTTGCCAGGGGTCTGGGTCGAGAGAAATAGGGAATTATTGCTCAATGAATACAAAGTTCCAGTAATGAAAGATGAATAAGTTCTAGAGATATGCTGTATAACATAGTACCTATAGTTAACGATACACCATTGTGCACTTGAAAATATGTTAAGAGAATCATTCTCATGTTCAGCATTCTTAGCACAAAACACAAAACAAAAGTATGCAAGGACATTTTTGGAGGTGATGGATATGTTTAGTACATCGACTGTGGTCATGATATCATGGGTGTATGCATATATTCAAACTCAGGAAAATGTCTACGTTAGATATGTGCAATTTTTATATCAATTATAACTCAATAAAGTTTTAAAAACATGAAAATAATACCCTATACAATAAAATATAGCTTCAAGAATTCCATATAAATAATACCAAAAGTGTAGACAACGAATGAATACTGCATGTCTCTCATAGTAAAACTATTTCATCAAGCCCTGCGTAGTTGCTATATGCTTCTTGACAAGTAGTAAGAAATTTGAAGTTTACAGTGATTATGCAATGACAATGTACAATAGTAGTAAATCTGGGGAAAAAACAGAATAGATGATAGATAGATATAGATAGATAGATAGATAGATAGATAGATAGATAGATAGATAGATAGTTTTTTGTTTGTTTGTTTTTTGTTTTTAAGAGATGAAGTCTTGCTCTGTCATCCAGGCTGGAGTACAGTGACACAATCACAGCTGACTGCAGCCTCCAACCGCTGGGCTCAAGGGGTACTCCCACCTCAGCCTCCAGAACCGCTGGGACTACAGGCACACACCACCACACCCAGTTAAGTTATTTTTGTAGAGATGGGGTCTCACCAACTTGCCCAAGCCGGCCTCAAACTCCTAGGCTCAAGCGATCCTCCAACCTTGGGATCCCAAAGTGTTGGGATGGGATTGTGTTGGCAGAAAATAACTTATGCAAATAATTCTTCAACAGAAAGCAGCTTACTGTAGTGGAAATGGAGTTAAAAATTAAAGATTAGACTCTACATGCTAACACAGATTTGATGCCATTAATATTTTTTAATCCTCTGTCTTTTAAAAAGAATATATGTAATAAATAATCCTATTTCAGAAGGATAATGTGATAAATAAGATTTATATATGAAAATCCTTTCCAACTTCTCTAAAAGAAAGTATTCATTTTATTGTGATTCCCAAACATAATTTGACATATACTTTATTATAATTGTTCACTAGTAGAACATAGCCATGGTAGGTCCCAATATTGTGTGCCAAAATAGAATTAATAGATTAATCTTTTCCTTACTCATAATTTTAAAATCACTCTTTCAACCTGAAACATTTTCAGAGTTGACATATATTGTGCCCATTTTGACTGCATAGAAATATAAACCCCTATATTGTGACTTCCAGTTTGTAAAATAAAACATTTTAAATCTGTCAATTTCAGGTGTTTCAATCAAGAAAACATGCAAGACTGAATGCCTTCAGTTTAATCAGTTTTTAATCTAGCAGGCAGGTTAGTAATTTTCCAACTTCTTTTTCCAGTTAATATTTACTTATTGTAATATTTTTCATCATAATAGGGCAAATGTGATATTTTTATTTTTTCTTTGCTTTTTTAAAATTTCTTTGTACATTACGTGCTATTAAGACTGATGCTTGTGGGTCAAATTTTGCATGTCTAAATTTTACTTATGACAAATTTCTACATCATTTACTGGACAATAAAAAATTTGTTAATTTGTTGGCTGAACCATGGTCATGAATATTTTATATTGATTTCTTTTTCCCACCAGTTTGATTGCTGAGCATTTCTTGGAAATTGTGAACAAGTAGTATGTTAAGAAGAGATGAAGAGAAAAGACAGGGAAATAAGCAGCAGAAATGGGGGAACAAGAGGATCAAAACACGGTAGGAGACAAAATAGCACAGGCAAAATATTATGATTTGGCAATGAATACAAATTAGTATGATCTGACTTAATATAAGGGTAAATAAAAATTGCCATAAAGCTTTAAATATAGAATAAATATTCCTCATCATTTACCTTCCTCTCTGAAACTTCACTGTCATTTGACTTAATCTTCCGTGGAACTGTGACATGCAGAAATATTCCTTCAGAACCTGCAGTAAGAAAATGTGTTTGTTTTTGTCTTTGTTTTGCATCAACAATCGTCTCAGTCAAGCACGGGTTCTTATCCCGGACTGCATGGTGGCGCCTAAAATTTTAAGTAGAAGTTCTCTCATGTGCTCACACTCTTTCTAGTCCACAAATTTCACTACATAATCAACAGCACATTGAAAATGGCTAAGACACAAAAAAAGAAAAAAAAATTAGACATTGCAGTTCTACAGGCCCCTCTGGTTCCCTTTTAGAATCGATGAGAGACTTGCTTCCTCAGGACTCTGAGGAGTTCGCTGAAGGCAGTTAGTACTCCACCACCTCCACCCTCCTTCACAGAGTGGGAAGATGCCAGAAGACGCACTGCGTGTGGGCCACTGAGACCATGGGCGCTGATGCAGAGCGCTAACAGGTCCTCCGCTAAGGCCTTTAGTTCCCCCTGGCCTGGCGTGGAAAGGTGTCCCTGACACACCAGAAGCACCAGCATGGGATCCCAGAAGGGAGCGGGGGAGGGTCCCAGAATGACAAGAAACTGCTCCCAGTAAGAGCCCAGCCCAGCTATAAAGTCGAAGAAGAAAGGGGAGGCTCCCATGGACTTACCTTCGTGGGCTTGCAGTCTTCCAAGCTCAGTGAGGAGGGCGAGGAGAAGGAACATGGCTCAGCCAGAGCGCAGGAGCCACAGCCAAGGACAGAGACCGTTGAGCAGCGTTGAGCTCGCGGGCAGGCTCTCGGCCACCGGGCGCCTGGGCCAGGGAGGACCCTGTGCTGCCCCAGGACCCTGGGGGTGAGGTCTGAGGAGCTCTGAGAGCTGGGCCACTTCCGCAGGGCGGGGAGGGGAAATGCCAGATGCAAGCATAGGTGTTTGCACAAAATTTGTTGCAGAGACGTTTAAGTTGTTTAAAGCCCTCAGTAGTTACATTGGGGTAAATAAGCTAGATTTTCCTTTTTAGTGAGGTTTTCTTTAGTGAGGTTGGTAATTTTGTTTCTCCATATCACAGTTTTATGGCAGGTTTTATTTACTAAGGTGGAGGAGAAAGAGGAAAAGGGAAATGACAGCTATTATTATTAGCTATTATTACTAGCAATTTTCTACATGCTACTGCTGACTTAAATATCTTTGCAAATACGGAAAAATCAAGAAAATTGAACTTTTTAATGCTGGTACGATTTCACCGTTATTCATGATAACCAAGATATGGAATCAACCTAAGTGTCAATGAGGAATGAGTAAATAAAGAAAATGTGGTAAATATACACAGTGGAATAGTATACAGCCTTAACGAAGGAAATTCATTTGCAACAACAGGGATGGAACCAGAGAACGTTATGCTAAGGGAAATATGCCAGGCACAGAAAGACAAATACTGTATGATCTCATTTGAATGTGGAATCTAATAAAGTCTATCTTATAGAAGGATGATTACTAGAGGCCAGGGAAGGTGGGATGAGGGATGGGGAAAGGGAAAATGTTGATCTAAAGGTACAAAATATGAGTCAGACTGAAAGAATAAGTTTTAATGATCTCTTGCACTACATGGTGATCACAGTTAATAATAATGCATATTTCAAAATTGCTAAAATTTATTTTCAATGTTCTCACCACAAAGAAATGATAAATTGATGAGGAGATGGGTATATTAACTAGCTTGACTGAAGCATTCTATAATGTATAGATAGATCAAAACATCACGCTGTACCCTATAAATACACAAAATTATTTGAAATAAATTTGCAGAAAAGAAAATGGAGTTGATCCCACTAAGACCATCAAAAAGCACATTTCTTCAACAGTGTATTTTTCTCATAAAACTATATTATAATCAGTGGAGGAAAGAGAAAGGAAAGCTTTAATATTTAGTGTTATTTTTGCAAATAAAGAGAATTCAAGAAAATGGAACTTTATCTTGAAAAGACAATCAGAAAGCACTTTACTTCAACTGTGTACCTTGCTTACTACACAAGATTATAATATAGTGTTCTAAGGGAAAAGAAAACCTTTACAATGCAATCTGACTGTTTTGTTAACAGTGACTCTAAGCTCTAAGTAAGAAACTGTGGAGACAGGAAGGGCAGCAAGGCAAGGGGAGAGAGAAAAATTGAGACCACTGTAGAAGACTATGCAACTGCCTCCCTTAACTTTTTGACAAATATCTTAAATGGCACATGTCCAAAACCCAACCCATCTATCACACTCAAGCCTTTTACTCCAGTACCCCCTATTTCAGGGATGAATTGTGTCAAAATATGTGTGCAAAAATTGTGTGCAAAATTGTGTGCAAAAATAAAACTGATCAGGGCCGGGAGTGGTGGCTCATGCCTGTAATCCCAGCACTTTGGGAGACCAAGATGGGTGGATCACCTGAGGTCAGGAGTTCGAGACCAGCCTGGCCAACATGGTGAAACTCCATCTCTACTAAAAATATAAAATTACCCTGGTGTGGTGGTGGGCGCCTGTAATCCCAGGTACTTGGAAGGCTGAGGCAGGAGAATTGCTTGAACCCCAAAGGCAGAGGTTGCAGTGAGCCAAGATCGTGCCATTGCACTCCAGCGTGGGCAACAAGAGCAAAACTCCATCTCAAAAAATAAAAAACAAATAAAATAAATAAGACTGATCAGGACTAAAACTTGGATCTGCTAAGTGCTGGTACGCCTGAACAGATAGCTCAAAAATTATTATTGACAAGAAGCAGGCCATTGAGCACAATGACCCAAAATAAGTTAGTGGCAATGAAGATGAGAGAAATCTGGTAGAATTATCCCAGGTTATATTTTCTGGTAAATTTATCCCAGGTTGTATTTTTAAACAGCTTTATTGAGATATAATTCATATGCCATGCAATTTACCCATTTAAAGCATACAATTAAGTGATTTTTAATATGTTCTCAGATATGTGTGAACATCACTATAGTCAATTTGAAATTAGTTTCATCACATCATGAAGAAACTCTGTGCCCATTAGCCATAAAGTACCCTCCCACCCCCAAAACAAGTTCTTTATCCCACCCCTCTACTCCCTAAACAACCACTAAACTAATTTCTATCTTAAGAGATGTCTCTATTCTGGACTTTTCATACAAATGAATATGTTATAGGAGGCAGAAAGAAATTATTTAGGTAGACAGGGTAAAGTGAGTCCCTGGCAGAAATCTTTCCTTTTAACAAAAAGCAGCTCAAAAATACCTCCCTTTCTAACCTCAGGCAGTTCAAAGAAATCGCTTCTCTTCTAACAACAAGCAGGCTGAAAGTTCAGGCTGTAAATCACACATCAACAGCTTGGGCACAGAAAGAAGGGGAAGGTCTCCTGGGTAATCACCAGACTTCACACTTACACAATGGGCCCCAGTAAAACAGAGGGCTTTAATAAGCACATTCCTTTCCCTTTAGGCACACTGAGATAGGGAAGCCAAAAGCAGACTTGTGGGGGCAGGGGGATGCCTGCGGATGCAGGAAGATGTCTGGGAACAGACACAGAAACTCTCCCTCCCAGATAAGCAGAACAAAGTTACACAGACTGAGATTCTGCCTATGTGGGCAGGGAATGGGATGAGAACTGACAAAAACTCTGCACCATACAGATAACACACCTGTTCTCAATCAAACCATCTGGCCCTAGGAGGATAAGACATCCCCTCCTCACGAGCCCCGTCCTCACTAGCCCATTTATAAAAACCCTGACAACTTGGCAACCCGCTTGGGACCCCTCTCTGAGACAGAGAGCTGTTCTTTCCTTTTGTCTATTAAACTCCTGCTCCAAATTCCCTCTGTGTGTGTGTGTGTGTGTGTGTGTGTGTGTGTGTGTGTGTGTCTGTGTGTTTGTCTGTGTGTGTGTGTCCACGACCTCCATCTCCTTGGCCATGAGACCGAGAACCTTGGTACTTACCCTAGACAATGAGGCTTCTTCAAATACACATGTAAATATCTGATGTTTGTGACTGGCTTTATTCACTTAGCATAATGGTTTCAAGGACCAATCATGTTGTACCAGTGTCAGTGCTTCATTCCTTTTTAGGGCTGAATAATATTCCATTGTTTGGATATACCACATTTTGTTTACCCATTTTTCAGTTGATGGATATTTGGAATAGGAAACTCTGGACCTCTGTGGTGAGGTTCCTCCACCCCTGTCTAAGGAGCATCTTGGTTTGTGATGAAGACTCTGTAGGTCCTAATTGGACTCCAGGTGGGCTGATGGATCCCTAACCCATGTGTAATGCTCTGCGATATGTAGAAGTGCCCCCATCTTAGCAAGAGACAGATGGGAGGGGAGACTGAGGCAAGAAAATCTTACCCAGAAATGCCCAACTTCAGGGAAGATAGAGCAGCAAGTTTGAGTTTTCTCAAAGGACAGAGAAATCTTCCAGATCAGTTTATACAGGGCCAACGAAGCATACGTACCTGATGGTACTATGACCTCAAACTCAGTTTGAGCAATTTCTTTAAAGTAGAAGGGATACTAGTGACTATCTGGGGGCTATGAGAGTGAATATCTATCAATTCTTCCAGTCGGTATCCTAATGCCTGGAACAGAGAGGGCAGGGGAATCATGAACTATTGGAGGTGTGGCTATTGGTGTCCTCTCTTGAGACGGGAGCAGTCAGCATGACCGTGGGCATCTGAAGAATCTGAAAGTTTTCAGTTTAGGATGTAACAGGTGTCAGGCCTCTGAGCCCAAACCTGGACGTATACATCCAGATGGCCTGAGGCAACTGAAGAACCACAGAAGAAGTGAAAATGGCTGGTTCCTGCCTTAACTGATGACATTCCACCATTGTGATTTGTTCCTGCCCCACCCTAACTGATCAATTGACCTTGTGAAATTCTTTCTCTTGGACAATGAATATCAGAAGCTCCCCACCGAGCACCTTGTAGCCTCTGCCCTTGCCTGCAAGAGAAAAACCCCCTTTGACTGTTATTTTCCACTACCTACCCAAATCCTATAAAACTGCCCCACCCCATCTCCCTTTGCTGACGCCTTTTTCAGACTCAGCCTGCCTGCACCCAGGTGATTAAAAAGCTTTATTGCTCACACAAAGCCTGCTTGGTGGTGTCTTCACACGGATGCGCGTGACAACAGGTTTCTGGGTGAAAAAGAGCAAAAGTGGTTTTTTCCTACTTAAAGATTCATGGCAGGTAGAATAATAAATAGACACACGCTTGCATACTTCCTGTCATATAATTTATTTTGTTTGTGCAATTGAAAGCTTTAAGCCATAATGAAAGGAGAAAAAAGGCGATTTTTGTTTTCATTGTTGAATCAAGCCAGTTAATGGTAAGTTTCTTGGTAATATCCTTTCTCTATCTTATGGCTTTTGATGTTATCATGTAGTTACTGTTGTAAAAGAAATATAGAAAAATAGAAATGTTAAATTTTCGTTGTTAATAAAAGTTGTCTACTTTTATAATGCAACTACAGGTATAGCAATTAATTACTCAAATAAGACACTGCTTGCTATACTGTTGTATTAATAATTTGTGCCTGGTATTCAGGACATTCATAAAGCAAAGTTCCTTATTCGTGAATAATTTGTGATAGCCACATTAAAAGTAAATGTTATAAATTGGTAGTCACACAGGTTTCATTAACATGGTCTCTAAATTTACATCAATAAATGGAAATCACCAACGAGAAAACAGAGGGGGAAAGAGCAATGCAAACCTGTGAAGAAATACAAAAGAGTTCCTATTAATTTCTCTATTATATATGTATCTGCAGAGGGAGAGAATTTTCAAAAGCCCTCAGTGTATTTCCAACAGGTTTCCACATATACACGTTCAAAACCATAATCATCATTCACTCCCCTCCACTTCCTCACCCCAACCTAAGACAGTTCTTTCCCTACTATACAGTATGTCATTGGTTATTGGGGGAACCCGCCCCCAATATTTCAACGTAGGTTCTTTCTATTTTCCATAAGTGTTGGCTGGCTGAGAAATAAAGAGAAAGAGTACAAAGAGGGGAATTTTACACCTGGGCCTCCAGGGGTGACATCACATATCGGTAGGACCATGATGCCCGCCTGAGTCTCAGACCAGCAAGTTTTTACTAAGGGTTTCAAAAGAGGAGGGGGTGTAAAACAGGGAGTAGGTACAAAGATCACATGATTCAAAGGGCAAAAAGCAGAACAAAGATCACATGCTTCTGAGGGAACAGGACAAAAGGCAAAACAGAACTACTGATAAGAGTCTATGTTCAGCTGTGCACGTATTGTCTTGATAAACGTCTTAAACAACAGAAAACAGGGTTCGAGAGCAGAGAACTGGTCTGACCACAAATTTACCAGGGCGGAGTTTTTCCCCACCCTAATAAGCCTGAGGGTACTGCAGGAGACCAGGGCGTATCTCAGTCCTTATCTCAACCACATAAGACAGACACTCCCAGAGCGGCCCTTTATAGACTGCAGCCCCCCTCCCCCCACCAGGACTGCATTCCTTTCCCAGGGTATTAATATTAACATTCCTTGCTAGGAAAAGAATTTAGTCATATCTCTCCTACTTACAAGTCCATTTATAGGCTCTCTGCAGGATAAAAAATATGGCTCTTTTTGCCAGACCCTGCAGGCAGTCAGACCTTACGGTTGTCTTCCCTTGTTCCCTAAAAATCACTGTTATTCTGTTCTTTTTCAAGGTGCACTGATTTCATATTGTTCAAACACACATGTTTTACAATCAATTTTTACAATTAACACAATTATCACAGTGGTCCTGAGGTGACACACATTCTCGGCTTATGAAGATAACAGGATTAAGAAATTAAAGTAAAGACAGGCATAAGAAATTATAAAGTATTATTTGGGAACTGATAAATGTCCATGAAATCTTCACCATTTATGTTCCTCTGCCATGGCTCCAGCCAGTCCCTCCATTCAGGGTCCCTGACTTCCTGCAACAATTGGTAAAAGGTGTCACTATCCATTCTGCCAGAAAAGTAGAGGTCTTTGTAGTTCTCTCTTTTATTCTAATCCAAATATATCCATTCAGTAACCAATCCAACAGATTCTGCCTCTGTCATATTCCTGAAAATATTTTTGTGCTTTTCCTCCTCTCTAATCCTGCCCTCATCACACCTTTCCTGTGCACTCAGTAGTCTCTTAGCTGCTTCACCAGTCTGCAGTTCTGACAGAATCCATTCTGCCTACTTTATCCCAATGAAATAGGTAAATGCAAAACATGTCATGCCAGATCTCTCTTACAACCTCAAAAATACTTTATGTTCTTGCTCATATAGAAAAACATTTAAAATCCTTATTGTGGCATACCAGTTACTTGTCTTGGCTCACTGTTACCTATTTTTTTTATATCTCAGTATTCATAGACTTGCAAATGACTTTTAAAAAGTATGAAGAGCCCACATTCTAGAAACAGGCCTAGTTTTACATTTTAGCCTTGCTGTTTTCCTGCTTTACATCAATAGACATATTATTTAAGCACTTTTTCTTACATTCTGCATCCAAACAGTCAATGCATTCTGCTGAGTCACCTTCAAATTTTATCCATAAGATTATCCTTACCACTCCTGGTTTGAAGTACTATCTTTTCTCTCATGTATTATTGCAGTATTTTCTCTACTTCTACTCTTGTGATCATACAGACAGTTTTCAACAAGTCGGCCTTTTAAAGAGTAAGGCCGTGTGGCTGGAATCTGAACTATTCAGTAATTCCTTCCTTTCACTCAAAGTAAAACAGAGACAGACTCCAAAAGCTCCAAGACCCTCCATGGTGTTACTTCTCTGATCTAACCACAACTATAGCCCTCTTAGTAACTCTGCTCCAGGTGGACTGACATCTTTGGTATTCTTCAAACATTCCCAACTTATTTTGTATCATATCATTCATGTGCTTGGAAATATACTGCCTAGATATATGCATGAGTAATTCTGCCAATTCCATGCCTCTGTAGGATAGATTTGATTTACAGCTAGAATGGAAAAACTCAATCTTTATCTCTAGGAAAGCCTGGGTATCTGGTTTTGACTTTTTGTTGAGAAAAAGGCATTGGGATTGTTAATGGGCTGTTTAAAATCTACATTAAGGAACCTTGGAGCCCCTTGTCTTTCTGACCCCCAATGCTTGCCTGCACTCTCTCTTGCTACACTGTACCCTTTGCGTTTAAATAAAAGCTTTTTGTGAGTTCATCCTTTGAACTCAGGTAACTCCTTTCAATGATTAAAACTGAGTAATTATTTCACCTCCTTCAGATTATTTGCTTACAAATCACTTGTGCTATAGGACTTATTGAGAGAAAAAATATGTAAAATTGTTATCCAATACCTTCCTCAACAGCAACTCCCCCACTCATCCTTACTGCTATAATCTTTTGTATATGATTAATAATGTTTCAATTTACTATATCATCAACTTATATGTCTATTATTTATGGACTGATAGCCTAACCCTCTATCTCAAATTATTGAGGCAAGACTTCAATGCAACCAGAAGGTACTGTTGGCAGAAGGAAGCTGTGAAAAGAGGAAAAAAGGAAAGCAAGATGTTGCATTTATGACTTATGAGTTGGAAGAAATCAGGGAAATGGTAAGCTCTAGGAGAAAATGGCTGTGGTTGGCCGATGGTGGTGGTAGGGAGTTCAGGTGAAGACACGCAGCAGGATGGTGAGATTCTGATTGAAGGACATGAGAAGAAGGCAGTAGCCAAGTGCCAGAATCCTCAGGTAAGACATGGGCTTCTAATAAAGTTTTTAAGGAGGATGTAGAGATTGGTCTAGGCATGAATAAAATTTTTACACTGAGGTTACTAGTTATAAAGGTTTTATTTGGTGGCAGATAAGGAAATAGAGACCCATGGACATAATTATTACTCAAAGTCTGATATGAAGGAATGGGAGATAAACAATTGGATGAAATCTTGATCTTGCTCTAGATTGAATTTTTGAACTTTTCAATTTACTGCCAGTGATAGGCCTAACATCAAACTTTATTATTTTTCTACACATATGAATTTGAATAGTACATACATATGCCTATTTCAAGCCATTTCATAGTAAATAATTAATTGTCTTTCTGCCTCAGAGGGAGAGTATACTTAGCATTTTGCTAAGCATCAACTAGGTCCTCAATCCATGTTTATTCTATTCCTTATCCCTAGCCACATATCAGGCTATATGTTTTAAGATTGTAAGCTTCTACTCTAGAGTTTGATTGCTTTAAGTTAAACGCCAATGCAAAACTCACTAAAACTCTATACATATGAAGAATTATTTAAATTCTTTACATCCATATTCTTATTTCTAAAATAAGGATAATAATACCAATGTAGTGTTATTAAGGAAAAAATGTAAATATAGGGAAACAATCTGTGTAAATCAATTAGATCTACCAATTTCTAAACACATTAGAATCTTAAATGAAGGAGCAGGAAATATGATTATTCATAAATATTCTAAGAATGTATGTAAAATAATTTGGAAGTCACTTCTTATTACAAAAATATTTTTTATAAATATCTGGCTAATATCAGTTACATTAAAATATTTCCAAATAAGCATAAAATAATAATAACATAAAATACTTTAGTCTTTGCTTAGCATATGATATTAAAATGTAGAAGTTCGGATGATAAAATATGGGAATAATAGCTTTCTCATACTAAGGTGTTGTTAAAAATTTTTAAATATGTATGTATTATGAATTATATCACTTACCTCTATGACTGGTTGCTGTCACTACTGCTGTTACTGTTGCTGCTACTACTGCTGTCTTCTGATGTAGAACCGTATAAAAGAGATTAACATTGGTTTTAGGGTTAATAGCCATTGTAAAATCAAGAAGCAAAATCTTAAGCAAAATCAAGAAGAGTAAAAAAGCTACATTTGTGATAGTTAATTAGTAGGTACCAATATCCACTTTGCTTTCCATATACCTCTCAGACAGCATCTATTTTTGTGTTTGGCCTTTATCTAATGTTGGTCTAACTTTTAAAGGTTTTAAGACTTTTTTAAAAAATTTCAAACTAAAAATCTATTATTTTTTTCTATCCTGTCTACATGGAAGATGGAATGAGATACTAATATATCTATGATAATGCCTCTCCACAGTTAAAAAGATATATAAGTGCACATCTTCAAATTCTTACATTACCATTTACACAGTTACAGTATTTCTACTAATAACTATGTAAATAACTATTTGGACTATAATTTCTCTTTCATTAATGAGGCCCTTAATGAGGCCTCTGTGTCTTTCAGATACATTTAGTTTCATTTTGTGGTATTTATAAAGCCTCCGTTTTTTTCTTAAGATAAGTTTTGAACAACTAACTCAGAATTATAAATCCAGATAGAATACAGGATGAATTTAGGTGCCCTTGCACTGCTATTTTCTTCTGTCTCCAGAGAATATTAACTAAAAGACATTGACTAAGATTATTGTTATTTTGTTTGGAAGTGAATATAGAAAGGGTTGAGATAGAGGTATTGGGCCAAGTCAAAGCCAGAGCAGTCAATATAAAGAGAATAGACAGGGACAAGAAGGGGTAATGTCAATCAGTAATGGATGAAATGACTTAGTTCCTGGCCATCCAGTTCATTACTGTCTTTTGTGCTTCAACTCTAGTTAGTTTCTTACCCTTGCAGCCTTGAAACCACTTATGGTTGTAAAAGAGGCTGCTTGAACAGATTTTGTCATTTGTAACCATTAATCTCTTATTACAACATTTTTTCCATTACTCATATTTACTTATAGTAAATATTCACATATTTCCAAGATGTCTTAAGAGCAAAAGAAGACTTATGCTAGCTATCATTCAATTAAGTTAATTTATAACAATGTGATAATTATGTGTCTTCCAAAAAATCCAGAATATTACTCTGAAATTATTAGGTTGGTGCAAAAGTAATTACGGTTTTTGCAATTACTTTAAACTGCTAGCTACTGCTAACTTGTTGATACATAAAATTATCTAGCTTGCAAACAGAGGTGTTAGTAGAAATTCTATATCATTATTTAATCTTCATCTTCAACTGTGAGAAACAGAAATCCACTTATTATCCTTATTATCCGTATTCTTCTGTCCCTAAATATTTACTGAGTATGCAATGATGTTACAGCAAAGAAAATAACTGCAAAAACCTTTGTAATAATTTTAGAAACCATTGAAGAATATTAATTGTGCACAAAGTGCAGTTTCCTATCTACTTTCTCTCCCTCGTTTCCTGTTTTATTTTCTTACCTTCTACATATTCTATTCACAAAAGTTGCTTCCCCAACTGTCTCTATTGATATCCTTGATACAAATGACTGTCAATGCATGAAAAGTGGGGTTGTCTGGGAAATCCAAAGAACATCCTCAAACAATTTCAGCCAATATGGCTTTTATTTATTTATTTATTTTGGAGACGGAGTCTCACTCTGGAGTGCAGTGGCATGATCTCGGCTCACTGCAACCTCTGCCTGTGGTTCAAGCAATTCTCCTGCCTCAGCCTCCCAAGTAGCCGGGACTACAGGCATGTGCCACCACGCCCTTCTCATTTTTTGTATTTTTAAGACACAGGGTTTCATCATGCTGGCCACGCTGGTCTCAAACTCCTGACCTCGTGATCCACCCTCCTCGGTCTCCCAAAGTGCCGGCATTACAGGCATGAGCCACCATGCCCCGCCCCAATATGGGCTTTCTATTTGAAAGGCAATGAGGATTTAATGAGCAGCTTCAGTTGTTCCTTGCCCTGTAAGAATATGTAGAACACCTAACTGCCCAAAATCTGAAAAGAAACTTTGGTGTATAGTAAGACCTTCTTATTCAATATCTCATTCAGTTTTTCTAAACATTAACCCAATCCTTCTCAAAATTCCTATTTGTAATATTTAAATTTATACTCAAATTCTTCCCATAGTCCTTTTGTAAAATTAAATATACAAAATAACAAGTTTACTTACCTTCCACTTACACTTTTTGCTCAGTGTCAAAATCCCTTCATTTTGTTCCATTTAAGACCAATGATGGCAGTTAAAATGAGGAAAGGTAGAAAAATGTAGCAACTGATTAAAGGCCATTTTTCTGAGGAACAGCATGTCATTTCACAAACAAGGGTGTACTTTTTCCTGAAAACATGAGAGTGACTTTTACAAATATGATATTTAAAGCATACTGCTGATTTGAATTTTAAAATTTGAAATTCAAATACAGTTATAGAATAAATACATAAATTTGAATTTAAAAGTGTTTTCTAATCTTCTATAACTGTGCCCCAAAGTGCATTATATATTTATGTCAACTCAGTACACTTACACATATCTTTGGCAATATACAGCCATTGGCAATATACAATATTATTGACAAATTTAGTTTTAAACTTTTAGCTATATTTAATCTTTATTTACATGATATATTCTAATCTATCATATTCTAACATATTCCCTTCTGTGAACGGCTACATGTAACACATTAACTTAATATTATCTAATAAGGTGTTCTTCAGATTAAAAATGGAGCAAAAAAACTGTTTCAAAATAATTTTATAAAAAATTATTGACATATCTGAGGGTGAATCCTAAAAATTAATAAATGATAGTACTTAAATTGAAATAATGAATAAATAGAAATACACATGTTCATGTCTTCATGAATTAGAATTAATATTGCTTAAATGTCCATACTACCCAAAGTGATCTACAGATTCAATGAAATTTTTATAAAAATATCAATGCTATATTTCATATAAATAAAAATTTATAAAATTCATATGGAACCACAATATAAACATATATAGAAAAAGTAGAATGGTGGTTACCAGAGGCTAGGGGCGTAGCAAAAATGAGATGTTGGTCAAAGGATGCAAAGTTTTAGTTAGATAGGAGGATTAAATGATAAGTATTCAATAGAACTGATATGCTAATTAACTCGATTCAATCATTCCACATTGTATGTATACATATAACATATCATAACATGTCATGACATGTCATAACATCACTTCTTACCTCATAAGTATATACAATTATAAGTTGTTGGTTAAAATTACAAATATTTAAAAGTAAATTTTAAAGTAGAACTATATAAGCTGTTTCAAAAATAATTTTATGAAAAATTATTGACACACTTGGGAACTAATTTTAAAGTAAGTTAATGGCAAAATTT
The DNA here is from genome assembly GCF_000001405.40 of Homo sapiens. Classification (NCBI taxonomy): domain Eukaryota; kingdom Metazoa; phylum Chordata; class Mammalia; order Primates; family Hominidae; genus Homo; species Homo sapiens. The sequence goes on along the minus strand of NT_187577.1, from coordinate 322,824 downwards.
CTATGGAAAATTTCCACATTATTTGTATAATGTGACATTATTCTACTTTTGACTGTATTAATTAGAAAAATAGATATTCCTCTAACATAAAAATGAATAAGTATCAAGAGAATTAGAGAGGAAAAAAAATCTATGCAAAAATATCTATATAGTTAAATGAAAAAAATAAACCAGACAACTAAAATATCAATGTAATGAATTAAGCAATCAGTATTGCCACCAAAATATTATGACATTAAATGTAAATAAATTTAGTAACCATCAAAAAAGACAAGGAAACAGTAACTTTAAAACACATTTGCATGCATGCACACACACATACAGGCAGACAATCCAATGATATCTTGATTCAAAGTGATTTGTCTAAAGAAAAGTGATTCAGAATGTTTTATATAAGAAATGAATTGCAATGCAAAACTGTTGAAATTAAGCAAACATGCAGCAACCTTAAACTATGGTAGAGCTCAATGCTTTTAAGATTCTTCACTGCCTCATGTATGAGAAAAGGTTATTTCCATGCTATTTTGGCTATTGGAAATAATGCTGCTATGAAAATGGATGCAAAAATATCTGTCTGTGTCTCTGCTTTCAATACTTTTGGGTTTATATGTATATGCAAATTGCTGGCTAATATGGTAATTCTGTGCTTCTTTTTTTGAGGAACCACTAGAATATTTTCCACAAAGCCTGGATCACTTTACATACCATCAGTTATGTGCAAGGCTTTCCATTTTTCCACACTCTTGTCAACACAATTTTTTAAAATTTTTTTATACTAGCCATTTTAGTAGGTTAAAATTGTTATCTCATTATAGTTTTGACCTGCGTTTTTCTAAAGGTTAGTGATGGTAAATATATTTTCATGTACTCATTAGCCATCTATATATCTTCTTTCATGTACTCATTAGTCATCTATATATCTTCTTTCATGTACTCATTAGTGTTCTATATATCTTCTTTGAAGAAATGTCTGTATTCAAGTCCTTGGCCCATTTTTAACGGGTTTTATTGTTTTGAGCTGTAGGAATTTTTGACATATTCTGGATATTTATCAGATATATAATTTTCAAATATTTTCTCCCATTTCATATATTTCTTTTTTACTCAGTTGAATGTGTTCTTTAATGCACAATTCTTAATTATTAAACTCCAATTTATCTATTTTTTATTTTGTTTTCTATGGTTTTGATGTCATATACAAGAAATTATTTTCAAATCCAATGTCATGAAGATTTCCCCCTGTATTTTCTTCTGATATTTTTATAGTTTTAAAACTCACGTTTAGATCTTGAATCCATTGTGAGTTATTTTTTTGTGTATAGTACAAGCATGGGTACAATGTCATCCTTTTGCATGTGATTATCCAGTTTTCCCAACACAATTTTTTAAAAAGATTGTCCTTTCTCTATCAAATGGTCTTGTTGGTGTTGTTGAAAATTATTATACCATATACGAGAAAGGATTTATTCCTGGGATCCTTTTTTATTTCTTTGTAAATCTTTCATTTTCTTAATTTGTTTTCCAAAGTAATGTGTCAGTTTTCAAGAAGGTACAGAAGAGTCTTGAAGACAAATTGTCTATTTATTTTAGCTATTATTGAACACAAGTGAGAATTCAGATTTTTCTGTACTGCCCATAATAATTTTTAAAAATCAGTACAAGAAGACATTACACAATATGAATCAGACAAATCCAAAGAAACATAAAGCAAGACTCTAATCTGTAATGATAATTATCTTAGTCTGTTTAGGCTGCTATTACAAAAATATCACGGACTTGGTGGCTTATAAGCAACAGAATTGTGCTTCTCACAGTTCTGGAGCTAGGAAGTCCAAGATCAAGGTGCTAGGGACATTGTGTGGTCAGGGCCTGCTTCCTCATTCATAGATAGCCATCTTCTTGCTATAACCTCACTTGTGGAAAGGGTGAAGAATTTCACTGGGATCTCTTTTACAAGTGCACTAATCTCATCTCATTCATATTGAAATACAATAAAAATGTAGACTAAAAAGTTGATTTTCTATGTTTAAATTTCAATTTAAGATTTTATAAAGCTGGTTTTTGCTACTTTTATTCCTACTTCTCTAAATAATCTGTGATATGACTTTTAAAGGACACAAAATAAAGATTTAATGGGCCCCAGGTTAAAGATGACCTCTGAGGGTTATTTTCGGATAAAGTAGACTTCAAGACAAATATGAAGAAATACATTACAGAGGTAATAAAAGAAGCTATTCCACACGAAAACATTAAAATCCAATGAATGCAGCAATTAATGAAGATTCAAGATGGAATGAAAAATACAGTGAAATAACAAATACAGAAATAAATCCACAATCATGATTGGAGCTTTTAAAAACTTCTGTCTCAGTATTTGATAGAAGTAGAAAAGAATTATTTAGACCAATTATTCAGAAAGTACAAACTACTCAACTCAGCTAATATGAAATGGATGCTATGAATGGCTACATATGTATTAAGAAAATAAAGATGTGTTCTTAAAAATGCAAAGAGAGTGGATTTAAAATGTTCTCATGACCAAAATGATCAATATATGAGATGTTGTACATGATAAATATATGCAATTTTGTCTTTAAATTTAAAAATAATTGTTTTAAAAATTCAAAAACTCCCTGAAAAGAAATCTACTGGCCCATGAGAATTAACTGGAAAATGTTCTTTAAAAAGCAATACTGTCGATTTTAAGTAATATTGAATATAGAAGTAAATACTTCACATCTCATTTTGTGAGGCTAGTATTACTGATACCTAAACAAAATAAAGACAGTACAATGAAGAAAGAATGACAGATATAAACCATTATCTTAAAAAAAATACAAATATCCTCAACAAAGTATTAACAAGTCAAATTTAGTAATGTGCAATAAATAATAGATAATCAAAATAAATAATAAAAGCAATAATAAGAATATTATCTTTATAAAAATATAACTAACGATAAAATAATAGATTATAGACAAGAAGAATTTATTTTAGATAGTCAAGATTAGTTCAGTATCCAAAATTCATGTAATCCATTATGTCAACAGACAAAAAGGTAAAATCATATGATCCTAGCCATTGAAACTAAATACATTCATAAAACCCAATGCTATATATTAAAAAACTATCTCAGAAACTAGGTATTGAGAGAAATTTCCTCAAACTCATAAGGATTATCTCCAAACAAAACAAAGCAAAATCCCTACAGCTAGCATCAGACTTGATAGTAAAAGCCTGAATTATTCTCCTCCTAAAATCATTATTAAAGCTAGAATCTTTACTCTCACTTCAATTCTAGCCAATATAATAAGAAATAAAAGGGATTTATACTGAAAAAAACTATCTGTTTTTAAAAATAACATGATAGTCTACATAGAAATCTGAAGGTACTTAGAAAAAAACCTCAGAACTAAAAATGAATTCTATTATGTTGCAGAATCCAAGATCAACACCCAAAAATTAATTGCGTATCTGTATACTTACAGTGAACAAGTGAAAATTTAAAAAAAAAATCATTTATAATTGCTCTAAAGAAAATGAAGTACTCAATAATGAAACAACAAAACATGTATTTTTGAAAGTTACAATATTCTGATGAAAGAAATCTAAGAAGACCTATATAAATGGAGTGACATGGTTTGGCTCTGTGTCCCCAACCAAATCTTATCTCTAATTGTAATTCCCATGTGTGGAGGGAGGGACCTGGTAGGGTGATTGGATCATGGGGGTGGTTTCCCTCATGCTGTTCTCATGGTGGAGTTCTCATGAGATCTGGTTGCTTCATGAGTGTGTGGCTGTTTCCCCTTATCTCAATCTCTCTCTCTCTCTCTCTCTCTCTCTCTCTCTCTCTTCTCTCTCCTGCTGTCTTGAGAAGAAGGTGCCTGCTTCCCCATCATATCCATCATGATTGTAAGTTTTCTGAGGCCTCCCAAGCCATGTGAAACTGTGAGTCAACTAATTCTCTTTTTTTGGTAAATTACCCAGTCTCAGGTAGTATCTTTATAGCAGTGTGATAACAGACTAATGCAGGGAGATACATATGTCCATAAACCGGAAGATTCAATAATAGAAGAGAGGCAAATTCTTCCAAAAATGGTCTATAGGTTTAATACAATTTGTATCGAAATCACAGCAAGATATTTTATAAACATAGATAAGCTTATTCTGCTCATTCTAAAATACATATGAAAGGAGAAATTCTAAAATAGGCACAATGACTTTGAAGAACAAGTATTATTTTACAATGTTAAAAATTATGACATAGCTATAATAAGCAGTGTGGTACTGGTGGAGAAAATGACGCAAAGATCAAAAGATAAGAAGAGAGGATTAAGAAATACACCAACAGAAATCTATCCAATGTTTGGGACATAGGTGAGAGAAGAAATTCAATGGATGAGTAATAGCTTTTTCAAAAAATGCTGCTGGAAAACTTGGACATCCATAAATAAAAAAATTAGTGTTGTCTTAGTATCTCCCATCTTTCATAAAAATAACTCAAAATATATAATGAACCTAAATGAAAAATAAAGAACTATATTTTTTAGAAATATCATTGCAAAAAATCTTTAGAACTTAGGACAGGTAGAGAGTTCAATATAGCATGATCCTAAACTGGAAAAAAAAATGCCCTATCAAAATAAAACTTAAAAAATAATTAATCTGAAAAAATTAATTACAGACTTGAAGAAAATACGTGTGAAGCAACGTATTCTCAAAAAAATACTTGTATCTAGAAAATGTAAAATTTCTCAAAATGCAATATTAAAAAAACACAAACAATCCAATTTTACAAATGGGCAAAATATATGAATAGACTTTTCCCTGAAGAGAATATACAGATACCAAATAAACACAGTAAACATGTTTAACATCACTACATACTGAAGGAAGCACAATTAAAACGACAATAGATATTAATATACTCCTATTAGAATGGCTTAAAAAATAATGATACCATCTAATGTTAGTGAGAATGCCGAAAAATTGGGTCATTCATATATTATTGGTGGGAATGTCAAATGACACAGCCATTCTGGAAAATGGTTTGGCAGGTCCTTTGAAGTTTAAATAAATAGAAATGCTCTTGGGACCTCAGTTAATAATTAAGCTGAGGAAAGGATTCTTCAAATGTTGACTTCTGGATGAAAATTAAGAGTACAGAAAAGTTTGGTTGACAGTACAATCTAGAGCTGCACTATCCAATATACCAGCCACTAGCCACAAATGGTTATATAAATTTAAATTAAAGTAAAATACAGTTGAAATTTCAGTTCCTTGGTTGTACCATCCACGTCAGGTGCTCAATAGCCACATAGGACAGCAGAGATGTAGACCATTTCTTTGAGAGCAGAAACCTCTATTGGAACATAGATCTAGAGACTAACCTAAAATCCAAAACCCATCATCAATACTTCCTCCTGGTGATGAACTATCTTGCCTACAAGTTTGAGGAGAATATGCAACATCACGTTGACAATTATTCAGAGTATTGCAAACCTAAAACCAAAAGCAAATAAAATAAGAGCATTATATATATACAACATAAAAATTAAATTATTTGTGACAGTTAATGTAAATTATAATATAATTTTATAATATATAAAATATAATATATAATTAATTGTATACAATATAAATTATTTATAAGTATTTTATAATTTATATTTATAATACAATTTGATTTATTATAATAATATAGTATATTTTATTATAAGTTTTTATTTTCATGTGAAAAAATATTAATATGATAAATATTCATGCAATACCTAAGTATCATAAAGGTTTCCTCTTGTCTCTTATATTTTTTTCCCCTTGCTCTCTTGCCCAGGCTGGAGTACAGTGGCATAATCTTGGCTCACTACAACCTCCATCTCCTGGGTTCAAGCGATTCTCATGCCTCAGCCTCCCGAGTAGCTGGGATTACAGGCAGCACCACCTTGCCTGGCTAATTTTTGTCTTTTTAGTAGAGATGGGGTTTCATCATGTTGGCCAGGTTGGTCTCGAACTCTTGACCTCAGGTGATTCACCTGCCTCGGCCTCCCAAAGTGCTGGGATTACAGAAGTGAGCCACCACAAAATGCAAGGGCTTGTCTCTTGCATTTTTAAATAAAACTAGATAACATTCTTGATACGATTGAAATGCCTTATGCTAGAAAGGCATAGAAATTATGAAGCTAGAAACTATGTTGTGATTGAAGTAAAAATGTATTCTGAATTGTGATAGGTTTAAGTAAAATAGCTGCAATCAGAGCCAACTTTTATGAAAACAAACAAGCAAACAAAAACAAAGGGCAAGTGTGCTTTCGGATACAGATATCAACATTTATATGTAAAACTAAAAAATATTTCAAATGTGATGTAGTGGATGAATAAGAAAATGATCACCTCCCTAGTTAGCTGTATCCCTAGGTATTTTATTCTTTTTGTGGCAACTGTGAATGGGAGTTCACTTCTGATTTGACCCTCAGCTTGACTGTTGTTGTTGTATAGGAATGTTAGTAATTTTTCCTACCGATTTTGTATCCTGAGACTTTGCTGAAGTTGTTTATTATTTTAAGAAGCTTTTGGGCTGAGACTATAGGGTTTTCTAGATATAGGATCATGTCCTCTGCAAAAAGGGACAATTTGACTCCGTGTCTTCCTATTTGAATGCTCTTTATTTCATTCTCTTGCCTAAATGCACTGGCCAGAACTTTCAAAATTACATTGAATGTGAGTGGTGAGAGAGGGCAACCTTGTCTTGTGACAGTTTTCAAGGGGAATGCTTCCAGCTTTTGCCCATTTAGTATGATGTTGTCTGTGTGTTTGTTATAGATGGCTCTTATTATGAGGTATGTTCCTTCAATACCTAGTTTATTGAGTGTTTTTAACATGAATGGATGTTGAATTTTATCAAAAGCCTTTTCTGCATCTATTGAGATAATCATGTGTTTTTGTCTTTAGCTCTGTTTATGTGATGAATCACATTTATTTATTTGTGTATGTTGAACCAGCCTTGCATCCAGACATAAAGCCTAGATGATCATGGTGGATAAGGTTTTTGATTTGCTGCTGGATTCGGTTTGCCAGTATTTTCTTGAGGATTTTTTCATTGATGAACATCAAGGAATCACAATTGTCAAGGAATAAAATACTTAGGAATATAGCTAGCTAGTGAGATGAAAGATCTCTACAAGGAGAATTACAAACCGCTGCTCAAATAAATCAGATGTGACACAAACAAATGGAAAAACATTCCATGCTCATGAATAGGAAGAATCAATATTGCAAAAATGGCCATACTGCCCAAAGCAATTTCCAAATTCAATGTTATTCCTATTAAACTACCATCGAGACTCTTCACAGAACTAGAAAAAAAACTATTTTAAAATTCATATGAAACCAAAAAAGAGCCCAAACATCCAAGGCAATCCTAAGCAAAAAGAACAAAGCTGGAAGCATCACACTACCTGAATTCAAACTATACTACAGAGCTATAGTAACCAAAACAGCATAGTACTGGTACAAAAACGGACACATAGACCAAGGGACAACATGGAGAATTCAGGAATAAGACTGCACACCTACAACTATACACCATGGAATACTATGAAGCCATAAAAAAGAACAATGCCATCTCCTTTGCAGGGACAAATACCACATGTTCTCACTTATAAGTGGGAGCAAATGATGAGACTACATGGACACATAAAGGGGAAAAATACGTAGTGGGGCCTATTGGAGGATGGAGGGTTGGAGAAGGGAGAGGATCAGGAAAAATAACTAATGTGTACTAGGCTTAATACCTGGGGATGAAATAATCTATGTAACAAACCCCAAAGACACAAGTTTACCTATGTTAACAAACTTGTGCATGCAACCTTGAACTTAAAAGGTGAAAAAAAAAAAACAGAAAAAGAAAACAATCAGTGGCAGAATTGGGAACCCAGAAATAGGCTTATGAAAAAATTAAGTAACAAAGTAAATTAAAATTAAATAATAAAGAATAAGAAAAGAAACTCTAAGTAATAGGATATATAAGTAATTTAGGAGAAAATTCTGATCTAAGACATGCAGATAGGTCACTTTTTTCTGAATATATACATATAAATATATATACATATATAAATATGAAATACCTATATAAATATGAAATGCAAGTATGGAAGAAGACACTGGTCCCAAAGTGCAAGCCAAATGCATTCTGAAGAACTCAATTATTAGTTATCAAATAAATTCAAATTAACAATTGATTTAGCATGTTTAGAACGTATTTAACAGACTGATAAATTAGTCTGGCCAGAATATATTGAAGTGTATATTTCTGTATATGATACGTGGCAAAAAAAAAAAAACAGTCATGATATTTCTTGAAGATAATGATACTTATGAATATTTAAGTGGTGCATATATTTGGATCATCACATTTCATTGCTAATAACTTAAACTATCAGATAAATGTGCAAAGGTCATTGTACAACAATGTATCTTGTACTACTATTTGCAATAGTTACATTAAAATTTAACATTATCCAAAAGACCAACAGTAAATGATTTTTCAGATTCATTGACTTTTCAAGATCCATACAGGGAAATAAAGTCTTTAAAGGGTTTAACAGATGAACAGGAAACCCTACTCCCACAAAAAAACTTAGATTATAAGCAATGTGTATAAGATAAATACATTAAGTGTATGAGTGTTTATAAATATATTTGTATACACATACACTCAATTATGAGTAATGTGTATGTGTATATATAAATATATGTGTGTAATCCTTATTAAATCCATTTTCAAAATTCTAAAGCTAACATTATAGTAATCTGACTCTAACATTATAATAAAGAATTATGTTTACTTTTGTATTTTTGTACAAGGTTCAAACCTTATTTGCTTCTCAGGCCTGTAACAGTTTGATTGTAAATATAAATCACATATATATGTTAAAATAGTAGAATATGTTACCTTTATTTAGCTGCAATTTTCTAAAAGAAATTTTTACATCAGAAAATTCTCTAGCTTATTATTTTCCTTGAAAATGTTATTGATAAGGATTAAAATAACTTTATTTGAAAATAGGGTAACTGTTACATACCCCATGTCCACCGCATTTTTCTTCCCAGTTACCTTGTCTTCTATCTGCATATGTGCTCACAAGTTGGCAAACTCCATTATCACATAACTAAAATGTTAAAGTAACCAATAACAAGAAAAAATTTTAAACGCAAAGTCAAGAGTTGAGCAACTGTATTTTGTACAAGAACTATATTCATAAGATATAAACACAAACATAAATTTGGATTTGATGACTTTTGTTCATTGTAGTAATAGAACCTGAAGTCACTATCAAAATGATATGTTATTACTTTATAACTTTATAGAAAAATTAAGCAATGAAGTAAATTAAAATTAAATTACTTTATAAAATATTAAATATATTTATAAAATATTGAATATCATATTTACTTATAGTCCTGTGTATAAGAATGAGTAAAAGAAAGGCAGTTAATGTTATTTTTTAAATTCACTGGCTAGCTTATTAGTTTGAAAAACTCTCTGTTGATGATCTCATCAATATGCCCGAAGCATATTCCTTTTCAGTTATCAAATGATTATACTTAGATGTTCTTATCTCTCCTAGCTAATATACATGGACTAGGATCAGTTTGATAACCTCTTCTCCTGTTTAAGTTTTATAAATAACAAATTCAAAGGCACTTTGTATCACAACCAGTATTAAGCAAATTTGCCTTGCTGGAAATGCCTATTTCCATGTAGTATACTGTTGACTTAGTATATTACTATGTTAAATCTATGAGTGTTTTATTTATAATCTTTATTCAAATTAATAAGATATATGTATATTGATACTGACAAATAAGAAATAAAGTACATCTGTCTAAAGTCATATAGGTATAGATAGATGTAGATGTGGATATATGTTAAAGTGCATCTATCTTTTCATATAGGTATGTATGGATAGAGGTAAATATAAATATATGTTAAATTTAATTTTTACAAAGGACCCACATTTCATGAAGGTGAGGTAAAGAAGTCTCTACTTTCTTATCTCTCTGAAATCGTTTGAACAATGTTGAACAACAAATGAAAACAAAGCACACCTTTGATGAATTTTTAAAATAGCCAGAGAATTCCAATTTGAATTGACAGAGCTGGTGAACACAAAAGCCCTCTTTTTCCAATAAAAGAGAATAAAGGAGAATCAAAAAGACGCAATTGGAAGAAGAGAGATGTAAGAACTTCCTGGAATACCGAAATAAAAAGGAAGATCAACAATGGATAAAATGAAGTGGGAAAGCAACCATATCAAAGACAGTGGCAAAGAGGAGCCTGGTTGATTAGCCTGGCAATGCTTTGAAGAGCTGCAGCCTCAAGATTATAAGGAAAAACTGAGGGAGAAGAGCTGAAAGGACAGGAAGGGGAGGGATGGCTAAGATGTGGACTTATCCACAGAAGTCTGTACACAAAACTTACTTTGCTCTCAACATCCAATACTCACTTTTCCCTCTCCCTCTCAATGACTGAATGCAGTTCACACAGCACTTTTATCCCAAAGATTTAGAAGGGTATTTTGTTTCCTAAAGCAACTAGACTCATAAGACTGTGGAATTCAGGCTTCTAGAGTGTTCTGTCCTCTAGAATAAGCACTACCCAATTAAATCAGTGGTTAGTATAGTATCTTGTTTAGCGATCATGGCCTAAACTCAGCTTCCAAGATGAAGGCTGTCATTTGATAAACCCTAGTCACATAGAGAAAGCACCCAATTAGATTTTCAATATCTCTAATCATCAGAGAAATGCAAGTTACAACCACATGAAGCATCACATCAAACCTGTCGGATTAGCTATTATCAAAAGTATTAAAAATAACAAGTGTTGGTTAGGATGTGGAGAAAAGGGAATGCTTATACATTGTTGGTGGCATTGTAAATTGATACAGTGATTTTGGAAAACCAGTACAGTGATTCCTCAAAAAACTAAAAAGAGAACTATCATATGATCCAGCAGTCCCACTGTTGTGTATTTATCTAATGGAAATAAAATTAGTATGCCAAAGAGATATCTGACTCCCGTGTTTATTGTAGTATTATTCACAATAGACAAGGTATGCAAACAACCTAAGTGTCCATCAACAGATGCATATATATTTTTTAATGTGATGTGTATATGTGTGTGTGTGTGTGTGTGTGTATGTGTATGTATATATATATATATATATATATATATATATATATATATATACACATACACACAAAATTCAAAATAAAAAATGACAGGTAGTAAAATAAGAGTTCCTTTGACCAACAAGAATTCTGATGTTGAATCTCAAGATCATGCAGTAATAAAAATGTGTAACAGTAATAAAACAGTAAAGATGCCTATCTCTCTCACTCACACTGTTATGGGTATGCAGAAACACACCATACAGTATCAAGTAAAATTTTTATTTACCTTTTCTAGACCACAAAAGGTACCATTTTTTACATAGGAGTTATCCTTTATGCTACACATGAATTTTGTAAAAATGTAGACATATATATATATATATGTATATATATATACACACACACACACACACACACACACAATGAAATATTATTCAGACTTAAAAATAACAGGAAATTCATTTTCAACAACACTGGTGAGCCTATATGACATTAAGTAAAATAAGCCAGGCACAGAGAGACAAATATAATCTCACTCACATGTGCAATCTAAACATGTTGAACTCATGGAAGTAGAGACTAGAATGGTGGTTACAAGGAGTTAGGGGAGGAGTGAACAAAGAAAAGAAAAACATGTCAGTGAGTACAAAGCTAATTATGAGTTTGGATCTTCTATTGCACAACAAGGTGAGTATACTTAATTATAATATATTGTATATTTCAAAATACCCGAAAGGGGATTATAAATGTTCTCACTGCAAGGAAATTACAGCTATTTGAAGTAATGAATATGATAATTATTAGACTGATTTGTTCATTTCACAGTATATACATGTTTCAAAACATCATATTGTATACCATGCAAATACACAACTGTCATTTGTCTGTTAAAAATAAAATAGAACTGTAAAAAAAAGTATAGGAGTATAAAGGTATAACTCAGGAGCAGCCCACTGGAAGAGATGCGTTGGGCAAGGTATTTGATGGGGACAAGGTGGTACAGGCAGAGTTTCCATGCCCTCTCCTGACACGTCACCCTCCCAGCAAGTCATTGTGTTCACCAATCCATAAGCTGTCTCTGAATCTCTTTGTTCAGAAGTTTATTTGTTTGCTTGTTTTTAGACATAGGGCCTCCATATGCTGCCCAGGCTGGAGTGCAGTTGAGTATTCACAGGCACAATTCAAACACACTGGAGCTTCCCTCGAACCCCAGGGCTCAAGCAGTCCTCCTGCCTCAGCCTCTCAAGTAGCCAGGACTACAGGCATGAGCCACATACAGAGTCTTTATGGAGCTCAATCACCAGCTTCACCTTGTCCCTTTCCAAAGGTCATTGGGTAGGACTGAGAGTGTCAACCTTCTAATCACTTGGTCTTTCTGGTGACCAGCCCCATCCTGAGGCTATCTAGGGGCCCTACCCTAAGTTACTGCATTAACATAAACTCAGATGTTGATTGAAAAGGGCTCATTATGAATAACAAAGGACAGGCCTGTCACTCAGGAAATTCTAATAGTTTTAGGTGCTCTGCACCAGGAACCAGGGACAAAGATCAAATGTCTTCTGAAGTATAGCACATATACACATCATTTTTGTGCTTTTTCTTTAATTAATTGATGATTAAATTAGCTGTAAATTATATATTTACCCTGTCATATTTATAGTAAACATTTTTGTCAGTTTGTTTTATCAATTTTGTCATCCTTTGAAAGGTTGACATATTCCTTTATAATGTAACCAGCACAAGAATGTTTCTTTATTACTTCATTATTTTTATGTGGTAACAACTTTTCCCATTCTGAGATAAGTTTACTATTAATTTCCATTTTCCTCTTGTTTTTCTTTTCTTAAAATATTGGCTCTATATAAAAATTATGTAAAATGTGTGATAAGTTTGTACTTTTTCATCAGTCAACTAATTTTTCAATGGCACTGGTTCAAAAACCTTCATCTATTATGCCTCTCAAAAATAAGTAAAGCTTAAACTCTATGTTTTACTGTTAAGCACGTGCCAAATTTTTAATAGGTATGTCATGATTTTGGAGAAAGAATTCAGAGAGTAGGTCGATGAGCAAATAAATATTTTACTTTCATTATAATTAAACAAGTCCTTGCCAATTACTAAATACTTGGGTTTTTTTTTTCTGTATTTCTTTAATGTTCTAATTATTCAGATTTTCTGACCTTATTTTTTGGAATGTTGTTTGATTTCATTTTTTGTTCTAGGTTTAGGCATATTATTTCAGATAAGATTCTTGCCTCACAAAGAGATTTAGTTCTCAAATATGAGAAAAATTTAAATACCTATGGCAAAATTCAAAATAAAAAATGACAGGTAGTAAAATAAGAGTTCCTTTGACCAACAAGAATTCTGATGTTGAATCTCAAGATCATGCAGTAATAAACATGTGTAACAGTAATAAAACAGTAAAGATGCCTATCTCTCTCACTCACACTGTTATGCGTATGCAGAAACACACCATATAGTATCAAGTAAAATTTTTATTTACCTTTTCTAGACCACAAAAAGTACCATTTTTTACATAGGAGTTATCCTTTATGCTACCACATGAATTTCGTAAAAATGTAGACACACATACATGGTTTCCAAGGTAAGTATATTAAGCATCATCATCTTTATGTCGTATTAGTTCTGTACTTTTCCAGTGACAAACTAGCTTTGCACAAAGGACACGTCTGGGAATATAAGGCAGAAAAAATTAGCCATTTTTCACTTAAGGACACAATATACTAGGTAAATAACAGCTCAAAATATAATGATAATTCAAAATGTTACTTAGATTACACCACCAACTATATTCAGAACCTACAACACTTTATAAAGTGCAAAATATAAACTCACCTGTATATGCTACATCTCTCATTTGTATTAAGTGACCCTCTGAAATACACACGCACATACCAACGTTAGAAAAATGTATACGTTTAAAAATGTGTACTCGAAATTATAGGAACTAGTTTTACAGTTTCCAAAATTGTTGGCATGCAAATTCACTTCTTGTGAACACAGATAAGGAGCACCCTGAGCAACTGAAAACATAAATAAAGAAGTCCCAATTACTCATTTTAAAAAATTAGTTACAAATAAAAATGTAGTAAATTAATATGGAGATATCTATATAGCAATAATGCCCATTCAGTGTCATCCACCACAACTTTTTGATGTAATTATTGTCTATACACAAAGGAGAAACACCTGCTAAAAACTACCCACTTGGGTAGAAAGAGCAAAAGTGATATTTTAGTGTAGAAATAATTGAGAGATCAGTCATTTTCTCTCTTATTTACTATTCTAATAGTGTGCTCCCTTTCTGTCATCTGATATTTGACTAATGCTCTATTTTTTTGGTCCTGTGATTATTAAGTCCATTTTACCTCTTGATATAGTTCAAAGTTGCTTTAAATTGCAATTTTATTTTTAAATTTGGATTTAAAAAAACAACACTCTTTTCATGGTTATAGGATGGATTACTGACTTTAGAATAACTACAGTTTAAAAATGAACCTAGAAATATACAATTATTACATTGTCCAAATAATTGCATGCACTGTCCATCCCTATCTTGGAATATTCCTCTAAGACAATAGGCAGTCTTATTGCATAGCTCATAATCAGCAGATTTCACATCAGGTACACAAAACTCAGATGTTCCATTGTAATATTCTGTAAAACCACACAGATCTATGCTTTTCCTGCAAACATGTCCTCTTTTATGTATCTGTGAGACAAAGGGAAACAAAATGTGTGTATATAGATATATATATACACACACTCACACATACATATAAAGGGGTTAATAAAAAATGTCAAAAATTTCAAAAGGTACATTGTATTAGCATCTATCATTTCTATCACTTAACAATTTAAACTACGGATTTACTAAAAAAATTCTAGTGAAATAAACTGGAAAGGACCCAAATATCCATCTATTGATGAAGGGATAAATACATTGTAAATATACATAAAATAGCATACTTTCAAATAATAAAAAGAAATGGAGTATGGATACATATTGCAAGGAGGATGAACCTCAAAAACACTATGCTAAGTGAAGAAAGTCAGATGCAAAAGGTCAACTATTGTACAATTCTACTTATATGAAATATCCAGAATAGGGGACTCCATTAAGACAACACAGAGGGGCGGTTTCCAGGGTCTGAGGGGAAGGGAGAATGTGAGCAACTGCTTAATGGGTCAGGGGTTTCCTTTTGTGTTGATGAACATGTTTTGGAAGTAGATAGATGTACAACGTTGTGTATGTACTAAATGCCACTGAGTTGGCCACTTGAAAATGGTCAATTTTATGATTTGTGAATTTCACTCCAATTTAAAAAAATTTCTAGTGAAAGCACTCATAGTTAAAATGCATCCTATTTTCTTCAAAATATCTTTTTTCTTCAAAAAAAACTAGAAAGTATTTATGCTTAATGAAAATAAAATGTCTGATAGACATCTTTTTCATTTTGCAGTTCAAGTAATTTTCTTTTCAAGATCTGTTCCACCTCCACTATGAGGGGGTTATAAATCTCATGAATCTGCTTCTGACACAGGGTAATAATCTGAACACTCACCCTCAGATACAGTGATAGTACAGTGATGGGAAATTCAGTTTCACAAGATCAGTCATGTTTTCCTCCACTACCAAGTATTGAAATGAATGTTGGAAGGGAGAAGCTCTCTCTACTCTTCTGAAATATTGCACACTGTGGACTAAAAAAGCAAAGAGCTAAAATGACCTATTGCTATCATATATGAAAGCTTGTTAGAATTGTCAGCCAGAATGCAAAGATACCCAAGAGATACATAGATCAAAAATCTTGTTACTATTTGAAACAAAGATTCACTTAGCAGGAGGCTAGCCCCATCTTCCACCTGATCTTCTGCAGTGTTTTCCTTTTATGGCCATTCATTATCAAGACAAACTGACCAATACATTACCAATATTATCTAGTACCAATCATATTTTTTTAGACATTACGAAGAGGAATATCTTAATAATGATTACAAACATGTTAATCACTGTTATGTGTTAGCAAAGCAGCTGTTTCAACAAAGCAGCTGTTTCTTTTTTATCTTTGAACTTAGGGTTGTGTCTATTAGTAAGCAGGAAATGTATTTTTAAAAATTGCATCAAATCCTTAAATTTAATACAAGCTTTATTGAAACTGGCCTGTTAGAGAGTAGACAGAAAAGAAAAACAGAAAGTTTTTTGTACTTACGATCAATAGTAAAAGAGAGCAATAAAAACTTCCTGTCTTACACTTTGGGTTACTCAGAAGCCTCCTTGAATTTTTCTCCTGGTTAGGCTGTAAATTTTCCAAACTTTGATGCTCTGCTTTTCTTTTAAATAAGGTTCCAGCTTTAAGTCATTTCTTTTCTCTTGTGTATGAACATAGGCTGTTAGAAGCAGCCAAGCCAAACTTAAATACTGCTTCCTAGAAATTTCTTCTACCAGTTATTATAAATCATCACTCTTTAATTCAACTTCCACAGATCCCTAAGACATGAACAGAATGCAGCCAAGCTCTTTGATGAGGCATAAAATTTGTGACAATTGATCCAGGTCCCAATAAGTTCCTCATTTCCATCTGAGACCACCTCAGTCTAGACTTCATTGTCCATATCACTATCAGCATTTTGGCCACAAGCATTTAATCAGTCTCTAAATGAAGTTCCAAACTTTCCCTCATATTCCTGTATTTTTCATAGTCCTCCAAACTCTTCCAGCCTTTACTTGTTACTCAATTCCAAAGTCACGTCAACATTTTCAGGTATCTTTACAGCAATACCTCACCTCTGGTACCAATTTTCTGTATTTGGCCATTCTTGAATTGCTATAAAAAAATACCTGAGACTGGGTAATTCATAAGAAAATAGGTTTAATAGGCTCATGGTTCTGCAGGCGGTACAGGAAGCATAGCAGTATCTGTTTCTGGGGAGACTTCAGGATGCTTCCAATTATGGCGGAAGGCAAAGGGGAAGCAGTCACATCACATGGTGAAAGCAGGAGCAAGAGAGCAAGGGGTGGGGTGCTACATACTTTTAAATGACCAGATCTCATGAGAACACACTCCCTAGTGTTAGAACTGTACCAAGGAGAATAGTGCTAAACCATTCATGAAAAATATGCCCCCATGATCCAATCACCTCCCACAAGGCTCCACCTCCAACATTGGGGGATTACATTTCAATATGAGATTTGGGTTGGGACACAGGTGCAAACTATGTCAATATTTTAATATATAGATCTTACATAAATTTGAATTTTCCTACATAGGCACAGCAGACCCTTCAAAATCAGGAAATAATGGTGTGGTACAAACATTTATATACATCACAATATTGGCATTTTGTAGCAAAATGATGCAGTTCAGAATCAAACATCACGTTTAGTTCTCACATCTCCTTACCTTACATTCCTAAGATTTTTTTTTTGATTGATTTTCATGATTTTGATAAGTTTGATGATTACAGGCCAATTTTGGGGTAGAAATTACCTTAATTTAGGTTTATAAAATATATTTTTATGATTAGACTGAGGTTATGCATCTTTACAATATTATTATAGCAGTGTTGCTTTGTTTGTTTCATTGCAATACAAAAAGTTGTGAACAATCTCGATTTGTTATATTACTGAGAATAGTCACTTTGATCAGTTGATTAAGGTGTCCATGCCAGTATTCCCTGGAAAATTACTTTTTTTTCCTTTGTCTGTTGATAATTCCTTGGAGAGAAACCCTTTGGTTTTATGTAAACAATCCATTTCTAATTATATTTTAAATACATTAATGTATTTATATCAGTTTGGAATCATGTTTTCATATTTTACTCAATGGGTTGTAATCCATTAGTACCATTATAATCTTTGACATTCGAATTGTCCCAGTTTTGGCCTGTTGGAGCCCTTTCTAACTGGCCTTTGTGTTATCTCCATGATACTTTGTGAATCTCCTTATTTTTTATAGAAGGCATTCCAGGCTAATTTTTAATTTTCTCTGCCTGAGCCTTGGAACCAGTCATTTCTTCAAGATATCCATATTTCTTTTAGTGGAAAATAATATTGAAAAAGTGTAATCTGGATGAGACATTTGCTCATTTTTACCAGATTTTTTCTGGACAGAGATCGAGACCATATCAGCATCTTAAGTAATGTTAATAGCTCTTTTCCTCTCACCCACAATTTGCAAAATCTCCACCAATTTCAGCTCCTATAATGCTATGAACTTACAAATAAACATTCTTCATGGGAACAAAAAATTTTTGAGGTTTTTATTAGTCCAAAATTTCTGAGTTCCCAGTCTGTATGATTTTTAGGTCCCCATTGTATTCCATTTCCTCCCACACCACTACTTATTAAATGCAGGTTTTATTTTGGCAGTTGATTGGCCCCACCTGCTGG
This sequence comes from Homo sapiens, assembly GCF_000001405.40. Taxonomy (NCBI): domain Eukaryota; kingdom Metazoa; phylum Chordata; class Mammalia; order Primates; family Hominidae; genus Homo; species Homo sapiens. The sequence goes on along the minus strand of NT_187577.1, from coordinate 304,235 downwards.
TATTCTGTGTGTTCTGGTTTTGGGGAACTTGCATATGCTTTTGTGTGTCTGTGTGTCTCTATGTGTTTGTATGTATATACATATGTTTTTATAGTTTTTCTTTCTATTTTATAAGATAATTTGGAGACACTAAACTACATCCTGATGTTTTTACCACTTGGCTCCCAACCCTTCCTTTATTCTTTTTTTTTTTTTTTTTTTTTTTTTGAGATGGAGTCTTGCTCTGATGCCCAGGCTGGAGTGCAGTGGTGCAATCTCGGCTCATTGCAAGCTTTGCCTCCTGGGTTCACGCCATTCTCCTGCCTCAGCCTCCCGAGTAGCTGGGACCACAAGTGCCCACCACCATGCCTGGTTAATTTTTTGTATTTTTAGTAGAGATGGGGTTTCACCACGTTAGCCAGGATGGTCTCGATCTCCTGAACTTGTGATCTGATTCCACTCTAGGTAAAATTACACCTTAACATGGTTGTTGTCCTAATATTTTCTTTCTTTCTGATCCTTCATATTACTGACTTTCCCTCAATTTTTAGCCTATAAATATAAGCAATTTTCAAAGCTTTCTCTAAGATACCTCTTTTAACTTGATAACTTCTTTCTAAATGATCTGTCTGTGGTTTTAATTGTTACTCATATACTGATGGCTTGTACATTTTATATCGCTTGTTCTCTGAGATCTGGAACTATATAACTCATTCTGTGTTAACAGCTCCAGTGAATTACTTAAAATACCCCAGATACAATGTATATAAAACGTCGTCAAGATTTACCCTCACTATTCTCGTTTCCTAAATTAATGACCTCTTAAAATATTTGTTAATAAGTTATAATATATGAAAACCTATGGATAATTCTTGGCATCTCCCTTTATCTAAATCATTATAAACCACTATAGATTATTATGAAAATTACCACCTCCCAAATATTATTATTGTTTTTCCCTTTGATTTATTTTACATTGATTTTATGAGATATTTTTTATTACCCATACTGAATAAATTGATTAAAATGTATGTGTGTGTGTTTATGTGTGTGTGTGTGCATGTGTGTAAAATGAAATTCAAATCCCTGTATCATGATTGCATGATCAGGTGCTTTCCTTCATTTCTTATATTAACCCCTGGGTTTCTTCCCCTGACTCAAAGTTATTCGGCCTGATGGTATTTCACTTTATTTTCACTATGTCTAGAATATTCCTATTTACAGTGCCAGCCTTTCTACTTTTTAAAAACATTTTACCTACTGCAATCTCCTTATTCCAGGTCTATTAAGCTTTTCAAGCTTCTTGCTAGCCAATAACCGTTTTACTTGCTGGGCTTGAAAAATTTTTCAACAGCTCCAATAAACTTTAGTAAACCCAAGTATACAATCATCAACATCTGCTCTCTATATATACTATAATGTTGAATGCAATACTATTAAACATGGTTTCTACAAAATCCCATAGTCAAACTTGTAAAGTCTTAAATAAGCACATATATATTTAATAACATTCTTACTCAAGTTACAATGCAAAAATCACACATCAAGGAATAATGCCTACATTTTCCAAGAGAAGACATATATTTGATTAAAAAAAAACACCTTACATTGCCTTAGAATTCATTACGCATGTAGCTCCTGGACAGTTACAGTTGTAGATGTCATCATATGTCAATCCCAGATTAATTCCAAGCAACTGTGTCATAACAACTGAAAATCCCTCTAAAGTTACTGTCTTTGAATACTAAAAAAAGAAACAAAGAAAAACATCAAAATTGACTTACCTCATTGATCTTGTCAAGCAATTCTGGCCATACTACCATATGCAAATACAAATTTAAGAAACTGGTATACCAAAGCTAATTACTTTCTTAGAAATAAAAAACAAAAATATGTTAATTTTTTGAATAGTAGCATTTTTAATCTAAATAGTATTGTCATAATAAAATAAGATTAATGCCACAATATGTTTTATGACACTTGAAATTAAATTCTAATAAATTTCAAAAACGTTTTGAAAAGTAGAAGCATATTTTTATGACTATATTAATTTTCAAGTGAACACTTGGAAAATATACACAGATTTTGAAGGTTTGGATTGTCAATAAGTTTTGACTTCAGAAACAGTTTTAGGATAGTCAAATTACTTTTTATTACTTTTTTTCTAAAAACATAATAGTATATCTTGTTAGTAGCATTTATTTGGTCTAAAAAAGTAAAATGTTAGAGGGAACTAGGTCAGTAAGACATAAATCCCTGGAAACCAGTGGGTTTTCCATAGTTTTACATTTTCTAAAATGTGACATAGTTGGAATAGTACAATATGTAATCTTTTCAGATGGCTTAACTTAACAGTAGCATTTAAACGTCTGTCATATCTTTTTGTGACCTAATGTCTCACTTTTTAAATCACCAAATAATGCCCCATTATGTCTATGTAACTAACAGTATGTATTCATTTGCCTATTAAAGGGCATATTGCTTACTTCCAATTTGTGTTAATTATTAATAAGGCTGCAATAAATATTCATGTGTATGTTTTTGTGTGGATATGATTTCAACTCATTTGGATATATATTTGCTGAGCATGAAAATTTCTCAACAGCTCATGTGCATGAACATTCATGTGCATGTTTTTGTGTGAATATGTTTTCAACTCATTTGGATATGTACCAAGGACAATTGTTGGATCATCCAGGAAGAGTAAGTTGAGAAACTGTCAAACTGTCCAACGTGACTGTATCATTTTGCATTCCCATCAACAATACATTTGGTGTGGTTTGCATTTTGAACTGCAAACATGATGGCTCATAGCTACATTCTTGCCTTGTTCTTTATCTTCGTAATAAATCATTTTGTTTCTTACCATTAAGTCTAATATTAGCTGTATTTTTGTAGATATTCTTTCTCAAATTCAGAAAGTTTTCTTATATTCTTAGTTTTCTAAAAAGTTTTATCATAATTTGGCTTAAATTCGGTAAAAATTTTTCTCCTTCTATTGATAAAATCATGTCTTTTCTTCTTTAGCCTATTGACAAGACATGTTACATTAATTGATTTACAAATGATGAACCAGCTTTACAACCTAGAAGAAATTGTATATATATATATCAACAAGAAAATAGAAATTTTAAAAATAAACCACCAGGATTCCATGCTTAAACATAATAAATAAACTGAAACATTTATTAAATAGGCTAAAAGCACACTTGATCAGGTAAAAGAATCAGTGAACTTGAAGACAGGTTATTTAAAATAACTGAGTCATGGAAGTAGAAAAAATGAGAAAATGAAGATTGTCTATCATCTTATGAAACCTTACCAATGGGTGTTTCAAAAGGAAAAGAGAAAGAAGGGGAAACTTAATTTGAAGAAGAGGAAGAAAATGGACATCGATTTTCAAGATTAACAACTTTAGGAAAAGCTCAAAGAGGTATTCATGGAGACACATTATAATCAACCTGTCAAAAGTGAAAGGCAGGCCGGGCACGGTGGCTCACGCCTGTAATCCCAGCACTTTGGGAGGCCGAGGCGGGTGGATCATGAGGTCAGGAGATCGAGACCATCCTGGCTAACAAGGTGAAACCCCATCTCTACTAAAAATACAAAAAATTAGCCGGGTGTGGTGGCGGGTGCCTGTAGACCCAGCTACTCGGGAGGCTGAGGCAGGAGAATGGCGTGAACCTGGGAAGCAGAGCTTGCAGTGAGCCGAGATTGCGCCACTGCAGTCCGCAGTCCGGCCTGGGCGACAGAGCGAGACTCCGTCTCAAAAAAAAAAAAAAAAAAAAAAAAAAGTGAAAGGCAAAGAAAGAATCATACAAGCAGCAAGAGAAAATTGACTAATTACAAAGGATGGGAATAAGAGAGGAAGAAACAAAGGATCTACAATAAATCAGAAAACCATTTGCAAAGTGGCAGTAATAAGTTCTTACCTGTCAATATTTGAAATATAAATGGATTAAATTTTTTAACAAAAGACATAAAATGGACAAATGTATTACAAACCAGACCTCACTATATGCTGCCTACAAGAGACTTACTTCATTTATAAGGACACACACTGGCTGAAAGTGAAGGGATGGAAAAATATACCCCATGAAAATGGTAAACAAAAGACAGCAGACATGGCCGTACTTGTATCATTAAAATATAGATTTCAAGTCAAAAACTGTCACTAGATACAAAGGATATCATTATGTAATAAAAAGATCAATACCTCAAGAGGACATAATAATTATAAACATATAAACACTTAACACTGAAACAACTGAAAGTATAAAGTAAGAATTAATGCAATGAAGGGAGAGATAAATAACAATACAATAATAGTAAGGACAATTAAATATCCCATTTTTAAGAATGAATAGGACATTCAGGCAGAAAAGTAATGAAGAAATATTTGATTTGAACAGCACTTTAGAACAAATAGACCTAACAGAAATACATAGAACATTCTGTTCAACAGTAGCAGAATACGCATTATTTTCTAGCTCACATGGCACATTCTCCAGTACAGACCATATGTTAGGTTACAAAACAAATTTTAACAAATATAAAAAGATTCTAATCATATCAAGTATTATTCCTATCCATAACAGTATAAAAGTACAGTTTGTCAAAAGTAGGAATCATTAAAAATACACAAATATGTGAAAATTAAATGAAAGCTAATGGGACAAAGAATAAATTAAAAGGAAAACTAACAATTATCTTGAGAAAAATGACAAAAAACCCCAAAATACCAAAACATGGGAGATGTAGTAAAAGCAGATTTAACATGCAAATTTATAGCAACAACTCTCTGCATTAAAAAAGGAAAGATCTCAAATAAATAGCATAACATTATGACTCAGGAAACTAGAAAAAAGAACAAACAAAACCCAAGTTTAGTATAAAAAAGGAAATAATAAAGATCAGAACAGAAATATTCACATGCAGAACTTAAAAACATTAAAAAAAATCAACAAACAAATAGCTGAAATATTAGTGGAGACAGTACAAAGGATGTCTCTGAACTACAAAAGTACTCTAAGGAGCTATTATAAAAATTGTATGCCAAAAAACTGGATAACCCAGAAGAAATGAATGAATTCCTAGAAAAATACAACCTACTAAGATTGAATCATAAATAAATAGAAAGCCTTACTTGATCAATAACAAATAGATTAAAATGGTAATTTAAAACCTCCCAGAAAAGAAAGCTCAAGGCTGGATGGCTTTATGGCAGAATTCTGCCAACCATTCAAAGAAGAATTAATGCACTTCGATTTTAAACTTTTCCAAAAAATACAACTGGAGGGAATATTTACAAACACATTCCAAATCCAAGCAAAAATGCCACAGGAAAACAAAGCTAAAGACCAATATGTCTGATGAACACTGATGCAAAAAGCCATGATAAATTATTAGGAAACTGAATTCAACAACAGATAAAAGGAATTCTACACGATGTCCAAGAGGCACATATCTCTGACATGAAAAGCTAGTTTAACGTATACAAATCAATGTTATACATCACATTTACAGAACAAAAGATAAAATCACATTATTATCTCAACAGATGCAGGAAGAGAATTTGACAAAATGCCATGCCCTTTCTTGATAAAAACTCTCAACAGTTTAAGTAGGAAGCTGGTAACCGTGCATGGGGTTGCTGCATGCCAGCATGTATTTCAGCCCTGGATGACTCCTAAGGAAGGGGTGGGTCTGAGCTGTGGAAGCTGACAGACCTTGAGAGGGCAAAGCTGTCTTTGCCAGGGCACAGAAGCAAGTCTGATCTGCTCACATCACTGTCCACCAACCCTTCCCAGAGTTCCTGCCTGGCCGTGACTGCATGCAGTGCAGCCACAGAAATCCTATCAGAATGCTTTTCCAGGTGGCCACTGCCATAGTGCTTTCATCAGCACAATGGGACAGCCACTGGAGCTTTTTGGCTGACAGCTTTCTGCTGGAATGTGATTGCATGCAATGCCACTGCCACCTCTTCAAAGCGCATTAGGCCACAGCACTCCAGGTGACCCACCAAAGTGCCTCCCACCTGCAATGCCCCCCACCTCCACTGAAGCATCACTCATCTGTGGTGCCCCTGCTAGAGCACCTCCTGCCTGCAGTGCTCCCACTTCCCTTCACCAGAGAACCTCCAGCCTGAAGCAACCCTGTCACTTCCTCCAGAGCACTAATGCCTGCGGCCCCCATGCAGTACCCTAAACAATATTGTTACCAGTGGTATGGAAGCAGTCTGGTTTCTCCAGCCCAGCTGGTGCTTGACCTTGAGAAACCAGAGGACAAAGCTGTGGACCCAGTCCCAGCCACCCAGAGTTAGATCATGCAGCCCAGAATTGTGGAGTTGAGCCATGGACCTCTGAAAGCATCCAGAAATGAAGCCATTCAATTACATCCAACTTGTACCACAGTCTAATTTTCAATGGCATTATAGATCATAAGAACAAAAAGTGCCATCCAAAGGACAGTTACCTCACAGGATAAAGGATCATCAGCCCTCATAGATTAGAAAGATCCAGCGAAAGAACTGGCAATCTTAAATGCCAGAGTGTTTTCTCTTAACCAAACTGAAATGGCTGAAATGTCAGACTCAGAATCTGAATGACAAGGAAGCTCAAGAAAAAGTTGAAATCCAATCCAAAAGAAAACAGCAAAATGATTTAAAAGTTGAAAGACTGGAAATAAAAAATTTACTATAGAAATTTCAAAATACAATTGGAAGAATTAACAACAGAATAAACCAAGATGAGGAAAGAATCTCAGAGCTTGAAGACAATTCCTTTAAAGTAACACAGGCAGATAAAAATGAAGAATGAAGAATATTAATAAATGAATAAAACCTCTGTGAAATATGGGATTATGTCAAGATACCAAATGTATGATTTGATAGCGTTCCTGAAAGAGGTGAGAGAAAAGCAACTTAGAACTCATATTTAAGAATATAGTTCACAAATTTTTCCCAAATCTCATTAGATAAGTTGACATGCAAATTCAAGAAATTCAGAGAACCCCTGTGACATATTATGCAAGATGACCATCCCCAAGACACATAGTCATTAGATTCTGCAAGGTCAACATGAAAGAAAATATCTTAAATGCAGCTAGAAAAGGACCAGGTCACTTACAAAGGGAAGACCATCAGGCCAACCACGGATGTTTCAGCAGAAATTTACAAGCCACAAGAGACTGGGGACCTATTTTCAATACCTTTAAAGAAAATAAATTCCAACCAAGAATTTCATATTCCACCAAACTAAGCTTGATACGTGAAGGAGAAGTGAAATTCTTCTCAGACAAGCAAATGCTAAGGAAATTTGTTACCACTAGACCTGCTTTACAAGAGATCCTGAAGGGAGTGCTAAAAATGGAAAAGAAAGAACAATACCTGCCACCACAGAAATATACTTAAGCATGTACTACATTGACACTGTAAAGCAGCTATACAATCAAGTCTACATAACAAGACAATGATAGAACCAAATCCTCAATATCAATATTGAGCCTGAATGTAAATGGGCTAAATGCTCCACTTAAAGAACATAGAGTGGCAAGTTAGATAAAAAAGGAGGCTGCAACTGTCTGCTGACTTCAAGAGACCTATCTCATAAGTAATAATACGCATAGGCTCAAAGTAAAGGGATGGAGAAAGATCTACCAGGCAAATGGAAAACAAGAAAAGCAGGAGTTGCTACTCTTATATCAGATAAAGCAGACTTCTTTAAAACAATATAATCACAAAGGACAAAAAATGGCATTACATAATGATAAAATAGCTCAATCCATAAAGAAAACTTAACTATCCTAAATATATACAAACCCAAAACTAGACTATCCAGATCCATAAAACAAGTTCTTAGAGAACTATGAAGGGATCTAGACAATGACATAGTATTACTGTGGGACTTCAGCATTAGACAGGTCATCAAGGAAGAAAACTAAAAAAGATATTCTGGACTTAAACTTGACAGTTGGCCAACTGGACTTAATAGATATCTACAGAACACTCCACCACAAACAACAGAATATAGATTCTTATTATCTGTACATGGCACATACACTAAGATCAACTATATGCTCAACCATAAAACAAGTCTCAACAAACTAAGAAAAATAATAATTCATATCAACCACGCTCTTGAGCCACAGCAAAATAAACATAGAAATTAATATCAAAAAGATCTATTACAACTATACAATTACATGGAAGTTAAACAATCTGCTCCTGAACGACTTTTGTGTAAACAGTGAAATTAATCAGAAATCAAAAAATTCTTTGAAACTAATGAAAATAGAGACACAACATATCTGAATCTTTGGGACACAGCTAAAGCACATGAGCAGAATGTTTATAGCACTAAACACCTAACCTACATCAAGAAGTTAGAAAGTTCTCAAATTAACAGCCTAACATTGTACCCAGAGAAACTTGAGAAACAAGAGCATACCAACTGCAAAGCTAGCAGCAGAAAATAAATAAGCAAAATCAGACCTGAACTGAATGAAATTGAGTTGGAAAAATCCATAAAAAAAAACAAAAGAAAAAGTTGGTTCTTCAAAAATTAAACAAGATTGATAGACTGCTACCGATATTAATTAAGAACAAAAGAGAGAGGATCCAAATAAGCACAATCAGAAATGACAAAGGTGACATTACAACCCAAACCACAGAAATACAAAAAAATCCTCAAACATTACTACAAACATTTCTATACAGACAAACTAGAAAACCTACATTAAATACTTTCCTGGAAACACACAGTCACTCAAAATTGAACCAGGAAGATATTAAAATCTTGAACAGACCAATAATGCATTTCAAAATTGAATCAGTAATAAAAAGTTACTGTCAGAGGTCTTCACAGCAGCCCCTCCCATCACAAACTAGGAGGCCTAGGAAGAAAAAAATGGTTTTGTGGGCCAGGCCCAGAGCCTTGCTGCTTTGTGCAGTCTCAGGACTTGGTGCCCTGCGTCCCAGCCACTCCAGCAAAGGCTAACAGGGGCCAACACAGGGTTCAGGCCACTGCTTCAGAGCGGGCAAGCCCCAAGCCTTGGTGGTTTACATGTGGTATTGGGCTTGTGAGTACACAGAAGTCAAGAATTGAGGTTAGGGAACCTCTGCCTAGATTTCACAGGATGTATGGAAATGCCTGAATGTCCAGGCAGAGGTGTGCTGCAGGGGCAGAGCTCTTATGGAGAACCTCTACTAGGGCAATGTGAAAGGAAAATGTGGGGTGTGAGCCCCTACACAGAGTCCCACCTTGGGCACTGCCTAGTGGAGCTTTGAGAAGAGAGCCACCATCCTCCAGACCCCAGAATGGCAGATCCACTGACAGCTTACACCATGCACCTAGAAAAGTGGCAGACACTCAACACCAGCCTGTGAAAGCAGCCAAGATGGGGGCTGTACCCTGCAAAGCCACAGGGGTGGAGCTGCTCAAGACCATGGGAACTCACCTCGTGCATCACCATGACCTCGATGTGAGATATGGATTCAAAGGAGATCATTTTGGAGCTTTAAGATTTGACTGCCCTGCTGGATTTCAGACTTGCATGGGGCTTGTACCCCTTCATTTTGGCCAATTTCTCCCATTTGGAATGGTTGTATTTACCCAATGCCTGTACCCCCACTGTATCTAGGAAATAACTAACTTGCTTTTTACATTTATTTTTTATTTATCCATAGGTTATTGAGGTACAGGTGGTATGTGGTTACATGAGTAATTTCTTTACTGTTGCTTTGTAAGATTTTGGTGCACTCATCACCCTGTATGTATACTCATCACACTATACATTGCACCCTATTTGTAGTCTTTTATCTCTCAGTCCCCTCCCATTCTTCCCCCCAAGTCTTAAAGTCCATTGCATTATTCTCATGCCTTTGCATCCTCATAAGCTTAGCTCCCACATATCAGTGAGAACATACAATGTTTGGTTTTCCATTCCAGAGTTAGGAAGTAACTAACTTGCTTTTGATTTTACAGGCTCATAGGTTGAAGGGACTTGTCTTGTCTCAGATGAGACTTTGGACTGTGGAATTTTGAGTTAATGCTGAAATGAGTTAAGACTTTGGGGGACTGTTGGGAAGACATGATGGGTTTAGAAATATGAGGATATGAGATTTGGGAGGGACCAGGGTGGAACGATATGGTTTAGCTATGTTCCCACCCAAATCTCATCTTGAATTGTAGCTCCCATAATTCCCACATGTTGTGGGAGGGACGTGGTAGGAGGTAATTGAATTATGGGGGGCAGGTCTTTCTCATGCAGTTCCCATGATAGTGAGTAAGTCTCACAAGATCTGTTGGTTTTATAAAGGGAAATTCCCCTACACACTTTCTCTTGCTTACTGCCATGTAAGACATGACTTTGCTCCTAATTTGTCTTCTGCCATAATTGTGAGACCTCCCCAGCCATATGGAACTGTGAGTCAATTAAAGCTTTTTCCTCTACAAATTACCCAGTCTCAGAGTCTCAGGTATGTTTTTATTAGCAGCATGAGAACAGACTAATACACGTCCCAACCAAAAAAAGCCCTGGACAAGACGCATTCACAGCCTAATGTTACCAACCATACAAAGAAGAGCAAGTACCAATCTGACTGAAATTATTCCAATAAATCAAGGAAAAAGGAATCCTCTCTAACTCATTCTGTGAAGCCAGCATCATTCTAATACTAAAGCCTGGTAGAGACAAAACAAAAAGAGGAAACTTCAGGGCAATAACCCCAATGAACATAGACACAAAAATCCTCAAGAAAATACTAGCAAACTAAATCCAGGAGCACATCAGAAGGTTAATTAACCACAATCATACAGCCTTTACTCCTGGAAAGCAAAGTTAGTTCCACATACATGAATCAATAAATGTAATTCATCACATAAGACTAACAACAAAAACCACATGATCATCTCAATAGATGCAGAAAATCCCTCCATAAAATCCAGAATTCCCTCACGATAAAGACCTTCTACAGGCTAGACATTGAGTAAATATAGTTCAAAATAATAAAAGCCATCTATGGGAAAACCACTGCCAACATCATAATGAATGAACAAAAGCTAGAAGCATTGACAACTGGAACAATAAAAGGATGCCCACTCTCACCACTCCTATCCAACACAATATTGGAAGTACTAGCCAAAGCAATCAGGCCAGAGGAGGAAATAAAAGGCATCCAAATAGAAAGAAGGAAAGTCAAACTATCTCTCTTCACAGAAGATATGATTCCGTACCTAGAAAACACCATAGACTCCACCAGAAGATTTCTAGAACTAATAACTTCAGTGAACCTTTGGGATACAAAATAAATGTACAAAAGCCAGTAGTATTGGTATACACCAATGATATTCTAGCTAAGAGCAAAATCAAAAACTCAGTCCCATTTAAAATAACAAAGAATAAAATTCCTAGGAATACAGTTCACCAAAGTAAAAGATATCTACAATGAGAATTACAAAACACTGCTGAAAAAAAATCATAGATGACGCAAACAAATGGAAAATATTCCATACTCTTGGATAAGAAGAATCAATATTGTTAAAATAGCCATACTCCCCAAAGAAATTTACAGATTCAATGCTATTATTAAACTACTAACACCATTCTTCCCAGAATTAGGAAAAACTATTCTAAAATTCATATGCAACCAAAAAAGATCATTAATAGCCAAAGTAAGCCTAAGCAAAATCAACTAAGCTGGAGGCCTCATACTATACTGACTTCAAACTATAGTGCAAGACTACAGTAACCAAAACTGCATGATACTGATACAAAAAAAGGACACATACACCAAAGAAAGAGGACAGAGAACTGAGAAAAAAATCCACAAACCTACAGCCACTTGATCTTCAACAAAGTAGACAATGACAAATAACGAGACAGGACTCCCTACTTAATATGGTGCTTGGATAACTGGCTAGCCATATGCAAATAATTTAAACCATATATCTTCCTTTCACAATATACAAAAACTAACTCAAGACGGATCACGTTTAAATGTAAAACCTAAAACAATAAAAACTTTAGAAGAAAACTCAGGAAATATCATTCTGAACATTAGCCTTGGTAAACATTTTATGACTAAATCCCCAAAAGGAATTCACAACAAAACACAAATTGACAAGTTGGACCTAATTAAACCAAAGAGTTCCTGCACAGCAAAAGAAACTAACAGATTAAGTAGACTGCCTACAGAATGGAAAAAATGTTCACAAACTGCCTCCAACAAAGATTTAATATTCAGAATCTATAAGGAACTTAAACAAATGAACAAGCAAAAATAAATAACCACATTAAAAATTGGGCAAAGGACATTAACACACTTCTCAAAAGAAGAAATATGCACAGCCTAAAAGCATATGAAAAAATGCTCAACATCACCAATCATCAGAGAAATACATATCAAAACCACAATGAGATACCATTTTATACCAGTAGAATAGCCATTATTAAAAACTAAAAAAACCACAGATGCTGGCAAGGCTGTGGAGAAAAGGGAACCCTTATATGCTGCTGCTTGGGATTTAATTTAGCTCAGACACTGTGGAAAGCACTGTGGAGTTTTCTCATAGAACTTAGAACTACCATTCAACCCAGCAATCTCACTATTTGGTATATACCCGAAGGAAAATAAATCATTCTACCCAAAAGACACATGCACCCATATGTTCATCGCAGGACTATTTACAGTAGCAAAGACATGGAATCAACCAAGGTGTCCATCAATAGTGGATTGGATAAAGAAAATGTGGTACATATTCACCATGAAATACTACATAGCCATAAAAAATGAAATAATGTCTTTTACAGCACCATGGATACAGCTGGAAGACATTGTCATAAATGGACCAATGTAGGAACAGAAAAACAAATATGCACATTTTCCCTTAGAAGTGGGAGCTGAACATTGAATGCACATGGACACAAACATGGGAAAGACAGACTCTGGGAAATGCTTGAGGAGGAAGGGTGGGAAGGGCCTGTGGGTTGTAAGGCTACATATTGGGTACTGTAGTCACAGTTTGGTGATAGGCCAATTTGTACATCAAGTCTAAGTTACATGCAACTTACCCATGCAGCAAACCCACACATGTACCCCCTGAACCTAAAGTAAAAGTAGAAACAAGAATTTTCCAGATAAAGCAAAGTTGAGGGAGTTCATTGACAGCTAACCTTATGTGTGAGAAATGTTAGAGAAAGGAGGCTTTTAAGTTGGAAAACAAAAGAAAACAGAGAGCAACACAAAGCCATATAAAAATTATAAAGTTCTCTGATAAAGGTAAAAGTGTGATAAAATTGTCATAATTTTGGGACACAAATTTACTTTTAATTCTTTCATAGAATTTAAAAGACAAAAAATTCTCCTGGACATCTATATAATGGGTACACAACATGTCAAGATATAATGTGTTATATCAATAACATAAAATGGAAGTGAATCTATAAATAATAGAGGTTTGCATTTGACTGAAGTTACAAGTTTAAAATTGACTGTTATGACATTAAGATACTTCATCTAATTGTAATGATAACCACAAAGAGAGAATGTCTAGAGATTATATACAGAAGAAAATGAGAAGGAATTGAAATCATATAACACACAACAATCAATAAAACACAGAGGGAGGCACTAATAGAGAACCAAAAATCTACAAGGTATAAAGAAAGCAATAAAATAGCAGTGATAGGTTCTTTCCTATCAGTAATACATTTAAATGTAAATGGAATAAACTCTCATTACAAAAACAGATTAGCTGATCAGATGAAAAACAAGATCCAAGTATATGTTCTCTACAGGAGAATCACTTTAGATACAAGGACACACATTAGCCTAAAGGGAAAGGATTGTAAAACATATTTCATGCATATAGTAGCCAGAGAAGAGTCAAAATAGCTATATTAATATCAGACAAAATATACTGTAAACCAAAACTGTTACAAGAGACTAAAAAGGACACTAGTTACAGACGAAAGTGTCAGTTCACCAAGAAGATATAACAATTATAAGTACTTATACATCAAATATCAGAGCTTCTAAATATAGGAAGCAATTGTTTTTAAATAATTGAAGGAAACAATGGCAGCACAATAGTAGTTGGATACTTCAATACTCCACTTTCAACAATAGACAGAATAACTAGATAGAAGATGAGTAAGTAAATAATGAACTTGTACAACAGTATAAACCAATTAGACCTTACAGATATTTACAGAACATTGCACTCAACATTAGAATGCATGTTCTTGTCAAGAGCAATTGAACATTTACAGCACAGCATGTCTGTTAGACAATGAAACAAGTCTCAACAATTTTAAAAATATTCAAATTATGCAAAATATATTTTACAGTTTCAATGAAAAGAAACTAAAAATCAATGAGAGATGGAAAACTTGTATATCCAGAAATACATAGAAATCAAACAAGACAATCTTATATGATTGGCGAGTCAAAGAAATCACAAGGAAAAGTAGAAAATACTCTCTCAAATTAAAATGAAAACACAGTATACCAAAAGTTATGGGGTCCAGTGAAAACATTACTAGAAGGGAAGTTAATACCTCTAAACACACACGTTACAAAAGAAGAAAGATCTAAAATCGATAATCTAATGTTACATTTCAAGGAACTAATAAAATAAAATTAAATTAAACCCAAGCAAGCAGAAGAAAGAAATAGTAAAGATTAAAGCAGGGACAAATATAATAAAACTAGAAAACAAATAGAAAAAAATCAAGAAACAAAGATTTTGTTTTTTTGAAAAGATCAACAAAATTGGCAAACCCTTAGCTAGATTAAGAAACAAGAGAAAATACTCAAATAATTAAAATATGAAATGAAATAGGAGGTATTACAACTGATGCCACAGAAATAAAAACATTTTACAAGACAATTCTAGGAACAACTATATGCCAAAAAAGTGGATAAACTAGAGGAAATGTAGAAATTACTACACACACACAAACTATCAAGATTGCCTCGTGAAGAAATAGAAAATCTGAAAGACACAGAACTAGTAAAAAAATAGACATAGTATTCCAAAATCTGAATAAAGAAAATCCCAGGATAAGATTTCTACAGTGGAGATTTCTACGAAACATGTAAAGAAGATTTAACATCAATTCTTTTCAAACTCTTTCAAAGAATTAAGAAAAGGAAATACGTCTCAACTCATTCTATGAGGCCAGCATTACCTTAATAGCAATGCCAGACAAAGGCTCAACAAGAAAAGAAAACTAGAGCCCAATATCCCCATTACCCACTGATGCATAACTCCCCAACAAAATAATACGAAATTGAAGTCAGTAGCACGTTAAAGGGATTAAGCATCATGACCAAGTGGGATTCAATCCTGGAATGCGATGATGGCTCAACATATACAAATAAAACAATTTGATACACTATTTTAGCATAATGAAGGACAAAAACCTAGTGATCATCTCAATTGTTGTAGAAAATACATTTCATAAGATTTCACACACTTTTGTAATAAAAATATTAAATGAACTAGGAATAAAAGTGTGGTGTATAAGATGTGAACAATTACGTACTATTGATGGGATTATAAAATGGTGCTACTGCTATGGAATTAGTATGGTGATTTCCCCAAAAATTAATGATATAACTATTATATGATCCGTCAATCCCACTCTTGGGTGTATATCCAAAAGAATTAAAATCAGGATTTTAAAGAGCTATCTGTACTCCTATGTTTTCAGCATTATTCAAAATAGCCAAATTATGAAACAACCTAAGTGTCCATTGACATGTGAATGAATAAAATCACAAGTACACACATACACAAACAATGTACTATTATTCAGCCTTAAAAAGGAATGAAATCTT
Organism: Homo sapiens; assembly: GCF_000001405.40. NCBI lineage: Eukaryota > Metazoa > Chordata > Mammalia > Primates > Hominidae > Homo > Homo sapiens. The sequence continues at coordinate 288,412 of NT_187577.1, read as the reverse complement.
GTCACACACTACAACATGAACAAACCGTAAGGACATTATGTTAAGTGAAATAAGTCAGTTGCAAAAAGAAAAATACTACATAATTCTACTTATATAAATAATCTAAAGTTGTCACATTTGTAGAAATAGAAAGTAAACTGGTTGTTATCAGAGATTGGGGGCAGGGGTAAAATGAGGGTTGTATAACAGGTTTAGAGTTTCAATTTTGCAAGATAATTTCCGCAAAATTAATTATTGCTGTCATCATAACTGGCTGGATAAAATTCTAAAATCTAAAAGTCAGGGTTATTTACTGCCATGATTTTCATATAGTAAACCAATACTAAACGTTGTAAGGAATGTTAAAGGTGAGAGAGAGAGATAGAACATGCAGTACATTCATTACAAAAAAGAGAGAGATGATGTAGTACGATATCCTCACACATTTTAGTCATTTGTTAATTTTGCTTCTGAATTCCTAAACCTTATTTCTGCTTCCACAGTAGACATCACAGATTTGCAAATTTATTACGTATTGCTTAAGATCTTTAGGATTGTGTTTTTGGCCCCAAATAATCAAATTAGTAAAATTAAAAAAAAAATCCACGTAAAGACTCTTCAAAGATACACAGCAAGTGTTTTAACAGCTATACATTATATTATCATAGAAATGCCAGAAGAACCACAGGGATCATAAAGTAATCCATTTCAGTGATTTACTATTTTAATGTTTTGTGTTGTAGCCAGCATCATATGAAATTTTTGCATTTCATTATTTTTGCATATTTTGCATCCCATTGGTTTACATTTTAAATAATGATAAAATGATGGTTTTAACTATTTATCACTAAGAAGAGCTTTACAATTATTAAGGCACAATGTTTATCCAAAAGCTTTACATTTTTCAGCTCATTACATTTCCATAAGTAAATGGTCCACTTTAAGAACAATGTCCTACTATGATTTAATTAGTGCATTATATGGTTATCAGATTTTTATATTCTGCATTTTGGTAATGCAGTATTAATAAATCTTTTTAAGGTGTCTTAGCATTATACATATAATAAATTTTGTGTATAATTTTGATAGTGAACATATTAAATATTTGAAAACCCTCCTATCAGTGTGAATAAATTGCTTACATTAATAAATATGCCACGATATTGGACTTTTGAGACATAAATTTTTGTTTCCATGATAAAAACCTTTGTAGTACATCATCAGCAACCCCATTAGTTGAAATCTTATTTTCATCTGACCAGAGCTCCAAAGAAGATAGCGTAATACTTGTTTTAAGCTGAGAAAACATCTGAAAACAGAAGCTATATGATATACAGTTTTGGGTGACCATAAATATAACATTACATCTCCATACATAATGCTAATATATTCAATTTACTATTTTTTGGAGAAGAATCCATTGGTGGATGAAACTAGTTAGCACAACTGTAGTTTTTATAAAAATGAAAATGCTATTTATATAAACAGTGCTACTGCATTAAAATAAATGTTTGTTATTAAATACTGAAGATAAATACTTACAGTGTTGATAAGACCAAAGATATGGACAACTTTCTCAGCTGCAGCTGTCACATCAGAGCCCATATAAGCATACTGAAAGACAAATTTTCTTTCTTAATCCCTAGTGAAAATGACTGAACTATCACATTGTAAATGTATTTAAATATAAAATGTTAGAATAATGCAGTGCTAAAGTGAAGAGACAAAAACAAAATTAACTGCTAAGTTTGAGGCATAACCCTAGAGACTTTATACATTAATTAATGATATTAAAATGAGATAGTTGTGATTATCTTCCTTACATATATGTATATATGAAAAGTCAAAAAGTGAAGTTTCCAATGTTGCAGGATATTTTTAAGGAATCAGAGAGACAGATGGGGTTCAGAAGGATATTTATTAATTATTTAGGTGCACCGGCCCAGTCAGGTTAACATCCAAAGGACCGAGCCCTGAACAACAAGTTGTTACCTTTTAAGCATTTCATGGGGGCGGGGGCAGATCTGTGCAGGGGGAAGCATATTACAGAAGCGAGAAACAAAGACAGTTATTTAATTAATCGTGACATGCATTACATCATTTCTTACTTTTCAAGGAAAAACATGTTTTGCGACTTGAGTTTATCTGTCTAGTGACCTTGCAGCTGCACAGCTAGGGAATCAGGGTTTTCACAATGCCTGGGAAAGGAGGAGAGATAAGGCTCACTGGCCGCAGTAAAACAGGCAGTTAATTTTTAAAGGACTCCAACTCTTTCTCTTTCTTAGGGGGAATTGGGTTTTCTTACATACAACTGAGTTTCTGCTTACACACTCCTTAATTTTTCTTAATTCCTGTTCCACAAGAGCACATATTCATCAAAGATCAGAACCAGGCCTCAGACTTTTTACTCAACTACTAAGCCTATTTTGTCTACTGTTGTATACTTCCATCATTCATTTTCATTCCAATAAAACAACATGACTATATATCCTGGATAAACAATGTGCCTTCTAAACACACTGCCCTGAGTACTGCAATGGTTATTAATTTCAATAATATATCCTCATTCAAGAGAAAAATTACAGTATTTTCTCTGAAACATTGTAGCAAATAGTGTACACACACATTTCTGTTTGCTGAAAACACAAAAATTCATAGCTTGGGATCTTCAATAGTCTCCAGCAAGTCTGCAGAAGACTCCTGACAGAAAAAAATAATGAAATAGAATTTTCCTCTCTGATATAGACAAAAGAGATGTTATCTTCCTAACTTGGAGTCCAGGCCTTTTAGAAACAGTTTTACATTTTCCTAGTTCTCTGTATGTAACCTTCCTCAATTAACCGTATTACACGTTTACACAATGTAGGATATGTGGTATGAGGGAAGGTGCTCCTTTACAAGGCTAAACATATGAAAAGCAAGACAGCAGAAAACAAAAGCATGATAGTGGAAGTGAATCCAAATAACCACAAGATATCAACAGATCAAATACTAAAGGACAAAGAGGGTAAAGAAAACCCTGTATAAACAAATTTAAAACCCTGAAAACATAAGGACACAGAAATACTAAGAGCTAAAGGATGACAATATACCAGAAAAATACTAGAAAATAAGCATTTTATGTTATATGATAGTTATATTAGTTAACATAATAGTTACATTGATAGTTATATATTAATAGTTGTGTTTAATATATAACTATTATAGAGCTTAAAGGCAAAAAATGGACATGCTTATCACAACATATTGATAAAAATATTCAACTCATCAGAAAAACCTATTCTAAACTTACTTATACCTAATAATATGGCTATAAAATACATGAAAGAAACTAATAAAATAATAAATAGGAATTGACTATTAGAGTGAGATATTGCTATGCATTTATCTCAATAACTAATAGATCAGGCAGATGAATTAACGGTAACAATACACAAGATTTTAAAACCCAAGCAAATGGCGGATATCATACACATATATGTAAGCTTCAGAGATTATATATATTTTTCAAACATATATGAAAGTCTTATTTAAACTGATCCATGTTAGACCATAAAACAGCTTCTTTAAATATAATACATCGTATCACTTATATTATCCAACTACAGAGCAATGAAGTGATAGAAGATAAAAGTATGTGGCTATTCTTTCTGAGGCATATAACTCCACTGTGATTATAAAAGATAACGTTCTTGTTCTATGTAAATACACTCTGAAATATTTGAGAATAATGCTCCATGATGCAATATACAACTTGCTTTTACATGGAGAGAGCAAAGTGATAATAAGATACAAATTAACAAATCATATAGATAAAGAGAATAGAGGCATTCTTTGTATAATTCTCAATGTTGCAACTTTTCTGAAAGTTGATGTTATTTACAAGTAAAGTATTTAACAAGTAAAGATAATTTCAGACAAACAAAAGCTAAAGAGAATTCAACAGTCAAAAGATACATATCAGAAACACAGACCTATTAGAAGGAATTAAAAGCCTTGGAAATGGTAAATATGTGGAGAAACATAAAATATATTCTTTCTTTAATTTCTTTAAACAACAACTACTCAATTAAAAATTAATTTCTTGTGAATTTATGACACATAAGAATGAAAATATATTACAATGGGCCGGGCACAGTGACTCACGCCTGTAATCCCAGCACTTTGGGAGACCGAGGCAGGTGGATCACCTGAGGTCGGGAGTTCAAGACCAGTCTGACCAACTTGCAGAAACCCCATCTCTACTAAAAATACAAAATTAATCGGACATGGTGGTGCATGCTTGTAATCCTAGCTACTCAGGAGGCTGAGGCAGGAGAATTGCTTGAACCCCGGAGTCGGAGGTTGCAGTGTGCTGCGATTGTGCCATTGTACTCCAGCCTGGGCAACAAGAGCCAAACTCTGTCTCAAAAAAAAAAAAAAAAAAAAAAATATATATATATATATATATATATATATATATATATATATATATATATAACAACAAAATAACAATAATAACAATGACTGATTTGGGTTAAATGAAGCTTTACTGTTTTATGGCTCTTACATCATATATGAGGTGGTAATTCTAGATAATGATAAGAGTGCTAATTGTAGCAACTAGAAAAACTGCTGGGATGAAGGTCTGGAAACAGAAGATAGCAAAAAAAAAAAAAATCAGTATAAAAGATAAAAATAAGTACTAAAAATAAGCCAATAACCCACGGGTAGGAAACAAGGAACAAAGCAGCAAATAAGTGATTTGAAAAAAAGAACACTAATAGCAAAGTAGAACTTAACTTACATATATAGTTATCAGTACTTTTGATAAACATAAACCAACTAAAGGTTCTAATGAAAAGGCAGGGGTTATCTCACTAGATAGGGAGGGACAAAGACTGTCAATCAATATGCTGTTTCCCAGTGTTATACTTTAAAACTAAAGATAGATAAGTTTAAAATAAAAAGAGGGGAAATACTAATCATAGGATATTATTTCAAAAAAACTCTCTGGTTGTTTTTGAAGGATGGCTTTTTCATTAAAAATGGTTTCCATTGTTACTGGGATGGTAAGAAGGTATATGGCTAAGTGGGGACAGGAAAGTAGGCTGATGGATTTAATTTTAGCTGCGGCAAAGCACAATTTCAATGCTTGTGATCTTGTTTTTCTGCCAAAGAGTATTATTCCTCATGTAATAACAATAATAATAAAATCTAAATGTCCTGAAAGGCATTTGCTAGTAAAATAGATTAAATTCCATTAAACATATTAAATAGACAATATATAAATATTGAAATTAAATTGACATGATGTATTTAATGAATATGAGGGAAAACATTATAAAACAGTTCATAAAATAGCATATATAAAATAAAGGTTTATGTATATATACATTATATGAAAAACAGAAATATATGCATATAATTTATCACCTTGTCATAAATTATTTTATTCATCTATATTTTTCTATTATTATTTTTATAAAAATGTATTAAGTTATACAAACATTTTGTTTTAGGAACAAAATTTAGAACATTCTGACACTCATTAAGAGACTTTATGCAAAAATATCAATGATAATGAACAAATCAGTTAATTTAACTTACTGACAATAAGTTCTTGCTGAAACTGATTGATGTAAACAATAATTTCTGTAGCAACCTGAATGTTCTTATAAATAATTCTTCTCATTTTTAAAATACAGAGCCGCTAAAAGAGAACTCGAGCAATTATAAAGCATATCATAATTTTGATACATATAGTATTTAATGAGAAAGATTTCCAATTGAATAAGTGAAATAGCTTGTTTTAAAATGATAATCAATTTAGGTAAAAGGCTTCATCTAAGAGCTGAAGTGGATCCAGAATATCTGCTACTAGTTATAATCCAGTAGATTATAGTGTGGTAGAGCTCTTCTGTAAAAATGTGTACACTATTGCTAGACTTTTATATGAATTTGGTAATCAATACCTAAATATATCTCCCTATGTCAATATAAAGACCATTGATAACATTTCTTAATGTCCTGTTTTACCGAGACACATATTTTGAACAGAGTAAAATATGCCTGCATTGCAAACAATAGAAATTTCTTTTGCATATTCCTCCTGATTTTAAACAAAAAACAAAGATATAATGAAATATATCAGTAATGCATACCAAAGCTTTATCCATAATGATTTGTATTTTCAGGGTTCTTTTCAATAGTGCAACATGTGACTCTTTCTGTGAAACAGAGTACACGAATTAAACCAATTTCAAAAATTTTACATTGAAATTATTATATGCTATATATTTATATATACCATATATGTATACACACCTGCACAGAGGTAAAGTAGATACAGTTCTATACAAACACAGATACAGACACATAGATATAGCTATAGCTCTGACAATAGATATAGATGTAGATCATAGGAAAATAAGGGGATGCATATCTACTTAGTAAATAAGCAGGTCAGAGTCCAAATAAGAATTTTAGTAAACAACAGGAAGCTTTAATTTTATATTCTTCCTAATTAATGTCTTCAAAAAATGAGAGAATTTAATGTTTCCATCCTCTGAAAAATTCGTGGGTACTCTGTAAGGTATCACCCTTACCTTTAAGCTAAACAACTTTACCCCAAATGATGTCTCTCTTTTCTCATCATTTTTATACTTATAACTTTTATATTAACTTTGTTGAGCTTTATGTTCCAATAAAATGCATCAGGTTTAAGTATAAAGTTATAAGAGTTGCAGTACACTCCTACATATGCATTTTTCACAACTAAGATAAAGAATGTTTCCAACATCCTCTACTGTGTCAATAGATCACATGATTCAAGACAACAGATGATCTGCTTCCTCTTACTATCAATAATCTGTTCTGAAATTTCATATAACTGGAATCATATGGCATGCACTTTTAAAATATCTGGCTTCTTTCACTCAGTATTCATCAATGTTGTGATTACTAGTTGTCCATTAGTTTTTATTGCTAAGTAGTGTACCATTTATAGATACATCACAATTTGTTTATACATTCACCTGGTGATGGTCACTTGGATTACTAACACATTTTAGCAATTATAAATAAAGCCTCTCTGAATATCCAGGTCTTTGTGCAGTTATGTGTTCTTATTTTTCTTGGTAAATATGTATAAATAGAATACCTGAGTCATATGGTAATTGTGAGTGTATAAATAGTACAAATAAGCCAAATCGCTTTCCTAAGTGTTTGATCATTTTCATTCTCAACAAGAATAAATCAATTCCCATTGCTCCACATCCTTACCTATATTTTGTATTGTCAGTCTTTTTTGTTATATTTATTCTTGTTGGTCTGTATTGACAGCTCACTGAGGTTTTCTTTGCCATTCTCTGATGAGTAATGATGTTGAATATCTTTCACATGTTTGTGACCCACTAATTTGTTTTTTCCTAAAGTTTCCACTAGAAATTTTGTTTAGCCTTGACATATAAGTCTATGTCTAATTCATTTTCTACATGAGTCAAAGTATATTTTATTCTATATGGTATACAATTCTTCCAGCATCCTTTGTTGAAAAGATAATTTTTTACCCTTTGAAAGTCCTTGCACCTTTGTAAAAAGTCAACCAATAATATATAGGTCTACTTCTGATTTCTCCATTCTGTTTTACTGTTCTATATGTCTATTCTTATGCCAATAACACAATATGCAGGGGTCAGCAAACTATGGCCCTGTTTTCAAAATAATATTTCATTGGAACACAGCCATAATCATTTATTTACATATCATTTATGCAGCTTTCATGTTACAAAGGCAGAATGAAGTGGATTCAACAGACCACATTTCTCACAAGCTTAAGATATTTACAATCTGGTCTTTTAAGAAGTATGTTCTCCTTTCCTTTTAAGAAAAATACAAGTTGTCCTTCTTATTCTACCTTATAAAACTGTTTGACTACTCTAGGATATTTGAATTTCTTTATGAATTTGATAACCAATTTTTACAAAAAAAAATGCTTCCTAGAATTCCCATTAGTATTGCACTGAATCTACAGATCAATTTGGGAATAATGAACAATTTAACAATGCTAATTCCTCTATTTCATGTGACTTGTTAAATTCTTATTAGTCCTGGTACTTTTAGTACCTGCCTCAGCCTCCCGAGTAGCTGGGACTACAGGCGCACACCACCACGCCTGGCTAATTTTTGTTGTATTTTTTAGTAGAGACAGGGTTTCACCGTGTTAGCCAGGATGGTCTCGATCTCCTGACCTCATGATCCGCGCGCCTCGGCCTCCCAAAGTACTGGGATTACAGGCATGAGCCACTGCCCCCAGCCTACTCTAACATTTTTAAAAATACCTGTGAACACTCACTTCCTCAAGTACTCTTTGAATCAAGCTTTATCATCCTACTGGCTCCTTCATTGAGAGGCAGAGAAAATTCTTTTAAAAATATTTTTACTTTGTAGGTATATGAGAGTCGTGACTTTAGAATATTGAAAAACTATATTTTCACAATCATTGAGGTAAAATTAAATAAATTGAATTGTGTTGCTCAAGAAGTGCACCTCATGGGCTCATCTTGTTTTGTTCTGGATCTCACCTTTATTATTATTAATTATTTCAATCGTTTGGGAGAACAGGTGGGGTTTGGCTACATGGATAAGTTCGTTAGGTGTGATTTCTGAAATTTTGTTGCACCCATGACCCAAGCAGTGTACACTGCACCCAGTGTGTAGTCTTTTATCCCTCACCCCACTCCCATACCTTCCCACGCATCTCCAGAGTCCATTATATTACTCTTACGCCTTTGTATCCTTATAGCTTAGCTCCCACTTATAAGTGAGAACATACGATGTTTGGTTTTCCATTCTTGAGTTACTTCACTTAGAATAACAGTCTCCAATTCCATCCAGGTTACTGCAAATGCCATTATTTCATTCCTTTTTATGGCAGAGTAGTATTCCATTGTATATGTGTATGTGTATATATGTATGTGTATATATGTATGTGTATATATATATGTGTATATATACGTGTATATATGTATGTGTATATATATATGTGTGTGTATATATATGTGTATATATAGTGTATATATATGAGTATATGTATATATGTGTATATGTGTATATGTATATATGTGTATATATTTACACATATATACACTATATATGTATATGTGTGTATATATACACATATATACACTATATATACACATATACACATATATATGCATATATATACATACATATATACATATATACATACATATATACACATACATATATACACATATATACACATACATATATATACACATATATATACATATATACACACAAATATATATACACATACATATATACCACAAATTCTTTATCCACTTGTTGGTTCTTTGTCCACTTGTTGGTTGATAGTCATTTAGACTGGTTCCATATTTTTGCAATTGTGAATTCTGCTGCTATAAACATGCATAAGCAAGCGTCTTTTTCATATAATGATTTATTTTCCTCTGGGTAGATGCCCCCAGTGGGATTGCTGGATCAAATGGCGGATCTACTTTTGGTTATTTAAGGAATGTCCATAGTCCTTTCCACAGTGGTTGTACTAGTTCACATTCCCACCAGCAGTGTAAAAGTTTTCCCTTTTCACCACATCCACACCAACATATTTTTTTTTTAAAAGTTTTAATTATGGCCATTCTTGCAGGAGTAAGGTGGTATCACATTGTGGCTTTGATTCTCAATTCCCTGATAATTAGTGATGTTGAGCATTTTTTCATATGTTTGTTGGTCATTTGTATATCTTCTTTTGAGAATTGTCTATTCATGCCCTTAGCCCACTTTTTGATAGGATTATTTGTTGCTGTTGTTTTTCTTGCTGATTTGTTTGCATTCCTTGTAGATTCTGGATATTGGTCCTTTGTCTGATGCACAGTTTGTGAAGATTTTCTTCTACCCTGTGTGTTGCCTGTTTACTCTGCTGATCATTTCTTTTGCTGTGCAGAAGCTTTTTAATTAAGTCCCATCTATTTATCTTTGTTTTAGTTGCATTTGATTTTCGGTCCTCAGTCATGAAGTCTTTGCCTAGGCCAATGTCTAGAAGAGTTTTTACCATGTTATCTCCTAGAATTTTATCGTTCAGATGATGTTAAATTTAAGTCTTTAATTCATCTTGATTGATTTTTGTACAAGGTGAGTGATGAGGATCCAGTTTCATTCTTCCACATGTGGCTTGCCAATTATCCCAGCACCATTTGTTGAATAGGGTGTCCTTTCCACACTTTATGTTTTTGTTTGCTTTGTTGAAGTTCAGTTGGCTGTAAGTATTTGGCCTTATTTCTGCATCCTCTATTCTGTTCTATTGGTCTACTTGCCTGTTTTTATATCAGTATCATGCTGTTCTGGTAACTATAGCTTTGTGGTATAGTGTGAAGTCTGGTAATGTGGTACTTGCAGATTTGTTCTTTTTGCTTAGTCTTGCTTTGGCTATGTGGGCTCTTTTTGTGTTCCCTATACATTTTAGGATTGTTTTTCTAGTTCTGTGAAGAACGATGATGGTATTTTGATGAAAATTGCATTGAAATTACAGATTGTTTTTTGCCATTGGTCATTTTCATATTATTGATTCTACCCATCCATGAGCATGGGATGTTTCCATTTGTTTGTGTCATCTATGATTTCTTTCACCAGTGTTTTGTAGTTTTCCTTGTAGAGATCTTTCACCTCTTTGGTTAGGTATATTCTTAAGGGTTTCTTTTTGCAGCTGTTGTGAAGGGGGTTGAGTTCTCAATTTGATTCTCAGCTTGGTCGCTGTTGGTGGATAGCAGTGCTACTGGTTTGTGCACACTGATTTTGTATCCAGAAACTTATTGAATTCATTCATCAGATCCGGGAGCTTTTTTAATAAGTCTCTAGGGTTTTCTAGGTATATGATCATATCATCGGTGAACAGCCACGGTTTGACTTCCTCATTATCAATTTGGATCCCCTTTATTTTTTTCTCGTCTGATTGCTCTGGCTAGGACTTTCAGTACTATGTTTAATAGAAGTGGTGAAAGTGAGCATCCTTATCTTGTTCCAGTTCTCAGGGGGGAACGCTTTCAACTTTTTCCCATTTAGGTATGTCCCTTCTATGCCAATTTTGCTGAAGGTCTTAATCATAAAAGAATGCTGGATTTTGTCAAATGCTTTTATGCATCTATTGAGGATCATATGATTTTTGTTTTCACTTCTGTTTATGTAGTGTATCACATTTGTTGACTTCTGTATGTTAAACCATCCCTGCATCCCTTGTTTAAAACTCACTTGATCATGGTAGATTATCTTTTTAATATGCTGTTGAATTCATTTATCTAGTATTGAGTTGAGGATTTTTGCTTCTATGTTCATCAGTGATATTGGTCTGTAGTTTTCTTTTTATGTTATGTCCTTTCCTGGTTTTGGTATTAGGGTAATACTGGCTTAATAGAATGATTTAGGGAAGATTCCCTCTTTATCTTTTGGAATAGTTTCAGTAGGATTGGCACCAATTCTTTCAATGTCTGAAAGAATTCAGTTGTGAATCCATGTGGTCCTGAACTTTTTTTTTGTTGGCATTTTTTTTATTACTGTTTCAATCTTGCTACCCATTATCGATCTGTTCAGAGCTTCTATTTCTTTCTGGTTTAATCTAGGAGGATTGTATATTTCCAGGAATTTATCTGTCTCCTCTAGGTTTTCTAGTTTGTGCACATAAAGGTGTTTATAGTAGCCTTGAATTATCTTTTGTATGTCTGTAACATCAGTTGTAATGTCTCCTATTTTGTTTCTAATTGAGGTTATTTGGATCCTCTCTCTTCTCTTCTTGGTTAATCTCACTAACGGTCTATCATATTTGTTTATCTTTTCAAAGAACCAACTTTTTGTTTCATTTATTTTTTGTATTTTTTTATTTCAATTTCATTTAGTTCTGCTCTGATCTTTGTTATTTCTCTTTTTCTGCTGGGGTTGGATTTGGTTTATTCTTGTTTTCTGAGTTTTTTGAGGTGTGACCTTAGATTGCCTATTTGTACTCTTTCAGACTTTTTGATGTAGCCATTTAATGCTGTGAACTTTCCTCTCAGCACTGCTTTTGCTGTATCCCAGAGGTTTTGATAGGTTGTGTACTATTACCATTCAGTTCAAAGAATTTTTAAATTTCCATCTTGATTTCATTGGTGACCCAATGATCATTCAGGAGCAGGTTATTCAACTTGATATATTTGCATGGTTTTGAGGGTTCCTTTTGAAGTTGATTTCCAATTGTATTGCACTGTGGTCTGAGAGAGCACTTGATAATGATTTCGATTTTCTTATCTTTATTGAGACTTGTTTTGTGGTCTATCATATGGTCTATCTTGGAGTATGTTCCGTGTGCTGATGAACAGAATGTACATTCTGCAGTCGTTGGGTAGAATGTTCTATAAATATGTGTTAAGTCCATTTGTTCTAGGGTATACTTTAAGTCCATTGTTTCTTTGTTGACTTTCTGTCTTGGACCTTTCTAGTGCTCTCAGTGGAGCATTGAAGACCCCCACTATCATTGTGTTGCCATCAACTTCATTTCTGAGGTCTAGTAGTAATTGTGTGTGTATAATATATATAATATATAAAGTATGATATATATCAATATTAATAGATTTTAAAGAAGAGATATACTGTAATACAATAATCATAATGGACTTCAATATTCCACTTTCAACAACAGACAGATAATCCAGACAGAAAATTAATAAGAAAACATCAGACTCAAACTACACTTTAGACCAAATGGACCTACTATACACATAAAAAACATTCTATCAAACAGCAACAGAATATATATTTTTCTCAAGAACACATGAAATATGCTCCAGGATAGATCATATGTCAGGCAGCAAAGTAAGTCTTAGAAAATTTAAAATAATTAAAATAGTATCAAGTATCTTTCTCACCACATTGATATAACAAGAAGTCAATAACAGGACTTGGAATTTGGAAATTTTACAAGTATATGAAAATTAAGCAACATACTGCTGAACAATCAATGGATCAAAGAGGCACTTAAAATGAAAATTTAAAAATATTTTGAAATATCTTGATACAAACAATAATAGTCAAACAATATACTAAAACTTATCAGATGCAGCAAAAATCATTCCAGTGGGGAAGTTTATAGCAATAAATATCTACATCAAAAAAGAAGAAAGATATCAAATAATCAACCTAATGTAATTACACCTCAAGGGACTAGAAAAAGCAAAATCCAAAGTTAGTAGAAAAAAGGAAATAAAGATAGGAACAGAAATAAATGAAATAGAGGCTAGAAAAAAGTAATGAAACTAAGAAATATTGATTAATTGTCATAGACTTTGTGAAGTTACATATTAACTTTTAGGTTTTTGTCTGATAGAATAGGAAATAATTCCTGTCATTTAGAAAAGATAACCAAATAAGTTATTGTTTTTTTCCTGTGGATATTAACCAGTTTTGAACATAGTAATATTATGCTAACATTCTTTTGTTTCCAAATCCTATTTATCTAGTTTTGTTACTTACTCTTGAACAAGCCTATTATTCTTTCTAGTTCCCTCATTAATGAGTTGAATAAAACTCTGACACATTAATTGTATATTATGAGAGTAGCCCTTATAATTTTTTGAAAATTATGCTTTTTTCAGGGTCAATCTATTATTTTTTGCTTATTCATGTGTGTGCATGTGTGTGTGTGTGTGTCCAGAAATCTGTAGCAATCTCAAATAAAATGTATTATAAAAAAGAATAGCTTACTGAATTAGCATATTTCAAAAAAACAATTTTCAAATACATTGCACCCCAAATATATATCTGTTAAATAATTAGAACAAACACTGTTTTTAAAGTTAGGAAATTGTGAGCCTATAATGTGACTCGACAAGATGGGTAATGGAATTTTTTATTTTTTAAAGGCTTATTACAGATTTATTTATAATTGCCAAAATTGGGAAGTAAATTAAATGTCTTTCAATAGATAAATACATAAGTAAACTCTGGTACATTCATATAATTGAATATTATCCAGCTATAAAAAGCAATTAGCTACCAAGCCATGAACTATAGCTATAGAACATAGATGAACTATAAATATATGTTGGTAATGGAAAAAAGCCAATCTGAAAAGGCTACATGCGTATATTCTTACAACTATATGACATTATGAGAGACAAAAGTATAGACACAAATTTAAATCCAAACATTCTGATTTCAGTTTTGTTCTGTTATGCCACATTGTTTCTCACAATGTGATATTATTTTCAATAACACCTACACATTCTTATTTACTTTTTCTTTTTAGAGATATCATCTGCTCCACTGACATACTGGATGACATTTCCATCATTCTACAATTCTCACTGTAAAACCTTCAAGGACACCATTTTAATAAATATTTCCCATGGCCTACAGATATGCTGAAATCATTTTTTTCACTTATTATCAACTAACACAACTCTTGAGTCCACAATCACTAAATTCAGGAGAAACATGTTTCTTGTCCACTAGGTGGGAGTTTATCTTCATCAGGGTGACCTTTTCTGTTTTTAACTTTATTGAGGTTTAATTTATAACGTACATACCATAAAATTCACCTATGTTAAGTGTACACTTTAGTGATATTTTAAGAAAATTTACATAGTTGTGCAACCAGCACCACAACCCAAGTTTAGGACATTTCTATTAGCATAGGATAAGATCCCAGGTATCCATTTATAGTTAATCCCCATGTCTGTGGCTGGCCCCAGGTAACCACTAATCTACTTACTGTCTCTATAAATTTGCATTTTGGGACCTCTTCTACAAATAAAATGATAAAATGGGTGGGGTTTTGTATTTAGCTTCTCTTGCACAGTAGTGTTTTTGAGATTGTAGTATGTATGAGTATTCTGTCAACGTTTATTGCTCTCTAGTATTCCATTGTATGGATATATCATAGTTTTTGTCAATTAGTTTATAGATATTTGAGTTGTTTTCAGATTTTGGTCGTTGAATAATGTTGCTATAGACATCCATATGCGAATTTTTGTAAATACGTGTTTTCATTTATCTTGAGTAGACCTAGGAGTAGAATCCTTCGTTCAATTGGTAAACTTATGTTAAACTGCTTAACAGACTGTCAAACTGTTTCCCAAAGTAGCAACACCATTTTTTGGTCCTACTAGCAGTCTATGAGTTCCTGTTTCTCTATGTTTTCACCAGTATTTGTTATTTTCTGTCATTTGATTACAGCCATTCTAGTGGGTGTCTGGTAGTATCTTGTTTGAATATACACATTGCTAATGACTAACAATGTCTTTACTATTTTTCATGTATTTATTATTCTATGTAATTATTTTGTATATATTTCTATATATTTTGTATATCATTGTATATAACTTTGTATATATTTGCCTATCTTCTTTTAACAGGTATTTTACCTGTTCAAATATTTCATACATTTGTAATTGGATTGTTTCCCTTCAATTATTGAGTTGTTAGCATTATTAATAGATTCTGTATACAAGTACTATATCAGAAACACAGTTTGTAAATATTTTCTTCCCCTCTGTGACTTGTCTTTTTATTGTCTTAATAGTGTTTTCTGAGGCACGAAGGTTTTTAATTTTGATAAAGTCCAGTTTACCAACTATTTCTTTTATGAATTATACTTGTGATGTTGTGTCTTGGAAGTTTCTGCCAAATCCAAGGTTATGAATAATTTTTCCTATGTTTTCTTCCAACAGATGTATAGTTTTAACTACTGCAGTTAGGTTGATTGTCTATTTTGAGTTAAATTTTGTGTATGGCATGATAAAAGGGTCCAAATTTACATTTTTGTATGTGGATATTGAATTGTCCCAATAGCCTTTGCTGAAAAGACTATTATTCCTCTATCAAATTGTCTTGACACATTTGTCAAAAATCAATGGACTATAAATATAAGAGTTTATTTCTGGACTCTCAATTCCATCCCATTTATCCATGTATTTAATGTTATGCCAGTACAATGTTAAGCTAGATTACTTTAGCTTTGTAGTAATTTTTGAAATATGAAATGATGACTCCATCAATTTGTTCTTCAGGATTGTTTTAGCACTTCTGGGTGCCTTGCATTTCCAGAATTTTTAGGATTATGTCATCAATTTCTGCAAAGAAGCCTACTAGAATTTCGCCAAAGCTTGTCTTAAATCCATAGATCAATTTAGAGATGTACAGAAGAGTTAACATAGCAGACTTCAGACTGCTATACTTAGAAAGGTATATTCGAAAGCTGGCCTTTGGCTGACACCTCAGTTACCGTTCCCACACCATTGCCTAACTAATAAGTCACTGTGCCTGAACTGTTTAGACCTTGTTATTTATAGTGAACAACCAATTTCCATCTAAGAATTTGGAATTTGGGTAGATACTAGGCAAACGATGCCTATGTGACCAGCCTCTAATAAAAATCTTAGGGTCTGGGTTCCCGGCAGTCAAGATTTCACACATATTGTCATAATTCATTGCTGGAGGAATTAAGTCCATCATGGGTGACTCTACTAGGAAATGACTCTTGGAAGCCTGTGACTACTTTCCTTCACACTTGACCCATGAGCCTTTTTCCTTTGCTAATTTTGCTTTGTATCCTTTTTCTGTAATAAATTATAGTGATGAGTACATTCTATGCTCAATCACGTGAGTCTTCCTACTGATTTACTGAACCAAGGGGTAATACTGGGGATCCCTGACAGAAGGGAGAATCGCTGTCTTAACAATACCATTTTTCAACCCATTCACATGGAAGATCTCAGCATTTATTTAGGTTTTTGTATTTTTCTCAGAAATTTTTTGTTGTTTGCATGTATATTTTGTATTCTTAATATATGCCTAAGTATGTATTTTTATGCTATTGTGAATGAAATTCTATTCTTAATTTTATTTTTCTATTTTCCATTGCTAATATATAGAAGTGCAATTCATTTTTGCATAGCAATTGGGTATCCTGTGACTTTGCTGAATTCATTTATTTATTCAAACAGGTATTTTGGTAAATTTCCTAAGATTTTACATACACGGGGTGGTGTAATCTGCAAATAAAGACAGTTATACTTTTTGTCTTCCAAGTTAGATGCATTTTAATTTTTATTCCTACCTGATTTTACTCTCTTGGACCTCCAATACAATGTTTAGTAGAAGTACTGAGAGCTTGCATCCTCACTTTCATTCTGATTTTAGGGTGGAGAGCAGTGAGAATTTCATGGTTAGTATGATGTTAGCTGTAGGTTTTTCATAAATACTTTGCATCAGGTAGGGGAAGTTCCCTTCTATTTACAATTTGTTAATAATCTATAATGGGTGTTACATTTTGTTATATCCCTTTTCTGCATCATTTGAGATGATCTTGTATTTTCTTGTCCTTTATTATGTTAGTATGGTGTGTTACATTAACTATACCACTTTTGCATTACTGAGATAATCCTTTTTGGTCATGTTGGATACTTCCTTTTATGTTTCTTTATTCTGTTTGCCATTTTTAAAGGACTTTTTGCATCCATATTCGTGAGGGATATTGATCTATAGTTTTCTTTTCTTGTCTTTGTCTAGCGTTAGTATCAAGGTAATACTGTTCTCATAAAATAAATTTAGAAGGGTTCCTTCCTCTTCTATTTTATGCAAAAGATTGTGGAGTATTTTTGTATTATCCCTTCTTTAAATATTTGTTAGAATTCACCAGTCAGGCTATCTGGACTTACGTAGTGAATTATCAAACTGGCCAGAGCTTTACCAAATATCCTGTGTAATTGCTCTATCAGGAGATTTGTCTCTGGAAAGAGCACATGAAACATTTCTTCTCAAAACAATCTGGCATTAGAATTGAGCATCAAACCATGATGGAGCCCATTTCAATAGTCACATAAACTCTGTCTGGTAAACCATCCACCACTACACTATAGCAAATCTGCTGGTAAATTCAGAAGCTGATATTCACATGCAAATGAAATCATTTTTATCACCTTTAAAACAGGAACCAATTTAAAAATTGTTTGATTAGTCAACCACATTTTTTTTTTAGCTTAATATCTCCTTTTTTTTTTCTTTCCAACTTTTTTTTACATTCAAGGGACACATATGCAGGTTTGCTACATGGGTAAATTATGTGTCACAGGGATTTGCTGCACAGATAATTTTGTCACCCAGGTAAGCTTATCTGCTTACCCGATAAGCAGTTTTTCGATCCTCATTCTCCTCACACCCTCCACTCTCATCTAAGCCCTGGTGTCTGCTGTTTCCTTCTTTGTGTCCATGTGTACTCCCACTTATAAGTGAGAACATGCAGTCAACAACATTTTAGAATGTGGTTCTAAATCATCTTACCTAATTATGATTTGAGTTGACAATTTTGATAGAATCCATACTTTGAAAATAACTGTTAGCTACGTACTTTTGTTTCTCCATCAGTAACACTGAGAAAAAAAAAATCATGGCTGAATAATTCTGAAGAGTCACATTGACTAGGACCAGTACACTATTTCTCTATTAGTCATTAAATTAGAGCAAAACAGGCCACTTTTCTTCCTTTATGTATACATCTTCCTTTCAGGTTGATGTAATCCCATTTGTATATTTTTGCTTTTGTTGTCTATGTTTTGAAGTCATGTCCAAAATAAGGATCTCTCTACCACTTCATTTATTCCCTGAAGCCTCTATGCCAATTATTTTCTTTGTCATTAAGGTTTTAGCTCAAATGTCACCCCTCAGAAAGACATTTCCTGTTTACTCTGGCTAAAATACCCTCTTCCCTCACTTTTTATTCTATCGTCCTATTTTATTTTATTTTTAAATCACTTATCACTGTCTGAAACTATCTTGTTTAGTGTTTGTTTGCTTATATGTTTATTCTGTTTACTATCTCCCACTAGATAGTGTGGAGTAAACTATTTCCTGAATTAGTGAATGAACAAATAACTTTAAGCTTTAAATGAACCTGTCTGCTTCTAATGCCAACATTTTATCTCATCCTATTTTGGCAAGGTTTGATCTGCACATTGTTACTCTACGTAATTTTAGGAATAATATGAAAAAGCTAAACAGAATGCTGGAAGCCACTGATTTTTTATATTGATTTTAAAAACTTACTATCTGTGTGTTCAGTGCTATCTATTTTTTTCTGTTTTTCTCTCTGCTATAATCCTTACATTTGGCTGTAATTTCTCATATTTATCTTCCATGTCAATAACTAGTTTGAGCCATAAGAATTCTGATATTCTCTAAGTTTGGCATTTATCTTAAGTTTAAATTGTGAATGTAGTTTATCTGTAATGATTCTTCACTTTATTCACCTTCAGTTTTATTTTGTTCTATTTTTACAACATTCTCTTAGTTCAAAGATGCCAAGCCTTGAAATTTTTTTTTTTGAGAATGTTATTTTTTTTCTGAAATTGCTTATAGAGCCTATAATGACTTAATTTTAAAAGCATACACTCCCTCCAATCTTATGGATGTCTGTCATTTACCCTGTTTCAGAGTTTGTTTCATTTTCCCAGAGTATTTCAGTGAACTCTGCTGGGTGTGAAAAATTATTTGGGAATTTTTTAGTTGATAGGTAAAATTACATGTATTTATCATATACAACACAATATTTTAAAGTGAACTATATATATAGTTCTTTTGTAGTGAGAACATTATTATCCATTCTCTGCATTTGTCAAAAATACAACATAATTATAGTAACTATGCTATACAATAGTTATCTTGAATTTATTCCCCCTCTCTAACTTAATTACACATCCTTCAACCAACATCTCCCCATTCCTTCCTCGCTGAAACAACCATTCTAATCTCTAATTCTATGAGATCAACTTTTTAAGATTCTACATACGAGTATGATTATACGTTATTTGTCTTTCTGTACCTGGCTTATTTATCTTAAGATAATATCCTCCCAGTTTAACCATACTGCCACAAATTACAGAATTTCCTACTTTTTATGGCTAAATAGTATTCCACTGTGTATGTATACCACACTGTCTTTATCCAATCATCTGCTGATGGACACAGAGGTTGATTCCATAATTTGGCTATTGTAAATAGTGCTGGAATAAACACAGGAGTGTTAATGTCTCTTCAACAAACAGATTTTATTTCCTTCGGATACATACCCAGTAGAGGAATCACTGGGTCTCATGGTAATTCTATTTTTAATATTTTGAGGAACTCCCCTATTGTCTTCCATAATGGCCGTATTAATTTACAAGCCTATAAACAGTGTGTAGGGGTGCTCTTTACTCCATATCCTTGCCAAGACTTGTTATCTGTGGTCTTTTGATCATACCCATTCCAACAGAAGTGAGGTGATAGCTCATTGTGGTTTTGATTGACAAGATACTCAAGATAGTAATATTGAGCACTTTTTAAATATACCTATTGGCCATCTATATGACTCCTTTTGAGAAATGCCTATTCAGATCTTTTCCACATTTTTTAATTGGGTTGTTTTCTTGCTATTGAGTTGTTTGAATTCCTTATGTATTTTGGATATTAACCCTTATCAGATGTATAGTTTTCAAATATTTTCTCCCATTCTGTAGATTCTCTCTTCACGTTTTTGATTGTTTCCTTTGCTGTGCAGAGGCTTTTCAGCTTGATATAATCCCATTTGTATATTTTTGCTTTTGTTGTCTATGTTTTTGAAGTCATGTCCGAAATAATAACTGACCAGAACAATGTCATAAAGCTTTTTCCCTGTTTTCTTCAAGTAGTTTTACAACTTTGAGTCTTATATTTAAGTCTTTAATCCATTTCGGTTTTATTTTTGCACATGGAGAGAGATAAGGATCTAACTTCATACTGCTGTATGTGGACATCCAGTTTTTCCAACACCATTTATTGAAGAAACTATCCTTTCTTCAGTTATGTATTCTTGGACCTTTGTAGAAAATCAGTTGACTGTAAATGAGTGGAATTATTTCTAGGCTCTGTATTTTGTTCCATTGGTCTAAGTATCTGGTTTTATGCCAGTACCATGCTGTTTTGGTTACTATAACTGTGTAGTATATTTCAAGGTCAGGTAGTGTGATGCCTATAGCTTTGTTCTTTTTGCACAAGATTGCTTTGGCTATTGGGGGTCTTTTCTGATTTCATTTGAACTTTAGGAATTATTTTTCTATTTCTGTGAAGAGTGTCATTAGTATTGTGATAAGAATTGCAATTAACCTGTAGATTGCTTCGGGTATTATAGATATTTTAACAATATTAATTTTTCCAATCCATGAACAGGGGATAGCTTTCCATTTATTTGTGTCTTCAATTTCTATCATCAATATTTTTTAGTTTTCAGTGTAGACATCATTTAACTCCCTGGTTAAATTTATTCTTAAGTATTTTATTTTTATCTATCATAATGGGATTGTTCTCTTGATTTCTTTTTGAGATAATTCACTATTAATGTATAGGAACACCACTGACTTTAGTATGTACATTTTGTATCCTACAACTTTACTGAATTTATGTACTAAATCTAACAGTTGTTTTTTTTTTGTTTTGTTTTGTTTTTTTGGTGGAGTTTTCTATATATAGATGTACCTCAGAGGTATTGTGGATTCAGTTCTAGAGAACCTCAGTAAAACAAATACAGTAATAAAGCAAGCCACATAAGTTTTGGGGTTTCCCAGTGCATATAAGTTGTGTTCACACTATATTGTAGTGTATAATAGCGCTATGCCTAAAAAATATACATACTTTAATTAAAAAATATTTTATTGATAAAAAGTGATAACAATCATCTGAGCCTTCAGTTTACTGGTAATCTTTTTGCTGCTGGAGGATCTTGCCTCAATGTTGATGGCGCTGACTAATCAGGGTCATGGCTATTAACAATTGAAGTGGCTGTGGCAATATCTTAAAATAGGACAACAATGAAATTGGCCACATCAATTGACTCTTTCTTTCCTGAAAGATTTCTCTGTAGCATGCAATGCTGTTTGATAGCATTTAACTCACAGTAAAACTTCTGTCAACACTGAAGTCAATCCCTTCAAATGTTGTCACTGCTTTATCAACTTTGTTTATGTAATATTCCAAATCCTATATTGTCATTTTGAAAATGTTCACAGTACCTTCACCAGGAATATATTCCATCTCAAGAAATCACTTTCTTCGCTCATCCATAAGAAGCAACTCCTCATCAATTCAAGTTTTATTAGGAGATTGCAGCAATTCAGTCACATCTTCAGACTCTAATTCTAGTTCTCTTACTATTTGTATCACATCTGCATCTACCTCCTCCACTGAAATCCTGAACCCTTCAAAGTCATCCATGAAAGTTTGAATCAACTTCTCCCAAACTCTTGTTAATGTTGATATTTTGATCTCCATCTATGAATTGCAAATGTTCTTAATGGTATTTTAAATGGTGTATCCTTTCTGAAGATTTTTAGATAATTTTGCCCACACCCATCAGAAGACACTATCTATGGCAGCTAGAGTCTTTACATAATAAGGCTTGAAAGTCAAAATGACTCCTTGATCATTTGTCTGACCATGGGCTGCAGAATGGATATTGTGTTAAGCAGGTATGAAAACATTAATCTGCTTATACATCTCCATCAGAGCTCTTGGGTGACTAGTCGCATTGTCAATGAGCAGTAATGTTTTCAAAGGAATCTTTTTTTCCTGAGTATTGGGTCTCAACAATGAGCTGAACATATTCATTAAGCCATGCTGTAAACAGATATGCTGTCATCCAGGCTTTGTTGTTCCAACATAGAGCACAGGCAGAGCAGATTTAGCGCAATTCTTAAGGGTCATGGGATTTTTGGAATGATAAATGATCATTGGCTTTAACTTAAAGTCACCAGTTGTATTAGCCCATAACAAGAGAGTCAGCCTAAAGCTTTGAAGCCAGGCATTAAATTCTCTCTAGCTATGAAAGTCCTAGAAAGCATCGGTATTAGGCCATTCTTCCACTGCCATAAAGTAGTATCTGAGATTGAGTACTTTACAAGAAAAGACATTTAATCGATTCATGGTTCTGCAGGCTGTACAGGAAACATAGTGGCATCTTCTTCTGGGGAGGCCTCAGGAAGCTTCCATTCATGGCAGAAGGCAAAGGAGGTCAGGCACATCACATGGCAAGAACAGGAGCCAAAGCAAGAGGGAGTTGGTTGGGGGAGAAGGGAGACACGCCACACCCTTTTAACCAATCAGATCTCATGAGAACTTAATCACTATCGTGAAGATAGCACCAAGCCATGAGGGATCCACCCCCAAAATCCAAACACTTCCCACCAGACCCCACCTCCAGCAGTGGGGATTGCAATTTAACAGAGATTTGGATAGGGACAAATAGCCAAACTATATTAGCATCTTTTTTCAATAAAAGGCTGTTTCATCTACACTGAAAATCCATTGTTTAGTGTAGATACCAGCATCAATGATCTTAGCTAGATCTTTTGGATAACTTGCTGCAGCTTCTGTATCAGCACTTGCTGCTTCACCTTGCACTCATGCTATGGAAAAATCTTCTTTCCTTAAATCTTATAAACAAACATCTGCTAGCTTAAAATTTTCTCCTGCAGCTTACTCACTTCTCTCAGCCATCATAAAATTAAAGAGAGTTAGGTCCTTGCTCTGGATTAGGCTTTGGCTTGAGGGAATGTTGTGGCCGGTTGGATCTTCCATCCAAACCACTAAAACTTTTTCCATATCAGCAATAAGCCTGTTTTGCTTTCTTATCATTTGTGTGTTCACTGGGCTAGTGCTTTTACTTTCTTTCAAGAACTTTCCTTTGTATTCCTAACTTGGCTAACTGTTTAGCACAAAGTCCTGGCTTTCAACCTATTTCAGCTTTTGACATGCCTGTCGCAGGAATCTTGATCATTTCTAGCTTTTGACTTAAAATGAAAAACATGAAACTTTCTTTCTGGTGAACGCTTAGAGGCCATGTATGGTTATTAATTGGTCTAATGTCAATATTGTTGTGTTTCAAGGAACAGAAAAGCCTGTGGAGAGGGAAAGACAGGGGAATGGCTGGATAGGGATCAATTAGAACATATACATTTATTGATTATTTGGATTGAATCTAATTGGAGACTTTTGACTTTTCCTGTACGTGGAGTATATCTTTCTCTAGGTTTGGAGAGTTTTCTCTTCTATTATTTCTGTAAATAAGCTATTTTTTTTTTTTTTTGAGATGGAGTCTCACTCTGTCCCACAGGCTGGAGTGCAGAGGTGCGATCTTGGTTCACTGCAAGCTCCGCCTCCCGGGTTCACACCATTCTCCTGCCTCAGCCTCCCGAGTAGCTGGGGCTACAGGCGCCCACCACCACACCTGGCTAATTTTTTTGTATTTTTAATAGAGACGGGGTTTCATCGTGTTAGCCAGGATGGTCTCGATCTCCTGACCTTGTGATCAGCCCACCTGGGCCTCCCAAAGTGCTGGGATTACAGGCGTGAGCCACCGCACCCGGCCACCATCTATCTCTTCATCTTTTTTATTCTTTCTTCAACACCAGCTGCTCATATATTACCTTTTTTGATGGTGCCCCATAAAGCCTGTGAGTTTTCTTCATTCCTTTTCATTCTTTTTCTATTTTCTCCTCTAACTGAATATTTTCAAAATAGTTATCTCCTATTTCACAGATTCTTTCTTTGGCTTTATCAGTTCTGCTGTTTGCACTCTTTACTGCATTTTTAAACATCATTCATTGTATTTTCAGTTCCAGGATTCCTGTTTGATTTTCAATCTCTTGGCTGCTAAAGTTACACTGGGCTAGAATTCAACCCTCCCAGCTGCTGAAGTCACCTTGTCACTGTGGGCTTTTGAAGCCCAACACTGTTGTAGTAGGTGGGTGGTGATGCAGGCCGAAACTTGAGGCCATCTTGCAGGGGCTAGAGGTTACTGTTTGGTGCTGCGGCAGGTCTGAAAGCTCAGATCATAATTACCAGCTAAGATTCAAGGGCCTTGGGCATCTGCCCAGTGCCAGGTTTTACTGCGGTTGACCTGGTATTGGTTAAAAGGTACAGTCCAAGTCTCACTTCCCTCTTTTTCTGGCAAGCAGACAGTATCTTTCGCTGTGCTGTGCTGTGCTATGCTGTGCTGTGCTGTGCGGTGCTGCCTGGGGTTCAGGGAGGGGCGATGCAGGTAATGTAAAACTGTCCTTCCTACCCTCTTTAATGAATCTTTTCTTATAGTAATCCCAAATAGCTGGGATTACAGGCGTCTGCCACCACACCCGGCTAATTTTTGTATTTTTAGTAGAGACGGGGTTTCACCATGTTGGTCAGGCTGGTCTCAAAATGCTGACCTCAAGCTATCCATCCATCTTGGCCTCCCAAAGTGCTGGGATTACAGCTGTGAGCCACTGTGCCTGGCCTTCATTTGCTTTTTCTATTGTTTCCTGCCAAAGATGTGTTAACAACTCTTAAAGTGATTGTGAATTTGTCTGTCTCTCCTCATAGTAAAATTTCGCTTTAAAATATTTTGAAACTATGTTTGCGTGATTTTTAATTTAGAATTATTACATGTCCTAGTGTGCTGGACCAACCCTGTTCTGGCTTGCAAGGGCCAATTGTTAAATTTTCAGAAATTTTGTGAACAGGTTGCTAACAAAGCCATTAATAAAAATTGAATTTCATTAACTTACAATGAAATAAATTAAATTTTTAAAAGGTAACAAATATTGAAAACATCATTTCTTATTTTCCTACATTTTAATTTTACCTATGCTCTTGAAAATATTAATGTCTATTATTAATTTTTGGTGGAAATACTGTATAATGATCTGCTACCATTCACATTTTTCCAACTCTGCATTTAATAATGTTGCATTTGTCACTTTAAATCTGCCATTGTGGGAGTGTTTAAAGGAAGGAATTCAGCAAGTGCTACAAATCAGGGCCCAAATCAGGTTTTGTTGATTGTCTTGGTGTGCGTGCTAAAAGGTTTTGGGTTAATTAATATAATTTGTATGAGGTTGAGAAATAATTCAACAGCAACTAATATACCAGATTTAATAAAGATGAATTTACTCGGTAAGAGTTAGCAAATTAGGATAGAACTCCAATTATCAAATCATGGTTGAATCACAATCATACACTGAGTTAACTACAGAATCAACAAAAGTATTCTGGGAGAAGTATTCTGGCTACATAAATTTACAGTAGAGGGTATTCTTGCATAACTGAAAGCATGTACCCTTCAACTAACTTAATTGCAATAAACTACACCCATTTAAAATGTTTAGTTTAATGAATTTTGCCATATGCATTTACTCATATAATCAAGTTACAGAACACTTCCATTGCCGACCAGAGATATCTCCTACTTATTGAAGTCAACCACTTCTTCACACTAAAGATTACTTGCCATTTTTTTATAATTTTACAGAAACAGAATCATATATCACATAACCTTGTGAATCTGGCTCATTTCAATCAGCATAATCTTTTTTGTGATTCACCAATGGTGATAAATTTACCAGCATTTTGTTCATTTTTTATTGCTGAGTAGTTTTCCAATGACTAGAAATACCACAATGTATCTGTCCAAATAATGATAGGTATTTGGATTATTTCTAGTATTTGGCTGCCATGAATAAAGCAGCTCTAAACATTCATGTAGAAATATTTTGGGGGATATATATTTTCATTTCTTTGGAAAAAAAATACTCAGAGATGGAAATCTAGGTCAAAAGGAAAGTATATATTTAACTTTATAAGACATGGCCAAAATGCTTCAAATATTTTTACACCCAACTAGCAATTTACACAAATTTCAGTTGCTCTACATCTCAACAAAACTCACTATTTTTATCAGAAGGGGATGTATTATTACAGACATTCTAATATGTGTGCAGTATATATGATGTGGTTTTAATTATTTTTCCCAGATGACTAGTGATATTAAACATCATTTCATTTTCTTATTGTCATTTATAAATAATCTACTGTAAACTGTCCAAATTATTTTGCCTAATTTTATTAGGTCATTTGTCTCCTTTTAATTGAGTTATAATATGTACTCTCAAGAAATACAGATTTTGTCTTTTTAAATTTTGTTTAATATAAAATATTTTTAGAGCATTGTTAGGATCACAGCAAAATTGGGCAGAAGGTACAGAGATTTTCCACATGCCTCGCCCACACACATACACAGCCTCCCTCCTTATCAACAGATCAGAGTGGTACATTTGTTACAAATGATAACCCTACCTTGACACACCATTACACCTGGAGTTCAATTTTACATTAGTTAGGGTTTACTTTGGTGTTGTACATGGTATGTGTTTGAAAAATTTATAATGACATGTATCCACCACCACAGTATCATACAGAGTAGTTTCACTGTCCTAAAAGTCCTCTGTGTTCTACCTAATCATCCCTCCCGTCCCTTTAACCCCTGGCAACTGCTGATCTTTTTACTGTCCCCATACTGTTATCTTTTCTAGAATGTCATATAGTTGAAACCATGTGGTACACAGCTTTTTCAGATGGCTTCTTTGACCTAGTAATACATATCTTAGATTTCTTCATGTTTTTTCATGGCTTGATAGCTCATTTCTTTTTAGCACTTTTTATTTAATAGACAATATTTTTAGAGCATTGTTCCATTGTCCAATGCAGCAAAGACTATTTATTCATTTACCTATTCAAAAATATTTTAGTTGCTTCCAAGTTTTGGCAATTAAAAATTAATCTACTAGAAACATCTGTGTGCAGCTACTAGAAACATCTGTGTGCATGTTTATATGTGGACATAAATCTGCAACTCTTTTGGGTAAAATACTAAAGAGAGTGATTGCCGGATAATATGGTAAGAGCATATTTAGTTTTAAAAGAAACCACCATCCTATTTTCCAAAATGGCTGTGCTATTTTGCATTCCACTCATCTTGCTTATTAAATAATGAATGAGAATTCCTGTTGCCCCACAGCCTCATCAGCATTTTGTGTTTTTAGTGTTCTAGATTTTTGATCATTTAATAGGTAGGTAGTGGTACCTTGGTGTTTTAATTTGCATTTCAGCAATAATATATGATGTGGAGCACCTTTTCATATTTGCCATCTGTATACCTTTTTTTGGCAAGGTGTCTGTTAAAGTCCTTGGCTCTTTTTTACTCAGGTTGTTTGTTTTCTTACTGTTGAGTGTATTAGTCTCTTCTCAAACTGCTAGTAAAAACATACCCAATGCTGGGTAATTTATAAAGGTAAGAGGTTTAATTGACTCACAGTTCAGCATGGCTGGGGAGGCCTCGGGACACTTACAGTCATGGGAGAATGGGAAGCAAACATGTCCTTCTTCATATGGCTGCAGCGAGGAGAAGTGCCAAGCAATAGGGAGAAAAACCCCTTATAAAACTATCAGATCTCATGAGAACTCACTCACTATCACAAGAACAGCATGAGGGTAACCACCTCCATGATTCAATTACTTCCCACTGGGTCCCTCCCACAAAACATGGGGATCATGAGAACTGCAATTCAAAATGAGATTTGGGTGGGGACACAGCAAAACCATATCATTGTGCCCATGGCCCTTCCCAAATCTCATGTCGTCACATTTTAAAACACAATCATGCTTTCCCAGCAGGGTAAGTTCTTTCTGCCTATAAGCCTGTAAAATCAAAAGCAAGTTAGTTACTTTCTAGATGCAATGGGGTATAGACATTGCATAAATACATCCATTCCAAATGGGAGAAATTGGCCAAAATGAAGGCGCTACAGGCCCCATGCAAGTCCAAAATCCATTGGGGCAGTCACATCTTAAAGCTCTGAAATGATCTCTTTTGACTCCACATCTCACATCCAGGTCACACTGATGCAAGAGGTGGGTTCCCACAGCCTTGGGCAACTGTGCCCCTGTGGCTTTTCAGGGTACAGCACCCCTCCCAGCTTTCTTTGTGGGCTGGCATGAGTGTCTCTGGCTTTTCCAGGTGCACAGTGCAAGCTGTCAATGGATCTACCATTCTAGGTTCAGGAGAATGGTGGCCCTCTTCTCACAGCTCCACTAGGCAGTGCCATGGTGGGGACTTCTTTGGGAGGGGCTCCAACCCCACATTTCCCTTTTGCACTTCCCTAGCAGAGGTTCTCCATGAGGGTGCCAGCCTGCAGCAAACTTCTGCCTGGACATCCGGGCATTTCAATACATCCTCTGAAATCTAGGCAGAGGTTCCAAACCTCAATTCTTGACTTCTGTGTGCCCACAGGCTAAACACCACGTAGAAGCTGCCAAGGCTTGGGGGGCTTGCACCCTTTGAAGCCATAGCCTGAGCTGTGCCTCTGCCCTTTTAGCCATGGTTGGGATGTAGGACACCAAATCCTGAGACTGCACAAAGCAGCAAGACCCTGGGCCCAGCCCATGAAACCATTTTTCCTCCTAGTCCTCTGGGTCTGTGATGGGAAGGGCTGCCCTTCTGACATGCCCTGGAGATATATTCCCCATTGTCTTGGTGATTAACATTGGCTCCTCATTACTTATGCAAATTTCTGGAGATAGCTTGAATTTCTCTTTCTCTTCAGAAAATGGTTTTTTTTTTCTTCTCTATCACATCATCAGCCTGTGAATTTTCCAAACTTTTATGCTCTGTTTCCCTTTTAAACATAAGTTCCAATTCCAAACAATATCTTTGTGAATAAATTTTAAAAAGTCACATCTTGAATGCTTTGCTGCTTAGAAATTTTTTCTGCCAGATACTCTAAATTATCTCTCTCAAGTTCAAAGTTCCACAGATCTCTAGGGCAGGAGCAAAATGCTGCCAGTCTCTTGCTGAAGCATAGCAAGAATTACTTTTATTGCAGTTCCCAAGAAGCTCCTCATCTCCATCTGAGACCACCTTAGCCTGAACTTCATTGTCCATATCACTATCAACATTTTCATCAAAGCTATTCAACAAGTCTCAAGGACATTCCAAAATTTCCCACATCTTCCTGTCTTTTTCTGAACCCTCCAAACTGTTCCAATCTTCGCCTGTTACCCAGTTCCAAAGCCACTTCCACATCTTTAGGTTCCAAAGTCAATTCCACAGCAGCCTCCCACTCCTGGTACCAACTTACTATGTTAGTTCAGTCTCACATTGCTAATAAAGACATACCTGCCAGTGGGTAATTTATAAAAAAAGTTTAATTGACTCATAGTTCAGCATGGCTGGCAGGGGAGCCAGGACACTTACAATCATGGCAAAAGGGGAGCAAACACATCCTTCACATGGCTGCAGCAAGAAGTACCAAGCAAAAGGGAGAAAAGCCTCTTATAAAACCATCAGATCTCATGAGAATTCACTATCACAAGAACAACATGAGGGTAGCCACCCCCATGATTAAATTACCTCCCACTGGGTCCCTCCCCCCACATGTGGGGATTCTGGGAACTACAGTTCAAGACAAGATTAGGGTGGGGACACAGTCAAACTGTATAATTGAGCTTTAAAAGTTCTTTGTGTATTTTGGATAAAGTCCTTTATAATGTCTGTCTTTTGCAAATATTTTCTCAAAAATCTGTGACTTGTCTTTTCATTTTCTTGAAAGCATCTTCTGCAGAGAGACATTATTTAAATTTCAATACAGCCCATCTTCTCAATTATTTATTTCATGTATGTGCCTTTGGTTTTTTTAATCTAAAAAGTCATTGCCAAACCCAAGATCTTCTAGATTTTCTCCTATGTTATCTCATAGAAGTGTTACAGTTTTGCATTTTACATTTAGGAGTGTGATCCATTTTAAGTTAGTTTTTGCAAAACGTATAAGGTTTGTGTCAATATTCACATTTGTGCACATGGATATCCAGTTGTTCTAGCACCATTTGTTGAAAATACTATCTTTGTTCCATCATATGATCTTAGCTCCTTTGTCAAAAATCAGTTGACTATATTTATATCGGTCTATTTCTGGGCTCTGTATCCCATTCCATCAATCTATCTGTGTATTCTTATGTAAATACTACACTTTCCTCATTGTTGTACGTTTATAGTAACTCTTGAGTCAGGTAGTATCAGTCCTCAAACTTTGTTATTGTCCTTTAATATTGTGACTATTCTGGGTTTATTGCCTCTCCATACAAACTTTAGAATTACTTTATCGGTATCCACAAACAACTTTTCTGAGATTTTGATTGGAATTGCATTGAATTTCTAGATCAAAGTTGGAAGAGCTGACATCTGAAAATATTGTTTTCCTATTTATAAACATGGAATATTGCTTAACTTATTTGGTTTTTTCTTTTTTTAAAATCAGAGTTTTATACTTTTCCTCATATAGATCTTGAACATTTTTTTAGATTTATACCTAAGTATTTAATTTCAGGGAATGAGAATGTAGATGGTATCGCATTTTTAATTTCAAATTCTACCTGTTCATTGTTGGTATATATGAAAAAGGTTGACTTTCATATATTAACCTTGTATCCTACAACCTTGCTATAACCACTTATTTGTTTCACATGGTTTTTTGCTGTTGCTGATTTTTTCAGATTTTTTACATAGACTATCATGCCATTTGGGAACAATGACACTTTAATTTCCTTCCTCCGAATGTGTATCAATTTATTTACATTTATCATTTATTGCATTACCTAGGGCTCCCAGTGTGATATTGAAAAGTAGTGGTGAAAGGGGACATCCTTCATTTGTTCCTGATTTAGTGAAAAAGCTTCCAATTCCTCACAGGTCGGTTCTTTGTTGATATTTTTTAATTGAGTTGAGGAAGTTTTTGTCATTCTTAATTTACTCAGTGTTTTTATCATGAATGATTGTTAACTTCTATAAAATGCTTTTAATGCATCTATTAATATGATCACATAATTTTTCTACCTTTACTTTGTTGATGTGATGGATTACATTAGCTGATTTTCAAATGTTGAACTAGCCTTGCACATTTGGGATAAATCCTACCTGATTATGTTGTACAATTCTTTTTATACATTGTTGGAATTTATTTGCTAATATTTTGTTGGGTATTTTTGCCTCTATGCTTTTGAGTGATACTGTTTTGTAGTTTTCTTTCTTTGTAAGGCCTTCATTTTGGTTTTCAGTATTTGAGTATGCTGACTTCACAGAATAAGTTAAGAAGTATTTCCTTTGCTTTTATCTTCTAAAAGAGACTATAGAGAATTGGTATATGTTTTTTCTTTACATGATTAGTAGAATTTACTGGTAAATTCACCTGGGCCTGATGCTTTCTCTTCTGGAAGGTTATTAATTATTTATTCAATTTCTTAAATAGATGTAGGCCTATTAATATTGTCTGTTTTTGTTTAAATCTGGCAGATTGTATTTCAAGGATTTAGTCAATTTATCTAAGTTATAAAATTTGTGGGCATAGAGTTGTTCATATAGCTCTTTGATCATCCTTTTAATACCCTGTCTGTAGTGATGTACTCTCTTTTATTTCTGATGTTAGTAATATGTGTCATTTCTCTTTTTTCTTAGTCTGATAAGAGGCATATTAATTTTATTGATCTTTTCAAAAAACCATCTTTTAATCTTATTGATTGTACCTATTAATTTATTGTTTTCAGTTTCATTGATTTCTGCTCTAATTTTTATTATTTTTTTTCTTATGCTTACTTTAGTTTGTTCTTTTACTGGTTTCTTAAGGTGGAAGCTTACACTGTTGATTTTAGATATTTTTCCTTTTCTAATACATGCAACCAATGTTATAAACTTTACTCTGAGCACTGTTTTGCTGAATACCATGGCTTTTGATAACTGTGTATTTATTTTTATTCAGTTCAAACTATTTTTAAATTTCTCCTGATATTTCTTAGATAACCCATGTGTTATTTAGACATGTGATTTTTAATCTCCAAGTTTTTGGGACTTTCCAGCAATCTTTCTGTTACAAATTTCTAGTTCATTTTCACTGTGGTCTGAGGTCAGACATTTTATGGTATCTATTCCTTGAAGTTTGTTTAGTGGTATTTGTGGCTCAGAACATGGCCTGTCTTGCTGAATGTTCAATATGACTTTGAGAAAAATGTGTATTCTTTTGTTGGATGAAGTCATCCATAGATGTCCATTATATCCAGTTGGTTAAAGTTATTGTTGAGTTCCACTATGTCTTTACTGATTTTTTGTCTGCTGGATCTGCCTTTTTCTGATAAAGCAGTGTTGAAGTCTCCAGCTATAATAACAGATTCATCTATTTCTCCTTACAGTTCTATCAGTTTTTGCCTCATGTATTTTGATACTCTGTTGTTAGTCACATACACATTAAAAATTGTTATGTCTTCTTGCAGAATTGACCCCTTTGTCATTATAATTGTCCCTCATTCTGCAGACTGCTTGTCTGAAATTAATATAGCTACTCCTGGATTTTTTTTTATCACTGTTGCATAGCATATTTTTCTCCATTCTGTAATTTTTATCTACATGTATATTTATATTAAAGAGGGCTCCTTGTAGACAACTGTATTTGTCAGGGTTCTCTAGAGGGACAGAACAAATAGGATAGATGTATATATAAAGGGGAGTTTATTAAAGAGTATTGACTCACATGATCAGAAGGTGAGGTCCCACAATAGGCCATCTGCACACTGAGGAGCAAGGAAGCCAGTCTCAGTCCCAAAATCTCAAAAGTAGGGAATCCGATAGCGCAGCCTTCAGTCTGTGGTCGAAGGTCCAAGAGTACCAAAGCTGAAGAACTTGGAGTTCGATGTTCAAGGGCAGGAAGCATTCAGCATGGGGGAAAGATGTAGGCCAGAAGACTCAGCCAGTCTAGTCTTTCAATGTTCTTCTGCCTGCTTTTATTCTGGCCGTGCTGGCAGCTGATTAGATGGTGCCTACCCAGATTAAGGGTGGGTCTCTCCCAGTCCACTGCCTCTCCCAGTCCACTGACTCAAATGTTAATCTCTTTTGGCAACACCCTCACAGACACACCCAGGAACAATACTTTGCATCCTTCATTCCAGTCAATCTGACACTCAGTATTACCCACCACAACAGAGAGCTAGATCTTGGTTTTTGATCCATTCTGACAATCTCTTTTATTTTTTAAATTGGTGCACTTAAATCATTGAAAGCAAAGTGATAATGAATACAGTTAAATTAATAACTACTATATTTATTGCTGTTTTCTATTTGTGTGACTTTGGTTCTTCTTGTTTTTGTCTTTTTTTTCTTTTCCTTTTTTATTTCTTTTTAGAAAAAGGATCTCACCATGTTGCTCAGGCTGATTTGAACTTCTAGGTTCAAGGAATCCTCTCACCTCATCCTCTCAAGTAGCTGAAACTACAGGTGCACGTCACGATGCCCAGCCTGCCTTTTGTGTTTAACTGAGCATTTTACAATGCTATTTTCTATCTTTTCTTAGTGTATCAGTTATACTTTTTTAAAACATTTTTTTAGTGGTGGCCCTAGAGATGAAAATATACATTTACAACTAATCCAAGTCCACTTTCAAATAACACTATACCACTTCAGGGATAGTGTAATTCATAATAACATAATCATCCTAATTTTTCCCTTCCATTTCTTTTTGGTAGGAACTGAACACTCTGACTTATTTCAAAATGGTTCCTTTTCTCCTCCTTCTTCTGGAAGCACAGGGAATTTTTCTCTGATATTCACTGTGAGAACAAGATTAAACTTCTAGAGGTAAAGCTCATAAAAATATGATAACAACCTCAATAACTGGGTCCTCCTGGAGTTCTTAACTCTCATAGTTACATACACTGAGCCTCTGACATTTGTCAATTTTAGTTTAGGCTTTTCTACTCCAGCGCTGGCTGTGTGAAAGTTTAACTCACATGCTTCTGTTCTAGCAAGTTGTGATCCTCTGTATTCACTTGTTGGTCTATTGAATTTGGGGGCAGTGCTTCATCCTGTGATCTCACTTCTCCAACAGATCTAAAAAGAGTTGCAGCTTATTCAGTCTGTTCACCTTTTTACTAGTTGACACATTGGAGTGGCAACTTCCAAGTGTCTTAGATACCTGACCAGAAACTAAGTCTTGTCTTTTCACATATTTGAATAAAAGCCACTTGTCAATATACAAATTGTACATATTTTCTCACATTCTGGAGCTTGCCATTTTATTTTTATCAGAGTCTAAGTGAAAAAGGTTCTAAATTTGAGAAAGTACAACTTATCATTTTTCTCTTTAAACTTCTTCTTTTCGCCATAATCTAAAAAATTTTGCCTACCACCAGTCACAAAGATTTTCTCTTATGTTTTATCCCAAAAGTTTTTGAGCTTTAGCTCTAATTTTTAGGTCTTTGATTTATTTCAAGTCAATTTTTTGTGTCTGGTGAGAGGTGAAGTTTTATTTTATTTACACATATGTTTAGTTCATACAATTTTGTTGGAAAGATTTTCTTCACCCATTGAATAGCCCTTTGTCTTACCATGCAAAATGGCCATATAAATATTATTTTATAGCTGGATTCTCTGTTCTACTTTATTAATTGTATATATTTATCCTTTGGTCAATACTACCTTTTCATTATTATAACTTCATAGAAAATATTGAAATTTATAGAAAATTAGCATATGTGCTCCAATTTATTGTTTTTCTTTTCATGGCTTGGTTTATTCTAGGTCATTTCCATTTCCATATCAATCGTAGAATCAGCTTGTCAATTTCTACAAAAAGATAAGTGGATTTTGGTTGGGGCTGTGTTAAATGTATGGATCCATTTGTGTAGAGCTGAAATCTCAATATTATGTCTCCCAATCCATGAAAGTGGGAAATGTCTCCATTCATTTCAATGTTTTTTGCTTTTCCTGAGTAATGTTAATTTTTATTGCGCACAATTGCACGTTATTTTGTTATATCTATACATATCATGTTTTGGGAAACATTATATGTAGAATTGTCCCTTTGATTTCATTTTCTGTTCGCTGTTTCTACACAGAAATCCAATTCATTGTTATATGTTGACTTTTGTATTCAATGACTTGCAAGATTCATTAGTTTTATTATTTTGAAGATTGCCAGTAATCTATATTTCTAAGCCAGACTGAGTTTTACTTCTTGTTCTTTATCATTATGCGTTTATCTTGTCATAACCGCAGTGTTTCCTTCTTCTCTCTAAGCAGTCATTCTGAGTTTCTGTGCACCACTGGGTTTTTGCCACTCCCCTCCTGTACTCCAGCACTCTATGACTCACTCTGGTCAAATGTAGTTGTTTATCCATTGTTTTGGTCCTCTCTTGTGTTGGGAGACCAGCATTAGGCACCTCTAGTGCTGTCTAATGGGCCATCTTGCGGATGTCCCTTTATCATATTTTATAATTATTTTTGTTTGATCTTGGTTGTATATTTTTATATTTTTTATAATTATGATAGATTTAATTTCAAAATATTTTAATTAGAATCACCTTTCCACAGAAAATGTTTTTACCTATATTAACAAACCATGCATTTTGCTACCCCATTGGTTATAATCTACCGTTTTTAGATGTTGTTAACTGTTTTTATTTCTGCTTGTTGTTGAGGGTATATCTTTCAATCCCTTCACCACTCTTAGTGGTAATTAAATTTACGTTTGGAGCTAATACACACACTAAATAATGTCAGAAGACAATAACTGAAGACAAAAATTATCTAAGGACCATGCTTCCAAAAATAATAAAATTAGAAAACAAAGGCTCCCATCTTTTCCAAAGAATATATTTTTCAAATCTATTTTACTAATAGATAAGGCATTTATCTTCTTTACTACTAGAACATTTTTTAAATTTTAGAAAAAATATTCTACTAACGTCTTTAGTGCCACAGTCACATTCTTCACTTCCTTCCAACAACCCATTGCCACATATTCTCCTGTGTGTGTAGGTTGGCATTTCAAGAGGGTTTGTCTGAAGACATGTAAGGCCATTATGAGAAGAAATATATTTAAAGTCATCCAAGCTACAGATGTTAAAATCCTTTACACCACCAGAGTACCTAATATATAAAAATATGGGTATG
This sequence comes from Homo sapiens, assembly GCF_000001405.40. NCBI lineage: Eukaryota > Metazoa > Chordata > Mammalia > Primates > Hominidae > Homo > Homo sapiens. The sequence continues at coordinate 251,577 of NT_187577.1, read as the reverse complement.
ACACAAATTAATGTTGTATATTTTTATATATCCCATAATATGGTGCTTTAAAGAGAGATTTAAAGAGCATTATTCTTCATAGAAGACAATTAGCAAATCTTAAAATATACTTATTATATTAACATGTTTTAACATGTTTTTAACTCCAAGAATAATATATATTTATAATAAAATAAATATATGTGTGTGTATATATATATGTATATATATACACACACACACACACACACACACACACACACACACACACACACATTCCAAAATTCTTTTTAGTCATACATCTTGTTTTATACAAGATCTGGTATAGATACACGGACCTCTAAAAGTTCATGAAAAAATAAAATGAAAATATGAAAATAAATATATAAACTTTATTTCTCAACATCAAGTTCAAGACAGTTTTGTAAGCAATGATATCAACTGTTTAGTCCGGACCTAAATAACTGAGGATCCTGGAAATTTTACTAGGTCAATGAAGTCTTTTTTACATTATTAACTGAAGAAAAATGAGTGCCCTTTAAAGAGTTTTTAAGATTAGGAAACAAAAAGAAGACAGAAGGAGCCAAATCAAGACTATAAGATGGATGCCTAATAATTTTCCATCAAAACTCTCACAAAATTGCTCTTATTGTTGAGAAGAATGAGCAGGAGCATTGTTATAATGAAGGACTCTCGGGTGAAACTTTCATAGGCATTTTTCTGCGAAAGCTTTGGCTAAGTTTCTCAAAATAGTCTCCTAATTGGCAGGTTTTTTGGCCCTCTAGAAAGTCAACAAGCAAAGTATCTTGAGTATCTCAAAAAGCTTTTGCCATGACATTTGCTCTTGACTGGTTCACTTTGGCTTTGGCTGGACCACGTCCACCACTTGGTAGCCATTGCTTTGACTGTGTTTTATCTTCAGGATTGTGCTGGTAAAGCTGTTCCACCTCCTGTTACAATTCTTCAATGAAATGTTTCAGAATCTTAATTTTTATTTGTACACAATTGTACATACTTCATGAATGTTATATCTATATACTTCCTGTTTTGAAAAACATTATACATGGAATTGTACCTTTTATCTCATTTTCTATTTGTTGCCAAATATACAGAAATCCAATTCATTGTTATATTAATACACTGATTGTGTATCCAATGACTTGCAAAATTCACTAGTTTTATTTGATTTTTTTTTCAAAATTGCTTCAAAAAATTTCCATCAAAGTTCTGTTCTTATCTGATCTCCATCAAAGTTCTGCTCTTATCTGCTCTTATCTATCTCTGGACACAATGACTTTGGCACCCACTGAGTGGAAAATTTGCTCACCTTTAATTTTTCAGCCAGAATTGTGTTAGCTGAACCAATTGAAATGTCTGTGGTGTTGACTATTGTTCATGCTGTTGTCAGTCCTGTTCAATGACAGCACAAACAAGATGAATTTTTTTTCCTTGCAAACTGATGTTGCTTGCCTGCTACAGCAAGCTCCATCACCAATACCGTCTCATCCTTTCTTAAAAGGAGTTTTGGCCAATCGCAGTGGCTCACACCTGTAAACCCAGCACTTTGGGAAGCCAAGGTAGGCGGATAACCTGAGGTCAAGAGTTCAAGACCAGCCTGGCCAACATGGCAAAACCCTGTCTCTACTAAAAATACAAAAATTAGCCAGGCGTGGTGGCACGCACCTTGCAGTCCCAGCTACTTGGGAGGCTGAGGCAGATGAATCGCTTGAACCCAGAAGGCAGAGGTTGTGGTGAGCCAAGATCATGCCACTGCACTCCAGTCTGGGCAACAGATCGAGACTCCGTCTTAAAAAAAAAAAACAACTATGATATTGAAAATGCAATATCCCAGCAGGACTCTTGCAGAAATTACAAAGCTGATAATAAAATATAGATGAATATGTAAAGGACCTAGAATAGCCAAAACAATTTGGGAAAATATTTAAAAACTCATGGCACTTGCACTACCTGATTTCAAACTCAGTGTAAAGCTACAGTAATAGAGACAGTGTGCTTTCCTATAAGGATAGACATACAGGTTAATGAATTAGAATAGATATTCCAATAATAAATCCACACATTCATGGTAAATTGATTTTTGACAAAATTGCCAAGACAATTAAGTGGGTAAAAGGCTAGTCTTTTCAACAAATAGTATTAGAATAACTGTCACTCTATATGACAAAATAAAAATGAACTTGGACACATGTACAATAATTGCAAAATGTATCATAAACTAACTATAAGAGCTATAAACGCATGTTGCATAAAAATTGATAAATTGGACTTTTGAATCAAAATTTTAAAACCTGTCTTCCAGAGAAGACAACTATAAAGAAAAAAGACAAGCCACAGACTACAAAGAAACAATTGAAAATCATGTATCTGGTAAAGAAACCATAGCCAGAATATACAAACAAATCTTGTAATTCATCAACAGCACAAAAACCTATATTTTTATTTTACAAAGTGGAAAAAAGATCTAAATAGGCACATTACCAAATAAGCTATGCAAAGGATATGAAGTATGAAAATATGTTCAAATCATTAGCTTCTAGGGAAGTACATATACAACCTATATGAGATAATACTACATACCAACTAAAGAGACGTAAATTGAACATACTGAGCATATCAAGTCTTGGCATTGATGCAGAAAAACTAGGACTAACAGCTTAGTTTTCAGGAATGGAAATATGGGGCCCCTTATGTATAAAGCAGGGAAAATTACTGTTAATGGTATTAAAACAAAAAGCTTTTTCTTTTTTCAGCAGTCTCTCAGGAGTCATGGTGTTATTTGTTTGCTAGTCAGTGTTGTCCTAAATTAAAATTCTAAGTTATTAGCATGAATTTTACCATTTATCTTTATATTGTACAATGCCAGTTTTAAATGCAGGTATCAAAGCATTTTAACTCTTAAAAATTTTATTTTCAGTTGATGATAATTATATATATTTATGAGGCACAATGTGATGTTTCGATACATGTATATATTGCAATATATGTATAAATCACGCTAATTAGCATATCCCTCACCTCACGTATTTATTATTTCTTTGTGATGAGAATGTTTAAAATGTGCTCTTTGGCAATATTGAAATATACAACATGTTATTATTAACTATAGTCACTGCACTGTGCAATTTACTCTAAAATTATTTCTTTTTTCTAACCAAACTTTTGTACGTTTTTACCAGTATCTTTCCATTCCCCATTCCCCACTCCCCACCCCCAGCCTCTGGTAACCACCATTCTACTCTCTACTTTGATGAGTTTGACTTTTTTAGATTCTACCTATAAGTAAAATCAGGCAGAATTTGTTTTCTGTGCCTGGATTATATTTCACTCAGCATAATCTTCTCCAGATTCATCCATGTTGTCATAAATGACAAAATGTATTTGTTTTTTAAGGCTGAATTATGTATAATATCACCCCCATATTTGAATGTGTCCCCTAATGTTCATGTGTTAGAAACTTAATACCCAATGCAACAGTGTTTAGAGGTGGGACCTTTACGAGGTGATTAAATCATGAGGGCTCTGTCCTTATGAATGTACTAATGTCATTATCACAAGAACAAGTTCATTTTCAGAACAGTGGGTTTGTCATAAAAGTGAGTTTGATCCCCTCTCCAGTACGTGTGTCTGCTTTCTTGCCCTTATGCCTTTTGTCATGGGATAACACAGCAAGGAACTCTCACAAGATGTGGGCCTCTCAACCTTGAATTTATCAGGATCCAGAACCCTAAGGCAAATAAACCTCTCTTCTTTATAATTACCCAGTCGTGGGCATTCTGTTTTAACAGTACAAATCAGAATAAGAAAAAAAAATGGTACCAGTAGTGGAGCTATTGCTATAACAAATTTCTAAAAATGTAAAAGCAGCTTTGGAACTGAATAATGGGTAGGGGCTACAAGAGTTTGGAGAAGCAGAAAAGTCCTAGATTGTCATAAATGGAGCATTAAGGGAGATTGTGGTGAGGGCTCAAAAGAAGTGAAGAAGTGTAGAGAAAGTCTGGAACTTCTTAAATATTACTTAAGTGGTTGTGATCATAAAACCAATAAAAATATGGACTTAATGTTCATTCTGATGAGGCCTCAGGTGGAAATGAGAAACAAGGTACTGGAAACAGAAGTAAAGGCCATCCTTGCTACACAGTTGCAAAGAATTTAGTGGAATTGTTTTGGCGTCCTAGGACCATGTGGAAGACATCCTGTGCTCCACAGGTTCACTGTTCAGGGCTGCCTTGGGACTCTGCAATCTGGCACAGTGCTTCTCAGCTTCCCCATCCATGACTCAATTTAAGAGTGATGAACTAGGATATCTGGCAGAAGAAATATCTAAGTGGCAAAGTGTTCAAGGTGCTGCCTGGCTTCTTTTGGCTGCTTATAGTAAAATGAGAATGGAAATGATTTAAATATGGAATTTATCATTAAAAGAAGCAGAACAGACAGATTTGAAAACTTTCAGGATGGCTATGTAAGAAATAAAAAAGCATGTTTAAAAAGGCAACTGTGACCAGGCATGGTGGCTCACACCTGTAATCCCAGAACTTTAGGAGGCTGAGGCAGGAGGATTACTTGAGGTCAGGAGTTCGAGACCAGCCTGGCCAATATGGTGAAACCCCTTCTCTACTAAAAATACAAAAATTAGCCAGTCATGGTAGCACGTGCCTATAATTCCAGCTACTCTGGAGGCTGAGGCAGGAGAATTGCTTGAACCCAGGAGGCGAAAGTTGCAGTGAGCTGAGCTCGCACCACTGCACTCCAGCCTGGGTGACAGAGTGAGACTCCGTCTCAAAAAAAAAAAAAAAAAAGCAACTGTTTGCTAAAGAGATTAATATGGATACAATAAAGCCAGGTTCTATCCTGCTTAACTAGGAAGACAACAAGAGAATGACCCTGAAGGCATTTCTGAGATCTCTGAGGATGCCTCTCCCATCATCCCATCACAGGCTCAGAGCTCTAAAAGGGGTGAATGGTTTCAGAGAACAGGCCTGAGGTGTGCTCCACAGGTTCACTGCCCAGGGCTGCCCTGGGACTCTGCATTCTGACACAGTGCTTCTCAGCTTCCCCATCCATTACTCAAGTGGGCCCAGGTGTGGCTCAGCCACCTCTCCAAAGGGCACAAGTGGTAAGCCTTGACAATGTCCACATGATGCTAACTCTGCAAACCTGCAGAACACAACAGTTGCCAGACCATGGTGACCTCCACCTAGATCTTTTCAAATAATGTCATCAACGACCTGGGAGCCCAAGCAGAGACTTGTCACAGGGATAGAGCCACTGCAGAGAGCTCCCACTAGAGCAAAACCTATCAAGGCCATAAGAGTGAGACCATCACAGAGAGCTCCCACTAGGGAAATGCCTAGTGAAGCCATGGGAGTGGGGCAGTCCCTGAGGCCCCAGAACTTTAAAGCCACCAGCTTGCAACCTCAGTCTGGGAGAGATACAGGCATGAGACTCCAACATGTGAAAGCTACTGGGTGGACTAAGACCAGAAAGAAGCAAGAATCCTGATGTTTTACAGACTCAACCTCCACCCAAGTATGCCCAGGATGGAGGACATGGAGTCAAAGGAGGTTATTCTCCAGGTTTAAGCCAACACTGTTTTTCCACGTTGGGTTTTGGAGTTATGTGAGACCAGTTACCCCTTCCTTCTTGCCTATTTCTCCCTTTTGGAATGGGAATGTCTATCCTGTGCCTGTTCCTCCATTGTATTTTGGAAGCACCAAAAAACAATGCAACTTGTTAATTGCACAGGCTTACAGCTGGAGAGGAATTTGCCTCAGGATAAACCATGCCTAGAGTCTTACCCTCATCTGACTTAGATTAGAATTTGAACTTCAGATTTTTTAGTTGATGCTAGAAGTTAATACTTTGGGGGCTACTTGGGTGAAATGAATGTATTTTGAATTGTGAGAAAGACCAAAGATGGTCTCCAGCTCCTAACCGGGAGTGATCTGCCAGCCTCGGCCTCCCGAGGTGCTGGGATTGCAGACGGGGTCTCGCTCACTCAGTGCTCAATGGTGCCCAGGCTGGAGTGCAGTGGCGTGATCTCCGCTCGCTACAACCTCCACCTCCCAGCCGCCTGCCTTGGCCTCCGAAAGTGCCGAGATTGCAGCCTCTGCCCGGCCGCCACCCCGTCTGGGAAGTGAGGAGCGTCTCTGCCTGGCCGCCCATAGTCTGGGATGTGAGGAGCCCCTCTGCCCTGCTGCCCAGTCTGGGAAATGAGGAGCGCCTCTTCCCCGCCGCCATCCCGTCTGGGAAGTGAGGAGAGTCTCTGCCTGGCCAACCATCGTCTGGGATGTGAGGAGCCCCTCTGCCCAGCCGCCCAGTCTGGGAAGTGAGGAGCGCCTCTTCCCGGCTACCACCCCGTCTGGGAAGTGAGGAGCGTCTCTGCCTGGCCGCCCATCGTCTGAGATGTGGGGAGCGCCTCTACCCTGCCGCCCCGTCTGGGATGTGAGGAGCGCCTCTGCCCGGCGGCAACCCCGTCTGGGAACTGAGGAGTGTCTCTGCCCAACCGCCACCCTGTCTGGGAGGTGAGGAGCATCTCCGCCCGGCCACCCCGTCTGAGAAGTGAGGAGCCCCTCCGCCCGGCAGCCGCCCCATCTGGGAACTGAGGAGCCCCTCCGCCCAGCAGCCGCCCCATCCGGGAGATGGGGGGCAGCCCCCGCCCAGCCAGCCGCCCCATCCGGGAGGGAGGTGGGGGGCAGACCCCGCCCAGCCAGCTGCCCCGTCTGGGAGGGAGGTGGGGGGCAGCCCCCGCCCGGCCAGCCGCCCCGTCTGGGAGGGAGGTGGTGGGCAGCCCCCACCCAGCAGCTGCCCCGTCCGGGAGGTGGGGGGCGCCTCTGCCTGGCTGCCCTGTCTGGGAAGTGAGGAGCCCCTCTGCCCGGCCGACACCCCGTCTGGGAGGTGTACCCAACAGCTCATTCAGAACGGGCCATGATGACAATGGCGGTTTTGTCGAATAGAAAAAGGGGGAAATGTGGGGAAAAGAAAGAGAAATCAGATTGTTATGGTGTCTGTGTAGAAAGAAGTAGACATGGGAGACTCCATTTTGTTCTGTACTTAGAAAAATTCTTCTGCCTTGAGATGCTGTTAATCTATAACCTTACCCCCAACCCCGTGCTCTCTGAAACATGTGCTGTGTCAACTCAGGGTTAAATGGATTAAGGGCGGTGCAAGATGTGCTTTGTTAAACAGATGCTTGAAGGCAGCATGCTCGTTAAGAGTCATCTCCACTCCCTAATCTCCAGTACCCAGGGACGCAAACACTGCGGAAGGCGGCAGGGTCTTCTGCCTAGGAAAACCAGAGACCCTTGTTCACATGTTTATCTGCCGACCTTTCCTCCACTATTGTCCTGTGACCCTGCCAAATCCCCCTCTCCGAGAAACACCCAAGAATGATCAATAAATACTTTTAAAAAAATTAAAAATTAAAAAAATAAATAAATAAAATAAAATAGTTTTTAAAAACTTACACTGTTAACAAGGCCAATTATCTGAATAACCTTCTGCGTTACAGTGTTTATATCAGAGCCCATGTAATCAAACTGAAAAAGATAAATTATTTTTAAAAACTAGTGGATATAATTAATATTTCACATCTCTTTCATTTTACAATATGCTATATTCTAAAGTAGCCATAGGAATCCACTCCAATTGAAATCCAGGAAATCAGTGATAATATGCAAATAATGATTTAATAAAAATATATAACAACATGATTTTAGGCAATGTTTAATGCACTCAATTTGTAGTACTATTTCTTTTTTATGAAAATTGAATACTGAATTTCTAAAATGGATATCATTATAAATGTAATCCTACACTGAAAAACAGTATGTGGAGAAAGTGGGAAAATCCTCAATGAGTGGATTACCATTAAAATGATACCGTATACTGTGTTAGAAACATCCTTTTTCACAACATATTATAATACATGTTCTAATTTCTTCTTTTTCCAGTAAGCCCGGTGCAGTGGCTCACGCCTGTAATCCCAGCACTTTGGGAGGCCGAGGCAGGTGCATCACGAGGTCAGGAGATCAAGACCATCCTGGCTAACACGGTGAAACCCTGTCTCTACTAAAAATACAAAAAAAAAAATTGGCTGGACATGGTGGCAGGCGCCTGTAGTCCCAGCTACTTGGGAGGCTGAGGCAGGAGAATGGCGTGAACCTGGGAGGCAGAGCTTGCAGTGAGCCGAGATCATGTCACTGCACTCCAGCCTGGGCAACGGAGCAAGACTCTGTCAAAAAAAAATCCTGCACATTGAAAGATACAATCAACAAAGTGAAGAGACAACCCATTGAATGGGAGAAAATATTTGCAAACTGCCCATCTGACAAGGGATTAATAACCACAATATATAAGAGGCTCATCACATGACAAATGCTGAAGAGGATGCAGAGAAAAGGAAACCCTTGTACACTGCTAGTGGGGATGTACTAGTGGGGATGTACCACTGAGGAGAATAGTTTGCACTTTCCTCAAAAACACTCAAAATTGAGCTACCATATGATCCAGCAATCTCACTGCTGGGTATATACCCAAAAGCAAGGAAATCAGTGCATCCCTATGTTTCTTGGAGCACTGTTTGCAATAACTAAGATTTAGAAGGGTCCATCAAGAGATAAATGCATAAGAAAATGTGGTGCATATACACAATGGAGTACTACTCAGCCATAAAAAAAGTATGAGATCCAGTCATTTGGAGCAACATGGATGCTGGAGATTATTGTGTTAAGTTAAATAAGCCAAGAACAGAAAGACAAACATCGCATGTTCTCACTTATTTGTGGGATTGAAAAATCAAGACAATTGAACTAATGGTCACAGAGAGTAGAAGGATGGTAACCAGAGGCTGGGAAGGGTAGTGGGGGTTTTGACAGGAGGATGAACATTCTGTTTCTTTGGCTAGTGGAACAGCAGCAAAGGTGACACATGCAAAGATGGTAAAGTGTTTGAGCACTGGATTTCTCTCTCTTGACACTGTGGGATCCCTGCAACACTTGTTATGTGAAGAAGCCTGGCCTACCCGCCTAGAAGACACAAAACACAAAGCCCAGTGACCCTATCTAATATTTAGCCAACTTCCAGAATCAAAGACACCTTTTTGACTAGAAGCTGATTTCAGAAGCATTAATGAGGCCAGCTGAGACAAGCAGAACTTCCCAGCCAAGCCACATACAGACCAAAAGAAATATCTAGCAAAATTATTAGCTAAATAAATGGCTTTTGCATTAAGCCACTTTTTTGTGGTGGTTCTTTACAGAGTATTAGAGTATTTAAAATTGGTGCTTGTAAGTAAGGTGCTATGATAACAAGCACCACAAATATGTGTGACTACTCTCAGTCTAAGAAAGCAACCCAGGGTTCCAGATGCATCAGGGGAGCTCTTCTCTAGCAAAGGCTAGAGAAATGGTGAGCTGCTTGTTATCAGAAGCTAAGAGAGCAATGAGGAAATGACTATTATCCTGAAAAAAGTAGTGACCTATTAAACGTAGTAACAAAACAATTGGAAAACTCAAAAAAGTTTTGCCAATTAAATAATCAGGATTTATTTTTCATGATAAAGTTTTGTGTTGGGAGAGGTGTACACTAATCTAGGAATTATAAATTGATAAATACTTTTTAAGGACATGATGATATATATTTGATGCTTTTTAAAAGTTAAACTTTCAAGAATGTACTTCCCCAAAAAAATCACAAATGTCAAAAGAAATATATGTAACAAGGATATATATGGCAGAATTACTTTTAATAATAAAAAGTAATAATGACATAAAGATCTATGATTATCAATAAGTGGTGGAGTTAATGTGAATTTTGATTCTCTCCTAAAAATATTTTTTCAAATTTTTCTGGATGTTCTACAGTGAATATATATTGCTTTCATTATTTAAATGATGATGTATCCTTCCTAAGAAAGATATCGGAAGCCGGGTGCAGTGGCTCACGCCTATAATCCCAGCACTTTGAGAGGACAAGACGGGCGGATCACGAGGTCAGGAGATGGAGACCATCCTGGCTAACACAGTGAAACTCCATCTCTACTAAAACTACAAAAAATTAGTCGGGTGTGGTGGCGGGTGCCTGTAGTCCCAGCTACTTGGGAGGCTGAGGCAGGAGAATGGCCTGAACCCGGGAGGCGGAGCTTGCAGTGAGCCGAGGTTGCGCCACTTCACTCCAGCCTGGGTGACAGAGCAAGACTCCGTCTCAAAAAAGAAAAAAAGAAAGAAAGATATTGGAGTGCTTTCACAGTGCCATATCAACTAGGGGCTGGTGTGGGAGAGGTCTTCCCCAGTGATTTATTTCATCACTGATATTACTAAGAATTGTCAGTACAGGATAATAATAAAAAGAAAACCAGCTTTTAGTAGGGCTTTTTATTGTTTTTAGGCCATTGCCTGCTCAGTCCCGACAGCATTCCCCCTTCTTGAAACTTCACTATAGCTGCTGACACTCCTGGAAAGAAAGAAAGAAAGTAGAGGCAACATCTCAACTTAAGCATGGAGTATGTAAAAATTGCTTGTAGCCAGGCACGGTGGCTCACACCTGTAATCCCAGCACTTTGGGAGGCCAAGGCAGGTGGATCACCTGAGGCCAGGAGTCGAGACCAGCCTGGCCAATGTGGTGAGACACTGTCTCTACTAAAAATACAAAAATTAGCCGGGTGCGGTGGTGAGCACCTGTAATCCCAGATACTTGGGAGGCTGAGGCAGGAGAATCATTTGAACCCGAGAAGCGGAGGCTGCAGTGAGCAGAGATCGTGCCACTGCACTGCAGCCTGGGCAACAGAGCGAGACTCCATCTCAAAAAAAAAAAAAAAAGAAAAATCGTTTGAAACTGATACTTGATATGATTTCTACAATAAAATACAGAATCACTTCATGACTACAGACACCGAAGCATTTTTTTCCCCAGCTAACCCAGGTGATCCTACACTAGGTGTAGCGTGGCATCATTTTCACTTTGAAGGCATTTCTTTTATGCACGTGTGTGGGATACCCATGGGAGCCTCTTTTCTCATTATTATACGGGAACATCACAAGCGGGAGTGTTGTTGGCTGACTGAGAGGTACAACTCAGTGCTTCTCTCCCAGAGAAGCCATGAATGAAATACCATATAATATGAATGGAGATCAAGCTGGCCAACGCTTAAGGAAAATAGAAAAGAACCTACGTGAATATCGGGGCAGGTTCCCCGATACCCTTAGGCACCTAATCAATTCATTATGAAGCACTGGATTTTTAAAAAATGTTTTTGAGAGGGAGTCTCGCTCTGTCACCCAGGCTGGAGTGCAGTGGCACGATCTCGGCTCACTGCAACCTCCGCCTCCTGGGTTCAAGCAATTCTTCTGCCTCAGCCTCCCAAGTCGCTGGGACTACAGGTGTCACCACCACGCCCAGCTAATTTTTTATTTTATTTTTAGTAGATACCGGGTTTCACCATGTTGGCCAGGCTGGTCTCAAGCTCCTGGCATCAAGCAATCTGCCCGCCTCAGCCTCCCAAAGTGCTGATTACAGGCATGAGCCACTGCGCCCAGCCCTAAAGCACTGGATTTTGAAATAAAAATAATTTATGAAATTTGAGTAAAGTATAAAAATTAGAAATTCATGTCTCTCCAGGGTCACCCTAGACCACAGATCCTACTGAGGAACCGGCCTGATTTCATCAACACAGAAAAGGCCTTATTTTTTACCCTGAGCCAGCAGAATTACTGCAATGCGTGAGTGGCTCTGAAGCTTCCGGTGTTTAGGAAAAGAAAGTAGACTTGAAGGAAATAGCAAACGTGGATGACTCTGCAGCTTAAGGCAAAAGGAATAGATGATTAGATGACATTTTATTCACTTTAAACACCCACTTTGTAAAGGGTCCTTTTAAAGGTCATATTTAGGGTTTGGGCTGTACTTGGAAGATAGAGGAAGGAGGCTTCACTTGGACAGCAGTGTGGGGTACAAAGCATCTGACGTAGGCTTGTAGCTTTGGAAAAAACAATATGTTGGGGTATATGTAGCTCTTTACTCTGCATGTTTATTCCAGTGGGCTTGGCATTTAGTTATCTTTTAAGGAAGGCGTAAGTAGAGGAAACATTTGTAATGCGAAATTACCCAAAATTCTACCAAAAGCAATCCATAGCAGTTGGCATTGCTTTTACTCATGAGAGCTTAAAAATATCTCCCCGTGTTTATTGTGGCAGCGGGTCAAGAGTGAGAGCAGAACGTAAATCTCATTCAGAAATCCGGCCCACATTTTTACTCCCCTTACAAATTCTTTACAATCACAGAAAACAGTTGCCCTATATCAGCTGCCCATGCTAAATGCAGGTGATATTTACCTGTTATATCAGTTTAATGTACAGCCCATCTCATATTCATTAAGTTGATTTGAAAAATGATCAGAAGAATCAGGACTGGGTCCTCCAAGAATATAAAAGCCTCTGAGGCTTTATCCATTTAAGGAAAACCAGGTCTTTCACCTGTGCTCTCGCTTCACCCCAGCATTTTCTTCTACGGCAGAAGCAATGCATTTAGTCATCTCGGAATACTGGTTTAACGCACTAACAGTTGCAGGTGCTTTTCCTGGAATTTTGTCTCTGCAAGAGTTCTATGGTGAGTGTGTTAAAGGCAGCAAGCAAGGGTCACGTAAAGTGAATATTTTATGAGGCCAGGATACATGGCAGTGTAAGCAGAAGCACCCAAGATAATCAAAATAGCTAAAGAATATGATCCACATAGACTTTCAAAGGCATATGCAGTGAAGTGGTGGGACAGTGGGCTGGGAGAAGGGAAGGGGAGAGTGGAAAAGCATTAAAACTATAGGAAATCAGAGAAAATGCTGGCCTTCTGTTCCTTAGCTTCTAGAATTAGCGAGTTGTTATATAATCCAAGCCAGCAGCTGAAGACTATCTGGCTAATACTTTACTTAATTATTCTGGAATGTGCTTTTTTTCTATAAATCAGCCTAAGTCAAAAGAAAGAGGAACTCTCATCTCTGAATCAAATGGCAGGAGGGGCCAGCTGGGAGGGCTCATTCCCCCTGGATCCTATACATATTACTCAGCTCTGTGGCTGTACTGCAGTGCAGGTCAAATGAATTGGTCCCATTAGCGAGCTGGTTATATAGGAGTTAAGAAGAAATTACTTAGGCAGATACTGAGGGTACGGGAGTCCTCAGTAAGGTTTTCCTTTTAATGAAAAGCAACTCCAAAATCATTTTCTTTTCTAACAAACATCAGCCTGTAAAATCAAGCTGCAGACATAGACAAGCAAGCTAGAAGCTTGCACAGGCGAATGCCGGCAGTTGTGCCAATAGGAAAAGGCCTCCTGGGAATAGGCATGTTCAAAATGGCAGCTCCATCTTCTCTTTGCCAGCCACACGTACAGTAAGGAGCAGACAAGATGGCGCTGGCCAAGTAGAAAGTCCATTAGCATAATAAGATTAGGGCAGGGCAACCAGCCTTCCCTGGGCACCATGTAAACATTACACCTGATCAAACCAAACTGTGGGGCCTACGGAAATCCAACACTGCCTCCTCCATCCTGCCTATAAGATCTGGAGCAGTCCGCCGCCGGCCGACTTTTCCCTTTTGGACATCTCTCTCTCATAACAAAGAGCAAGCTGCTCTCCTCTCTCCTTTCTTCTGCCTATTTAACTTCCTGCTCCTTAACCCATTCCATGTGTGTGTGTCCATGTCATTAATCTCAGAACGAGACGACAAACCTCGGGTATTTCCCCAGGCAAGGATGCTGCTTCAATAGGACAGCTCCTTTAGACGAAGGAGACTCTGTAATTTGAATGTCAATGTGAGGAAAAGGGAATGCACATAGAAAAGCAGAAAAGTTGACAGTGCCACTTGTGACAGGATTTTACTGTCATTGTGAAAATTATATGAAATGATTAATTACAGTAAGGCTCAATGTTTCAGCATAATCTATCACAATAATAAGACTTCTATCAGCTTCTAAGTGATGTAGTTCTTTGCAGTCTGCTGGTTTGTCTGCAGCTTGGTGGTCACAGAAGCAGTGCTCTGTGCCAGCTGGATGAGGCTCATGCACCCTGCGACTGATGCACCTGGCTGAGTCTCATTTGCTCTGATTAGTCACTTTTGCCTTCATTTGCTGGAACTAAAATCCTGAGAGTTTACTTGCAAAGGGTGGTGTCTGGTTACATAATTAAGTTATTTAGTGGTGATTTCTGAGATTTAGGTTCACCCATCACCTGAGCAGTGTACTCTGTACCCAATGTGTAGTCTTCGAAAAAAAATTTTAAATGTACCTAATCAATTTGTGAACTTTGGCAAAATAATTTAAAATCAGAGTGTTAAGTGTGTCAATTAGCTTATATTTGCTGTTTTTGATAAAGTAAAAGAAGAAAGAGTTATGCTAAAGGAACAAACTGTTCCGATTGTAAGGAGAATCCTTATCTCCAGCCATTCACACTCAAAGTAAGAAACTATCTCACATCAAGGGTGTAACTATAGTACATTTTGTTGAGGCCTTTGAGAGATTTAAGATTGTACTTAGTAGACACCCTTTAGTTATACAAAACGGTTTCTAATATTAAGGGAGTTGTCACTCAGAAGCTTGGCAAGCCTCCCAGAGTAAAGGTGCCTATTTTTTAAGGAATTTGTGAATGTGGCTTTTGATGAATGGACTAAACTATAACTGGATACACAGAAAAGCCAACATAAAATTAGAAACTATTGTGCATCAGTGGACACAATCAACTGAGTAAAATGGCAACACACAGAATGGAAGAAAGTATTTGCAAATCATATATCAGATAAGGAATTAATATCCAGAATACATAAAGAAATCCCCAGTCTCTATAACAACAATAGCAACAAAAACAACAGTGCAGTTAAAAGATGGGCAAAGGACTTGAACAGACATTTCTCCAAAGAAGACCTACAGATGAGAAATAAGCACAGGAGAAGACACTCAACATCACTAATCATTAAGGAAATGAAAATCAAACCTACAAGATGATACCACTTCACACCCATTAGAATTACTATTATTAATAAAACAAACTGAATATAACAATTGTTGGTGAGAACGGGAAGAAACTGAAGTCCTTGTGCATTACTAATGGGAATGGAACATGGTGCAGCTGCTGTGGAAAACAGTATGACAGCTCTTCAAAAAGTTAAACATAGAATTACCATACGAGCTAACCTTCTACTTTTGGGTATATACCTACAAAAATTGAAAGTGCAGACTCATAAAAATATTTGTACACCAACGTTCATGGCAATAATACAGGAGTTATTAAGAAACAGTTTTTAGGCCACTAGAAAGGGTAAAGGTTCTTGGTGCAAATTTTCCTGTAATAAGAAACAACCCCCTGAAACATTTCTTACTTAACAGAAAACGCAACAGGAAGGGCCAGGCCAGCAAGCTTTGATATGCAAATGCTGATGATTAAAATCTGGGTCCACTTAACATGGCGAGTCCCACCTTTTCCTTCTTGTTACCAGATGTGCCAAGTATTATGGCCACCTTTAGATAACACCATGTGATAAAACAGTGTGGTGACCCACATTTGCATATTAAAGGGCTAAGGTAGGAGGGCCAGGTTTCTCATGGGCTATGTGGATGATACACCTGGTTAAACCAATCCCCTGGGCCCTACGTAAATTAGATACTGCCTCCTTTAGCTTCCCAATATAAGCAACTACTTCTTTGCTGCACCCGGGGTTCCTCTTTGTTCCGAGCCCCCCATTCCTTCATTTATCAGAGCTGTATCATTTTGGTTCATGGGCCGAGAATTCATTCATCGGAGTGGTGAGTATTAGGAGCGAACTTCCACCTTAAATCTGTCCTTTAATTTCAAGGCTCTCCTCCAGCTATCCTGTCGCCAAACTTTTCTTCTCTATCTGTAGTCTCTTACTCTCTGTGTGTGTGTCGAATGTGTGGGAACTTTTATGGGCTAGCGAAATAATCCTGTTAGGCAAGATCAGGAAATGCTGTAGACTGGGGATATAGCTCAGGAAAAATGCCATTGCAACCTTCTAGGAAGAGAGTTCTCGCCTTTCACCCACAGTGAGGTCACTCACTGCTAATGAGCACATGGTATTTCTAAGCCAACAGCGCTTCATCTAGTGGAAATAGAAATCCTCTTCATAAGACACATTGCCGGTCCTTTGCTGCAACAGTTAGGAGTAAGATGTCTTCCACAGCCAAATTTTAGTCTGGATATTGTCCCATCAGCAGGAAAATGGCCATTCAGTTGCTACATTCTTTTAAGGCACCTATTCTGTCTCCAATTAAGATAGTACTTAATTAGTAAGGGGATTTTAAATTCAGAAGATAACCGGAACCATTTTTTTTAAGGGTAAATGCTTTAGCACGGGCCATAATAGCAGGCAATCTAGCACATTGCCTACATTAAAGGAGCCTTGCCCAAAGGTGACACAGTCTCTCCCGAGATCCATTTTTCGGGGAGCCAGGAGGATCACACAGCTTTAGGAAGTCAGAGGGGAATCACACAAGGCAGAGAAGCTAAGGTTGCATGGGTAAAGCGTGGTTAGTCCCATTGCTTAGCTCATCTGATTCCATGGTTTGAAGGACCATGCCTTCAACCATGGGTGGCACATTTAACATGGGGCCAGGATCCAGAAACCAGGGAAGGAAAAATGTCCGAGGATGCTCCCTGTCTTCTCCTCCACTCTGGGTCATATGGAAAGGAAGGAGAATAAGAGGACGCTTTTATTCTCTTTTCTTTTTCTAAATGGGTAACAAATTATCTTCAGCTTGCACCCCTCTGGAATGCACTCGGAAACACTGGCACTTCCTTAACCTCAGAACATTGAAGAAAAAAGCAACTCATTTTCTTTTCCACAAGGGCATAGCATTTTTACTAAACCTTTACAAGCATTGTAAGATCAACCCAGCTCTTTGAGCAATCATATCAGGCAGGCCCAAGGAAAATAGTTCCCCAAAATTAAAAAAGCAATTTCCAGGGGAACCATCTAAGGATCCCCCTTAGTTGGGGCCCCTTCAAGTTCGCTTCTGATTATAGGACCTTAAGCAAATAAAGGGAGACTTAGGCTGATTTTCTGATGACCCTGATAGGTATATAAAAGCTCTCCAAAATAAGAAGTAATGTCATATTGGTCCTAAGTCAGACCCTCACTGCAGCTGAAAAGCAGGCAGCTCTGCAAGCAGCAGAGAATTTTGAAAATGAACAATGTGTATCTCCCATAATACACCAAAAGGTAAGAAAGCAGATTGGGAAAGTGAAAAAGTAGTAGAAACACCATTCCCAATTGGGAGGGAAGCAGTTCCAGTAGACAACTCTAACTGAAACCCCAATAGCTCAGGAGCTAGATGGAA
Organism: Homo sapiens; assembly: GCF_000001405.40. NCBI lineage: Eukaryota > Metazoa > Chordata > Mammalia > Primates > Hominidae > Homo > Homo sapiens. Next base: position 234,252 of record NT_187577.1, on the reverse strand, counting down.
AAGAAAGCACTTTTTAATATGCATTTTAGAAGGCCTATGAAAAACCAGGACCAACCACTCAATTACTCTAAACTATCTATAATAAACCAAAAGCCAAATGAGAATCTTGTAGCCTTTATGGAAAGGCTGAGAGAAGCACTAATAGAACACGCCTCTTTATCCCCTAATTCAGTCAAGGGACAGCTCATCCTGAAGGACAAGTTTATTACACAGGCAGCTCCCAATATTAGAAGAAAACTACAGAAGCAAGCTATAGGACCAAATAGCACCTTAGAGAACTTCCTGAAGGTGGCCACTTCAGTCTTTTATAATAGGGACCAGAAGGAGGCCCAAAAGAAAGAAAGCTCAGAAAAAGGACAAAGTCTCTAGCAGCAGCTTAGCAGGCTTGCAAAGTCCAGGATCCCCCAGGTGCATCGGCTAATTGCTATTAGTGTGGCAGGCCAGGGCATTTTAAGAAGGAATGCCCAGGCAGCAAGATGAAGCCACCTCAAACCTGTCTAGTTTGTGGCACAAACCACTGGAGATGAAACTGCCCCCAGAGGTGGAGGTTACTGGGTTCAGAAACAGTCTCACAGATGGTCCAGCAGGACTAATGGGTCCCGGGGCTCAAGCCCCAGCTCCAGCAGCTCAAACTGCCATTATAGCACAGGAGCCCCAGCTAATTCTGGAAATTAAAGAAAGGAAAGTAGACCTCCTTCTAAACACTAGAGCCAGTCTCTCTCTTTTCTCGTCTCTAATCCAGGCCTCCCCTCTTCCCATAGCATGACTGTAAGGGGCATCTCAAGGAAAACTCTAATCCAATATTTTTCTCAACTTTATTTGCAGTTAAGAGGACCTATTAACACATGCTTCCAAGCCATTGTCATGATAGTTCTACTATTCAAAAAAGCCTCCAAGTTAACCCTAGGAAATAATTTAACTATGTGCACGCCACATAAAGTGGCAGGATTACTGTCCTCTAGGGGGAGCTCTTCTTAGCTAACAAACAGTGGTTAAAGCAAGAAGTGCGTAAGGCTGAATAAACAGTAGTCACTCTCCCCAGGCACAGGCACTCAAATAGCTAAACTAATAGCTCTGACAAGAGCACTTGAATTAAGCAAGGGAAAAATAGCTAACATTTATACTAACACTAAGTATGCTTTCATAGCTCTCCATGCTCATGCTGCCATTTAAAAGGAAACACATTTTCTTACCACCAATAAATCTCCTATAAAATGTCACCAAAAAATTAGCAGGCTATTATCCTCAGTTTTTCTATCACAAAAAAATAGCAAAAATGCACTCTGAGTAACATCAAAAGGAAACAGATAAGGTAGCCAAAAAATATAGGTTAGCTGATCAGACAGCTAAGTCAGCGACAAGGAAACTTCAAGGCATTAACACGCTTCAAGCCCTTCTAATCTAGGAACGCTCCATAAGAAAAATTAACCTCAGTATTCCCCTGCAAAAATAAAATAGGCCACTTCTCAAGGGCATACTTTTCAGCCTTCAAAATGGCTATGGTCAGAGAATGGCAAACTCCATTTTCCAGCTTCCGGCCAATAGAAAGTCCTTAAAATCCTTTACCAGGGGCCAGGCATGGTGGCTCACGCCTGTAATCCCAGCGCTTTGGGAGGCTGAGGCAGGCAGATCACCTGAGGTCAGGAGTTCAAGACATGGTGAAACCCCATCTCTACTAAAAATTTTTTTAAAATAGCTGAGCGTGGTGGTGGGCACCTGTAATCCCAACTGCTCAAGAGGCTGAGGCAGGAGAATTGCTTGAACCCAGGAGACAGAGGTTGACCCAGTGAGCCAGTGAGCCAACCCAGTGAGCCAATACAGTGCCACTGAACACCAGTCTGGGTGACAGAGTGAGACTCTGTCTCAAAAAAAAAAAAAAAAAAAAAATCCTTCACCAAGCTTTTCACTTGAAAAAGGATAAAACTTATCAATGTGCTCAAAAATTGTTTTCAGGCAGAAAACCTCTAAACTGGTTAAACATATAACCTCTCTAGCTCACTTCCAACAGGAACCATCTTTATTTAACCCAGGAAACTTAGTATTAGTAAAAACTCTTATCTCTCCTTAATAAGCCAAGCTGGGAAGAGCCCTACACTGTTCTTCTTTCAAACCCCTCAGCAGTAAAAGTTACAAAAATCAACTCCTGAATACATCACACTCAAGTCAAAGCCTGAAAAACTGAGGGAGCAACCCCTGACAGCCCAGAAAAATGTCCAAAATATCAAAGTGAAGAAATAGAAGATCTTAAGCTAAAAATCATAAAAAATAAGTAACTAAGTGAGGACTACTCATCTTACTTAGCCCCACTCCTACCTCACCAGATACTTTTTATTGTTTCTAACCTTTCCTCTCAAAGTTCACCACCGAATATTAAAACTTCTTTTAAATGCATATTTGCAGGGAGATTTAATTATACATGGGATTGCCTTTATAACTTTGTAAGTCCCCAAAGGGAAATGTTAAATCTTGGCAAGTAAATAAATTATTGTTCTGCCAATCATAACTATATTTTTAAAAAATGAATATTAGCCATACATATATTTTTTATTTTGCTAACCATTGTTCATGGTGTTTTATTTCCTTACGGATTGTAAGCCCATTTATGTATGGCTGATATTAATCTGTAGGAATCCTGAGGTATTCTGCTTGAAGTGACATTCCTCCAGATATAAATACTATTTGCTTCCATCATGCACCCTCAGCTTTTACCAATCTGGGACAAATGTAGCCTCATGGATTAGAATCCTAACCACATAGGTAACAAATATTCGGAGCCTAAATTCATAAGAGATCCAAAGTATAGTCATGAATTCTCAATATGAGTATTTTATTCATTGGTTTTTCTTTTTGTTTCATTTACCTAGAACTGAGAAGAAAACAGGTGATAATATGTTTTCTCCTTTTGCTTTAAAGAAGTGGCATATTTGTTTTGTAGACCATCCTTCCAATTAGACTGAGACAGTTAAATATTATTATTGTATATGAGGGTTGAGGGCTTAAGGGAGTTGTAACCTATCCTTTCACTGAGGATGTAGGTTTTTTGAAAAATCAAAAATGTCAACAAGCTTTAGAAATTAAGATGCTTCACTTTGCAAAAGTGAGTAGATGCTGTATACAAAATAACAAAAACTTGATTAATTTGTATGAATGTGTTCATCGCAAACGTAAAATAGAATGGTTGGTAATTTCCATTGCCTCACTGAAATCAAGTTAAAGAGATATATTAATTTTAAAATAACAATGCATAAAGTAAGACTTACCAAATTTTTGTCCACAACAATATGCATTTCAATATATCGAGGGAATAACTTAATAAAGTCAGTTTTCTGAAAAACACACGAGTCATGAGGAGCTTACAAAAATTTACCTTCTACTGAAATTATATTGAGAGATACACTGAAAGATACATTGCTCCTGATTACATAACGAGGCTGTTTTCAAGTACAAAATTAGGTGCTATTCAGAAGATTCCAGTTCAAAGTGCCCTGGGTAGTAAGACTTTTCTATTAGACTTCTCAAGATACGTAAAAACTCAGGAATCTTTTACTTTTATAATAATTGAAACTGAAGTTTTCAGTTTATAACATACAGCTTTGGTTTTTCTTAGCCTTTTGATAATTTTCATACTAATCTTTCACGCAAGCAGATTTTCTGCTACCAATTACTAGGAAGTTACTTCTGGCAAACAATGTAGTCTAGAAAAATATTAAAATTTACAACCAATGGCAATTTGCTAGAGCCAGACATGTTATTTAGAGCAGTCTATAGGTCTTGGTAGAGAAAAAAAATCATCACTTTGCTTTACATGTACTTTATGTAAGTTGCTCATCCATTTTTGAACTCTCAACTGAGAAATCCAGGTTGTATGATATTCTCCCCTAAATTTTCTGAGTAATTGAAGAAAAAGAATATTTTACATTAATTATCTAAATGTTCACATATGAAAATTAATGTTTCAGTTTCTTTTATACTATATTCATATCTTTATATTTCTAAGATTAAGTTTTTGCTAAGCTTTCATCTAACGGCAAGCATAATGACAAACATAAGTTTATTCTCTTGCCATTTTAAAAGTCATGTAGGGCCCTCATGAAGAAGTAAAATAGTTTTAAGATTTGTAAGTCACCAAATCTTGGCTCTGAAAGTATTTTTTATTACACAAAATTATACTAAATTAAAATAAAAGAGTCAATACTTACTTCTGAACTTTTTCTGACTTGATACTCTGAATTAAACCAAGTATAAGTGTCATTTTCTTCTAAGAGAATATTAGTGTCAGCATATTTTTCTTCATAAATCTTGTGTATAAATCCTGATAACAGCCTCCATCGGTTCAATTCCATATGAGATGTTTTTCAGCTGCATTGTTCCCCTGAGTGTTAAGACAATCGAAACAAGTCTGAAATGATTCTACTAAAACCATAATTTTTTTTTTTTTTTTTTCTTTGAGACGGAGTCTTGCTCTGTCGCCCAGGCTGGAGTGCAGTGGCGCGATCTCGGCTCACTGCAAGCTCCGCCTCCCGGGTTCACGCCATTCTCCTGCCTCAGCCTCCCGAGTAGCTGGGACTACAGGCGCCCGCCATTACGCCCAGCTAATTTTTTGTATTTTTAGTAGAGACGGGGTTTCACCATGTTAGCCAGGATGGTCTTGACCTCCTGACCTCGTGATCCGCCCGCCTCGGCCTCCTGAAGTGCTGGGATTACAGGCGTGAGCCACCGCGCCCGGTCTAAAACCATAATATTATAACGAGAAATTTGGGCCACAGTTTTTAAGATCTAAAGTGACCTTAGCTTTTTTTTTTTTTACTTTTATCTCTTTATCTTTTGGGGTCTTTCTTACACCAGAACTAGACGACTATATCACAGGATACATATTACCTTACATTACAAATCTGTGATTATCTTCAAGAAAGCATGGTGGTGGCATGGATCTGTGCACTTAAACAGGTTGAAACCCCTTTCTATTATGTATATTTTCTAACCAGCCTGTAGAATCTCTAGGCAGTCTCTTCTTTAGTCTTTGATTCCTTCTCTTTGATACACTTAACTCTCCTCTGACACTTGATACCCTAAATCATTTGTTTGTGTGGGCTGGATTGAAGGTACCATATGCCTAATAATGACTGACTGCAGAGCCAGCGTCCATTAGTCCCATGCATTCCACAATTGTCAATTTTTCTAGGACATTAGGAAATTGGACAATAACAGAATTTGAGAAAACTAAAAAAGTATGAGGAGACCAATCAATCTCCCTACACTCAACCTTTCTTAAAGCCTAAAGCAGCAGATCCTGTCAGTATCAACAGGTAGCCTCTCATCAGGAACAGATACTGCTAGAATATCAATACTATTTTATTAGTAATTTTGGTTCAGTCCTTAAGGAACTGAAATATAACAAAGGTGATTATAGAATTAGAACAGATACATGGAGAATTAATTCATAGGCTAGCAGGATATAATACTGGCAAATTGAGTATCTTTAAGTAGTCTACAACCTGAGTCCTGAACATACGCTGAGAGTCACAAGAGAATTTGGAATACCCGCAACATATCCATTATAAATGCAATCCATCTAGGAAAAAAAAAGAAAAATTAATGGATAACTTATTTTTAAAATAAACACCCCATATATTTTATTTATATTTATTTATATGTATTACTTTATATTTTTTATTTATTTTTTACTTTAGCTACATTTACTATTTATTACTTTAGCTACATTTCTACTTTAATATGATTGGCAATTACCTAATAAATTTGTGCCATGTAGAAATAAGCACCAGCCCAAGTTATTCAATTTCAGCGAATATGTAAAATAACATTCTAGTTATTATAGAATATTTGTCTTTTTAAAGAAATCTAGAATTACAAATACATAAGAAAAAAATAACCTAATTCTTACCTGAACTAGCAGAGGTTTGGAATGACGGATGTCATTTTCGTCATAAGAATTAATAACAGAAGCTGAAGATAAAATTGATCTAGGCAAAAATAATAAAAACATGCTCAAGTTGTGAAACCAAAAAGGTAGAAAAAATATTCTTATACAAATTTTCTTTTTACTGAAAAATTTAAAGTAGTGCTAATCGACTTGTTTTATTATTGTCCATGCATTTCTAGCACTTAAACTGAATTAGGTGCTTAGTGAGACATTTTAACTAGAATAACATACAATACAAAAATGCAGATAAGTGAGCAACTCAGATTGCTAGAGACATGAAGAGGAAATAGCATAGGTCCCAATTTCCAGCATAGAACTTTCTAGTCTTTGTCTATTTCACTCATTGATTTTAGATTTTATACCAAAGTTTCAAAATTAAAGTGTAAGGTTAGGACAGTGATACGGTTTGGCTCTGTGTCCCCACCCAAATCTCATCTTGCGGCTCCCATAATTCCTACATGTTGTGGGAGGGACCCAGTGGGAGATGACTGAATCATGGGGGCGAGTCTTTCCCATGCTGTTCTTGTGATAATCAATGGGTCTCATGAGATCTGATGGTTTTAAAAACGGGAGTTTCTCTGCACAAGCTCTCTCTTTGCCTGCTGCCATCCACGTAAGAGGTGACTTGCTCCTCGTCTTCCACCATGATTGTGAGGCCTCCCCAGCCATGTGGAACTGTAAGTCCAATAAACCTCTTTCTTTTGTAAATTGCCCAGTCTTGGGTATGTCTTTATCAGCAGTGTGAAAACAGACTAATACAAACAGAAAATGTAGAAAGAGTTACTTGTTCTCACTACAAATTCATATTTGCTAAGCTATGCTAAGGGCCAATTTCTTCTCAATAACTCCGGTCAGAATTTTATTTCCCTCAGTAACTATTCAAAAACTTGAGACTACTCCTGTCACTCATCCCACAAAACCCCCATGTTCCCTCACTGTCAGATCACCTGTTCCCATCTGCACTCCTTATCTTTATTGCCAGAAGATTACTGCTTTCATTCAGAACAAACCCTTACACTGGTGCTACAGATACCATCCTGTGCCATATACGGAGGACACTACTTTTTCTATCCTATAATTTTGAACTCTTATGCTCTACTGGATTTTTATCATAATGCTATTTAAAATGATACTAATAAGTCATTATTATCCTAAAGAACTCTTTCTTGACCCCATGTTCTACTGTAGCTATTCCTTATGTACATGTTTTTCAATTCTTAACAGATTTCATCAAAAGAATTGTCTACACACAATTCCTTCACTTTCTCAATTCTTATTATCCCTAAAACTTCCCTGGAAAAGATCCACAAATATTAGAACGCCAAATCCAAAAGGCATTTTAAAAAATCATTGTTACATTGGACCTCTAGCTTCTTTTTGAAAACTGTGGCCACTCAGTCCCCTCACTTAATTTACATAACACTTCATTCTTCTGCTATTCTTCCTACCTCCTTGGTCCCTCCAGCTTTATCTTCCATGTTGGCTGCTGTTTTTGTTCAACCTATCCCAGGAAACATTGCCGTTTCCCAGGGTCCAGTCTTTAGCCACGATCTATTTATAAGCACCCTACGTAAGAGCACTCATTAAAAAAAAAACACAGCCAAGCTACTGCTTTCTGCTCAATCTATATACCTATAGCTAAAACTATTTTCCAATATTCCTATTGAATATTTTCAGAGATTCAAATTTCCTAGCCACATATGGCCCAGGATGGCTTTGAATGCGGCCCAATGCAAATTTGTAAACTTTCTTAAAACATTATGAGATTTTTAAATTTTTTTTTAGCTCATCAGCTACCATAAGTGTATTTTATATGTGGCCCAAAACAATTCTTCCAGTGTGGCTCAGGGGAACCAAAAGATTGGACACCCCTGATCTAGAGGAAAAAACACACTTGGATATCTCATATGTGCTAAAAAACCGAAATCACCCCTTCCTCACACAAATATATCCCCTGTTCATATTCCTCAGTTAATTATGCTATAGCCTATTCATTTTCTTGAGCGACAACTAAATTATCTGAAATTCCTCACTGTTTACTAATCATTCTACCAAATCTATATTGAGGTCCACCGATTTTTCTTTCAAGTGCTATCACTGGTGCCATCATTCAAACCACCACTGTTACTCACCTAAACTGTATCGTGATATAATTGATCACCTTAACTCTAATTTGTCCCCTCAAAAACAGCCTAAAAGACTCAATGTGGCTACATAAGTACATACTTAAAACCATTTTTGGCTCCCAATATCTGACCATGGCATTCTGAATCTTCTACAGCCTGGCTCCTACCTACCTTTCCCGAATCTTTTACCTCTATTTTTCAGAAAATTTGTGCTTCAGTAATTCACATTGACTATGCACATCAGAAAAGCCACTCTGTCTCACACCTCTGTGCTCTACCATGATTTCTTCTCGAAACAGAATGTTGGCTGGGTGCAGTGGTTCACGCCTGTAATCCCAGCACTTTGAGAGGCCAAGGAGGGAGAAATGCTTCAGGGCAGGAGTTCAAGGCCAGCCTGGGCAACATGATGAAACCCCATCTCTACTAAAAGTACACAAAATTAGCCAGGCATGGTGGTGCACACCTGTAGTCCCAGCTATTTGGGAGGCTGAGGCATGAGAATTGCTGGAACCCAGGAGGTAGAGGTTGCAGTGAACCGAGATCACTCCACTGCACTCTAGCCCGGGCAACAGAGCAAGACTCTCTCAGAAAAAAAAATGTCCCCCTGTCCTGCCCCTCTACTTTATATAGCTCTGTCTCCTCCCTTAAGATACAAGTAATCTGTTACCTCTTCCATAAAAGCCTTTCCTGACTTCCAAGTAATACTATTTACACATTTATCATATTACCATATTATAATAAAATTATTTGTTTTTCTATTAAGGTATCTGAATGTATCTTTCTTTATTATAAATTCTTTAACAGTGCAATATGTTTTATTCTCTTTTGCATGCCTAGGACTTTACTCAGTACCCAGTATAGAGTAGGCATCAATATATTTGAATCAAAATGATTCATTCTACTTATACATACTTTTAGAAATTAAGAAGCCAAAGTATTAAAATTTGAAAGGACAAACTAATTACTTACTGCTTTTTGAGATGGACAAAATATGGCTTTCCCTATGGTAATCATGTAAATAACCTATAACAAAATTATTAGAAAAATTCAATAATAACACATGCCAAATAGTGTATCTTCTCCAAATTAGAGTTTAAAATATTGACAAAATTAATAACAACCTGTAACCATTATATTGGCTTTCCTTCCCACACAGATACTTGGAGCTTCAGAATTCTGCATTGAGAACTAAGTGATAAAGCACTCACTTGCCTGCTATTCACTATTACTCACACCTCTGAGGGAGAAGCTTATCTGATGATTATTGTCTTTCAGTTCAGACAGACCCCATCATCAACTCACAACTAATTGTGAGGACCCATTGGTTGCTTACCTAGAGCTCTCCTGGAAGGTAAATTGTCCTGCTCATTGAAAGAGACCCTCCCAAAAGATATAAGTACAAGAAATGTAATATACTTCTAGCAATATAACATCAAAAGCCATTGCATTTTACTTATCTGTGTGAGCAATCAAACTCCTCTGGAATAGAATGTAGGAGAGAATACAGGGAGACTAAAGACATGTCTAGAGAACACCATAGAAGATAACAGAAAATGCAATGGTCATTAAATTATGTATTTGGTTAATTTAAGAAATAGCATTTAACAGTTTTCAATTCCTCAACTTTATACTGGAGCATAACAAGCTACTTTGATTCAGGTAAATGTTCTGTGAGGAATCGGTTGAATGGCATTGTGAAAAGAAGTATAAGTGGAATTTGGAAGGGACCTTTAAAATTGTGCCCTCTAAAATCCTTTGATATTAAACAAATAAGATTAAAATTAAAGGATAATATGAAAGCAACAATAAAATTTAAAATCCACATATCTTACAAAGCTAAAACAAAAAAACTAAAATAAACCAAAAATGTACAAAACCAACCAATAGAAGGAAAAAACTCTCGAAAGACACATTATCCAGAGCCTCCACATCTTTTCATATACAATATCCAACTGATATAAGCTGAATTGTAACCCCCCTAAAAATTCATTAGATGAAATACTAATCCCCAGCACCTCAAAATGTGACCATATTTGGAGATAGGGTCTTAATGGCTGATGTCATTCTTAACTGTGAGAACCATGAAAGTTTTCCTATTAAATCAGGAACAAGGCAAAGGACTTCCCTTCTCTCCGGTACTTTTTAATATCACACTGAAAGTCCTAGCTAATGCAATAAAGCAAAAAAAGGAAATAAAATGGATACAGATTTGCTAGAAATAAATGTGTGTCCTTATTCACAGATTACATGATTGTCTATGTAGAAAATCTGAAAGAATCACCAAAAAAAAAAAACCCTGGAACAAATAAACAATTGTGGCAAGGTTGCAGGATACGAAGTTAATATTAAAAACTCATTATCTTTCCTTTGTACCAACAATGAACAGGTAATAAGTTAAGTGAAACACACAATGTCATTTACATTTCACCCTGAAAAATGAAATGCTTAGGTATAAATATAGCAAAATATATATTTATGAGAAAAACTACAAAACTAATGCAAAAACTCCAAAAGAACTAAATAAATGGAGGGATATTCCATGTTTATAGATATAAAGACTCAATATTGTCAAGATGTCAGTTCTTTCCAATGTCATCTATAGATCAATGTAATCCCAATGAAAATATCAGCAAGCTATTTTATAGATACCAACAAACTGATTCTCAACTTCATATGTAGAGCCAGAAGACCCAAAATAGCCAATATAATATTGAAGGTGAAGAACAAAGTTGGAGAATTGACACCACCCAACTTCAAGACTTAGTATAAGGCCAGGCGCAGTGGCTCACACCTGTAATTCCAGAACTTTGGGAGGCCAAGGCAGGTGGACCACCTGAGGTCAGGAGTTCAAGACTAGCCAGGCCAACATGACAAAACCCTGTCTCTACTAAAAACACAAAAATTATCTGTGCACGATGGCGGGCACCTGTAATCTCAGCTACTCAGGAGGCTGAGCCAGGAGAATCACTTGAACCTGGGAGGCAGAGGTTGCAGTGAGCCAAGATCATGCCACTGCACTCCAGCCTGGGCAACAGAGTGAGACCCTGTCTCAAAAAAAAATAAAAGATTTAGTATAAATTTACAGTCCTCAAAACACGGTGGTGTTTGCAAAATCATAGACAAACAGTTCAAAGAAATAGAGATCCCAGAAATAGATCTACATAAATATGGTCAATGGATCTTTGACAAAGAAGCAGAGGCAAAACAATATTTTTAAAAGACAGTCTTTTCAAAAAAATTGTACTAGAACAACAGTATTGCCACATGCAAAAAATAAAAATAAAAAAGAATCTAGACACAGACTTTAAATCCCTCACAAAAATTAACTCAAAATGGACCGCACGCCTAAATGTAAAATGCAAAAACTGTAAAACTACTGGAAATGTTCACTAGAAAAAAAGAATAAAATACATTGGGTGTGACCACTGTAGAAATTATGTTGCGATCTAAATGAAACAGACTATAACTGCAAGCAAATTCTACAAAACAGAGAACTGTTAGGGGAAGTCAAATCATCAGGAAGCTGTAATTTTAGAAGGAAGTATGTAATTTAGATGCTTATAATTTATTTCAGGTGAACAACAAATAATTTAGTATAAGTAAGCCTCATGTAGTATTTCTCTTTTATCTTTATGTACACATGCATTTAACTGGGTATTCTGTATTTTTATTTACAAAATCTTATAACTGTACATCCTTAGGCACTTTTACTTTTGCAGGTCCTACCCCATATGATACCAAACATATTCAAATAAAATCACATCCCACAATAATTATAATTTTCTGTTGCTAAAATATATTACAATGTAAATTTTTAAATCATTATAGTTAAAAGAAACACACTGAATTTCCATATTACAAATGCCTTTATAAAAATTCTGGAAATTAGACATGTGAGAAATTCAAAGATTATCAGTGATAAACAATGGAAAGGGAGAGTTGGCATTACTGATCTCAGGAAAAAGGAAATTAAACAAAGATGTAATGTCACCTCTTCTTTCCAATCAGAAAGGGAAGCTGTCATAGGGCTCATACACCACAGCATAGCTAGTAATTCACTTGGGAGGCAGCGTGGAGGGGTGTTCAAAGCTGCATGATAAGCATGTTGGTAAATAAAACTCAGCTACTAGAGGAAGAAAAGGTAAAGAAAAGGTATATGGGGAAGGGGAAAAGATATAAATAGTATATCCTTATGTGAAACAGAGAGGAAAGATTTCTGAAACCACTAAACGGAAAAAAAAATTTGGAGGCCTATAATTACTAAATAACAATAGATTATCTTATACTGGAAGAAGCCATGTGAGAAGTATTCTCCTGCTGAATTATTAGAGAAGGACCATTCACTACCATCCAATCTCGGACTGTGAAATTGATGTGATCATTAACAGATAAGCCTGCCCAGAGGTCATCACTATTCAGATCCTCACTGACTTAGTAAAAGCTAAGACAAATCACTAGGGGATCACTAGGGCTAGAACTAGGATACCAGAAAACTCAGTTATCAAGATAAATCATATCTTAATGCAACCTTTTTAAAAATCAATGCAAAAAAACACCATGATGAAAAAAATACCAAAATTTTCAAGACAGACAGGATCTGATCCTGTAGTTACATGATTCATTTCACTTGCCTCACCCTAATCCTGGTCCTGGGGGGATCCAAGTTTTCTGCTACCTCCTTAAATTTCAAACTTGGGGGATCCTATACCTAGCATTTTGGCCCCAAGGGATCTTATCCCTAAAATCCTTCATCATCAACAGAAACACACACACACAGTCTCACACATTCGTAAACATCAAAATGCTCCCTCTTGTGAACCTGTTCTCAGCTGTCAGCTCTGCCTCCAAGAAGTGCAATCCTGCCCACATTCAGCACCTTTGGTCTTGACATTAAACGTAACTTGAACAACATTTCATAGTAAAAATATTATTAAAATTACATTATGTTCTGGATCTGTTTTTGCATCCGATGATGAAATCTTCTCTGGAATTGTGGTCTGTAGGAAGATTTTATGAGGATCTAAAAATAAATATAAACTATGTTATTTTGATACCTGTGGTCTTATGTTATTCATTTCTAACTCTGATTCTGCATTTGTTTCTCTACATTAGCAGCTATTTTTAAAATAATCTACACATCTCGCCCTTTCCACTGTCTTTCTAGTCATTCTTACCTACAAATTTCTGACCCCTGGTCAAGATCTCAAATTTTTATTCCCATTCTCCCCTGCAAATCCCTCTCTCAACACACACACAGACACACACACACACGCACAGTTGGCACTGGCACAGCTAAGTTAACACTAAGTACCAGATTCAGTGTTATAAACAGATGTGGAAATGAGAAAACACAGATGCATCAAGAAAGGTTTTGCAGGGACAAATATAGAATATTGAATACAAGGATGATCTGCACTTTTCAATGGGGCAGGTGGAGGATAACAGTTGCCAAATCAGTAAATCCTTGATAGATAGCTTTTTTTACAGTGATGCAATTATTCGTAGAGTAGCAGAATTTTGTATGTGGAAAAAACCACATATTTCATTTTTGTTCATTTTCCGCATCAGGAAGCCATCCCAGAGAAGTTAAACGATTTTCTGTCGGAGGCTGCCTCTCTGCCTTTTTGGCCACAGACCTTGAAGCAAGGGGCCAGGAGAAAGCGGGAGAGCGTGGAGCCAGGGTAAAGTCTGGGCTGGACCTGGGCCGTGGAAAGAGTGAACAAGGTCTCCCTCGGAAGCCTGGATTCCTGGACTTACTGAGGTCTGCATGCATCCCACCAAGTCCAGTGAGAAGCACCAGAAGAAGGAACATGGCTCGCTGTCTTAGAGCCCTGGCGATGAACAGCAGTTGAGACGTTGAGAGCTGGAGAGGCGCAGCTCGCGCAGGGCTGAGCGCGCGTGAGGCGGCCCAGGAAGGCTGCGGAGAGGAAAAGCGCACAGACGAAGCGGGAGGTGATTGGAAGTAGGTAACGCGCTGCTGGCAGGCAGCTGAGCACTCAAGAGAAGCGTCTCAGCATTGATACGCCAGTCAGTTTATTGTTAAAAAAGAAAGGATTCCTAATTGTCAATTCTCAGGTTAGGGTGGTGCCTGGTGACGCTTTTGCTTATATCTTTTACTTAGACCATCGCTTTTTTAATTAACTTCCAGTTACAGTGAGAAAAGAAACAAATATAAACATATTCTGGTTACTGACAGCAATCAAGTTTCTTCCCATTACATTAATATACCATGCAAACAGTTTAGCTAGAACCAGGCAAAATGCATGTTTGCAGAAAATGTTGCAAACGCTGTGATTTTAACATTCCATGGCTGGGGACACCATTATAGGACAGCTATTGAATGCCGAACAGCCCATACAGTCCCTGCTCAGACGGACTTCCAACAAATCTTCTCTAATGTCCCAAACTATTACTGCTACATTCTGTGTAATCCTGCAATCCCTAGCTTTTACTTCTTTATTCAGACCTTTTAAAATTCTGCCTCTAGCAGAAGCAGAAACAGTTTAGTTTATTGGGGTCCATAGGCACTCTTTCCTTTGCAGGTCCTAGCACACATCATATTAAATACACTAAAATACAGCCACATCCCCACATTAACTGTAAATTTTCAGTAAAAATCTGAAAGCGTGTTTATAAATACGCTTTGAAATTACTTGGATGCAAATCTAAGGGACGTTATCAGCAGAACAATAACAAAAATATTTAAAAAAAGAACCAAGAGACAAAGAAGTAAAGTCACAAGACATGAAATTAATAGTAGAATGGATACAATTGCTTAATGAAGCAGAAATTTGGAATATCAGGTTGGCAAACTCTGACAGAAAAGAACAAGGAAAGAAAAAAAGTAGGAATGCAAAAATAAAATTAAGTTATATGGAAAATAGAAATAGAACTGCCTGTATCTAGAGAATAGCATTTCCCCACCAAAAAAGAGAAAAATCAAAATAGGAGGAAATATTTAAAGAAATAATGGAAAAAGTTTCTGTACATTTAAAAAGTTAGAGAATGACCTTAGATTGAAAGAACCCAGAGATTGCAAACTGGGCATTGAAGAGGAAAACACACACACACACACACACACACACACACACACACACACACACACCTGAAATTTAAAATGATAACAAAGAGAAAATCCTAGAATCTTCTAAAGGAAAAGAACAGGTTGCCTACCAAGGAACAAGAATCAAATCAACATTCATAGCCATACTGAACACATGAAATCAATGGGTTAATATTATTAAATTGTTAACTGAAAAGAAATCTGAAATATTATTCAAATGTGAGGGCATGAGTTTTAAAATTCTCTTCAATATATAAATTCAAATAAAATTTGACGTAAAAATACATATCAGAAAGGCATTTCGTAGAAGAAACCACATGATAAGGAAAACAGAAGATTATATTAAATGATGTCACAGTAACAGCAATCAAATATCTTTCCAGAGTTTGTTTATATGTGAGAGAAAAATACTACATCAAATAATGAAAACATATATATCTAATAATCTAGAAGCATACTTTTAGACAATATGACTATGATGGGAAGAATGGAGAGGGGCAATGTCAAAATGATAATGTTCTCAATTTGAAACATTCTAACATGTATTTATATAACTAAATAGCTTTAAAATGTATCAACAAAAATTGATAGGAGTATAGGGGAAAGCTGGCAAAAGTATCATCAGGATTGGAGATTGAAACACATCTCTTATAATTATTTATAGATCAAGCAGGCAAAATTTAACAAAAATATATGAGAGTTGGATGACTCAAATAAGTATGATCTAGTAAACATTTGTACAATTCTAGATCAACCATAGAGAATACACATTCTTCCCAACCACCCACAAAATATTTACAAAATGATCATGTCCTAGGTTTTATAATATTTCACCAATTTTAAAGAATAAGCATGTAATTGAGTTTATATGTTTTCAATTATATTGATAATCACTATATATTAAGTGAACCAGTCAATTTAATATTAAGGAATTATTGATATAGTTGGATCGTAATTACCATTAACTTTCCATTTGCCCTGTCCTATTTTTCCTCTCCTTTCTTGCCTTCTTTTGGATTGATCATTATTATTTTATTTTCCTACTTTATTGACATGACAGCTATGTAGTTTTTAAATTTTTTAGTGGTTACCTTAGAATTATAGCATTTACTCAAGATAATGTCCCTATCTTAATGTCTACTGATTATCAACCTTAATTACATTTACAAAGTTCCCTCACAGAAATACCTAGTTTTAACTAGGGAACAGGAATTTTGAAGGAATATCTTTAGAATTCTGCCTGCAATAATGTCTTCTAGTCCTTCGGGTCCTTATCAACCAGGTTTAGATATGATTCTTCAGGTGTCATTCTTTGAGGATGAGGTGGTATGGTGTTTTAACAGGTCTTTTAGGTGGTAAAAAGGTACAGTCCCCCCGAACCTGCCATAATGTATACAAACTTTGAATTTTTGTTGCTAGATGTTGCTAGAGTGGCAAACAAATTTCACCGAGTCTTTCCACAACCCAAGATGCCTAACCTGAATTAGGTCACGTGCAACCTGAAAACCCCTAAAGTTGTACAGGGAAATGAGAGTGATGTTGAAATGATGCATGAGGTTTATCTCTCCATAAAGAAATCGCTGGTATCCTGGGACCTCACCTCTTATGAAATGCTTTTCTAGGACCTTAAAGCTGCTATATGATTTATGGCTGGCTCCATCACCCTCATGTCCAAATGCGTAAGGATGGCAAGCACATAGAATACAGTCTGTTGACATAGATTTAAAGAGAAAGGTGAAGGAGCCTAGTCAAGTAGGCAGAACTGAAGACAGTACTCATGAAATGTACCTGGATGCTAAAGTTCCATCAGGCTGCTCCTTATAATTTCTGTTACTTGTCTGTGCCTAATAGTTTAGCTAACCTGTCTGGCATTCTAATGGTTGGAGAAATTTGATCAGCATTGAGCTGGCCTAATTCCTATACATTCAAGTTTCTGACATTTCTAATAGAATTGAAAAACTAATTTCCTATATGGATGCCCACCACATTTCTAGAATATATTGACCTTGAACAATACGGTTGATGGGCAGACAAAACCTATAGGCTCTCTGACACGACAAACACACTGAAAACAATGAAGAAAAGGAGTGAATAAAATGTGCATGAAGAAAAGAATATTGCCTTTTGTGGGGCCCAGCCAAGATGGTTCCTATGGCAGCTTGAGAACACCTTCAAGTAGCTCATGAGTGTGAAGTTAGCTACAAATTAGTTCTTGCTCCAGGCATCCTCTGTTTCCTAAAATTATTGACCCATACTATCACTGACAGATAGATTGCAATGGGTCCCTCTTTATGTTATATCCATAAAGCAGAAAGGGTGTTATCACTTTAGCTAATTCTAATTTGGTTTATGCAGAAAGCAAATTCTTCAGCAGCTAATTATCCATGATTCCACAATGCCTGTTCAGAAAACACATTTTTGCACCTGTTGTCTGTCTTTGGAGAAGGCATATGTATGCCTGAGGTTGGCAGGGCTAGACAAAGGATCTAGGCAGTTCATCTGGATTCAGGAAAGTGAACCTGCATGGCTAGGCCAATAAATTGGAGAGAGAGAGACTTGCAAATGCAGTGGCTGGAAAAAACAAAATTCCTCTCTTTAATTCCTCCTGGAGTTAACCTACTGCATGCAAATAGCTGTCATTCTAGCTGAAATGTATTGTAGACCAGCACTAGCTGGTTATAATGTTGGGTGTGAAATCTCTCTTCATCTGTGTCCACAGAGAACACGTCAGTAAATAAAGAAAACATAAAGACATGGAAACATCTCATGTTCACAGATTGGAAGATTTAATATTGTTAAGGTGACAGTACTACCAAAAACTATCTACAGGTTCAATACAGTCCCTATCCAAATCCCAAGTGGTTTTGTTGTTGTTTGTCTTTTTTTGTTTGTTTTTTGGGGTTTTGGTTTTTGTTTACTATTTTTGTTTTTTGCAAAAATAGGAAAATCCATCCTAAAATCCAATTGGGTATTTCAGGATTTCTTCAAAGAAGTTAAAATTTATACCAAATATGTTTGACTCCATTAAATGTTATGAAGAAGCTACTTCTACATTAGCTAAATATTCAGCTCCCATGAACGGAATCTTCTATCACCATTAACTTACAGACAGAAAAAATTAGAAAACTGATAGAAACATAAAAGACTGGGATCTGAAAAGCTTACCTTAGATTTTCATCACTTAAAGATAGGATTGGACATATTCTTACAGAAAGCATTTCTGAAATGAGAGACACCAGCAGTAAACTGAATGGAAAGGATGCCTTCATCCTCACAGCCTCCTCCTGAGCATCCAGCAACACGTAAGAAGCCCGTGAGACTCTTGGCCCTTTCTTGAACTTATGAAAAAAAGAAAAGTTCTTGGATATTACGAACTTATGAGGCTCACCAAATATCCAGATATCCGGAAACCATAAGCAAATACCTTCATGTATGTGTCTAAGTAGTTATTCATGGCAGTCTTTACCAATTGCAATGAATATAGTCCTCCTGAGAGTAAATTCTACAAATGATAAATACTTCACTGAAATTAAGGAAGATAGATTGACAATCCATTATTTTCTTGTCTTTCTTAAATACTAACTCGTGTGCTTACTGAATGGCGGTTTCATTTTAAAACAAAATTGGATACATATAAGGAAGATCATTGCATGCTGTTACAGTTTTCACTTTAAAAAAGAAATGTATTCTAGATTTTCAGATATACGTTTAAATTAAAGCCATGGAATATTTTTATTAAATAGATTAAAATACACTTACTTTACTATAAGTTTTCTGTGGCATATCCATTAGCTGAATATTTAATAATAAATGATCATTGAATAATAGATTATAAAACCACAATCTGAGAGACTGAGACATAATTACCACACCAGGAATGTTTTCTAATGGAGTGTGAAGATTTATTTCTATTCTATTCTGGAAGAATTCAGATAAAAAAATTAAAAGTCCTCAAAAACATGAGATAGGTATATTTGAAGTATTATTGTACATATTTTATAAATACTTGTATAGTTGAGGTCCTTTGAGCAGTTCTCAATTATTCAATTCCCAGAGGTCAACTGCTTTGGTTACTAATACAACCTGAAAAAATGCAGAATTTCATAAATATCCCGGGTTTTTTTTAATTTCTTCTTCTTATTATTATTATTATACTTTAAGTTCTAGGGTACATGTGCACAACGTGCAGGTTTGATACATAGGTATACACGTGCCATGTAGGTTTGCTGCACCCATCAACTCGTCATTTACATTTGGTATTTCTCCTAATGCTATCCTTCCCCCAGCCCCCCAGCCCCCAACAGGCCCTGGTGTGTGATGTTCCCCACCCTGTATCCAAGTGTTCTCATTGTTCAATTCCCACCTATGAGTGAGAACATGCAGTGTTTGGTTTTCTGTCCTTGTGATAGTTTGCTGAGAATGATAGTTTCCAGTTTTATCCACGTCCCCACAAAGGACATGAACTCATCCTTTTTTGTGGCTACATAGTATTCCATGGTGTATATGTGCCACATTTTCTTAATCCAGTTTATCATTGATGGACAAATAAATATCCATTTTTTACAATGTTATATAACATCAATTTGTGGATGTATAACCATTATGTTAACATAGGTTTTTCTCTAGATAAATATGTAATATATTTGATTTTGCTTCTGCAAGATATGATTTCAAAAACTAACTTCCAAGTCCATACAGCTGTAAATCTGAGTCTGAAATATAACCACATGCTTTTATAGAAAGGTGTACATTATCTATATGTGAGTTATTGTTTATTTTTCCAATAAATAAGGAACAGTTTTGACATTCTTAAATATAAGAAACATCTTAATGGCATCCAAATTTCCAATGAAGAATGACAACATGACTTCTATTAAGTATGTTGGAAATGGTTTCTAAAGATGTATCACATCAGATCTGCTTTTTATCCTTTGAAATTTGTTTGTTTTAAATTTTTAACTGTCTTATTGAAGTGGCATCATTGTCTGGGGTAAATACCTGAGGTTCACCGTCTTGCACCAAGGAAATTGAGTATGCAGACACAAGAAGCAGGTTTAGGAGCGGAGGTTTAATAGGCAAAAGAAAGAGAAAAGAGAACAGCTCTCTCTCTTATGAGAGAGGGGAAAGCCGGAATGGGACTTCCGACCCGCTTCGGAATGCACAGGGCTTTATAAACAGGATTGAGTTGGTGTGTCTGATTTACATAGGGCCCAAAGATTGGTTGGACCAGGTGTGATGTTTACATAATGCACTGGGAAGCTAGCCACCCCACCCTAATCTTTTATTATGCAAATGGATTCTCTACTTGGCCAGTGCTATGTTGCCTGCTCCTTACTGTGCACGTGGCCGACAAGGAAAGGGGAAGATGGAGCCACCATTTTGAACATGCTTAGTCCCCAGGTAGCCCCTTTCCTATTGGCACATCTGACAGCATTCACCTGTGCAAGCTTCTAGCTTTCCTTTTTATGTTTGCATTTCGATTTTACAGGCTGCTCTCTGTTAGAAAAGAAAATGATCTGGGGCTGCTATTTGTTAAAAGGAAAATCTTACTGAGGACTTCCTTACCGTTACTATTTGCCTAAATAATTTCTTCTTTTTCTTTTCTTTTTTTTTTTTTTTTTTTGCAACGGAGTCTCGCTCTGTCACCCAGGCTGGAGTGCAGTGGCGCGATCTTGGCTCACTGCAACCTCCACCTCCCAGGTTCACGCCATTCTCCTGCCTCGGCCTCCCAAGTAGCTGGGACTACAGGCGCCCGCCACCATGCCCGGCTCATTTTTTGTATTTTTTAGTAGAGATGGGGTTTCACCGTGTTAGGCAGGATGGTCTCAATCGCCTGACCTCGTGATCCGCCTGCCTAATAATTTCTTCTTAACTCCTATATCACTATGACCTGAATGTGTCCTCCCCAAATTCACATGTTGGAGACTCAATACCCAGTGCAATAATCTTGGAGAGGGGGAGACATTTTGGAGCTGTTTAGGTCATGAGGGCAGCCCTCAAGAATGGGTTAATGCCGTTATAAAAGGGCTTGTAATAGAGACAGTTTGCTCCTTTTATCACTCCTTTCATCCCTTCTGCTAAATGAGGACACAGTATTTCTCCCACTCAGAAGCTGCAGCAACAAGGCATTATCTTGGAAGCAGAGAACAGCCCTCACCAGACACCCAGACCTTCCAGTCTTGATCTTGCACTTCCCAGCCTCGAGAACTGTGAAAAAAATTAATTTCTGTTCTTTATAAATTACCCAGTATCTGATATTTTGTTATAGAAGCACTAAGGGACTAAGAGAAATTGGTACCAGATAAGTGGGGTGTTGTATAACAAGTGCCTAAAACTGGGGGAGCAGCTTTGAGACTGGGTAATGGGTAGAGGTTAGAACAGTTTTGAAGTGAAAAATATACAAGCTAGAAAATTTGTAAATGGAGCATTAAAAACATTCTAGTGAGAGTTCGAAAGAGAAGAGAGGTAGGAAAAAATCTCGTTCTTCATAGATAGTACTTAAATTGTCATAAACAAATTGCTGGTAGAAATAAGGATAGTAAACACTATTCTGATGAGGTCTCAGATGGAAATGAGAAACAAGGTATTAGAAACTAGAGGAAAAGCCATCCTTGCTCTAAAGTGGCAAAGAATTTGACTGAATTTTGTCTGTAAGCTAGGACTTTGTGGAAGGCAAAACTGGAGAGTGATAAACTAGGATTTGTGCTGGAATAAATCACAAAGCAGCAAAGTATTGAAGGTGCTATGTGTCTTCTTCTGGTCTGTTGTAGTAAAATGCCAGAGGAGAAAAATGAGTTAAAGGTGAAATATATAATCAATAGGGAAGCAGGACATAAAGATTTGGAAAATTCTCAGCCTGGCCATATAAAGAAAAAAAGGCTTATTTGGGAGAAAATACCAAGGGTATGACCAAATGAAATGCTTGATAAGGAGAATAGCAAGGATAGAAGGAAGCAAGATGCTATCCATTGAGACAGTGGAAAATTCCTATACAAATTCGTAAATGACTCTAAAAGCATTTTGGAGATCTTTGAAGCTGCTTTTCTCATCATAGGCCCAGAGTGCCAGGGTTTTGAAGGCAGAATGGTTTTAAGGGAGAAGCCTAGGACACCCATGGGACCTCAGGGCTGGATACCCAGGGCCACCTCAAATCTCCACTCCCTGCATTCTGGTGCAGTGCTCCATGACCACCTCAGCTATGACACAAATGGGCCCGGGTGGAGCTTGAACCACTTGTCTGGAGGATGCACATAGTAAAATCTGGCAGCCTCCACATGGTGCTAATTCTGTAGGTGCACACAGTGTGTGAGCTGTGGGAGCATGGCTGTCTGCACCTGTATCTCAAAGGATGCCTCAGAGATCCTTGGTGCCCAGGCAGAGAACTGTCACAGAGCCAGGGGTGCTGAATAAAGTCCCCACTAGGGCAATGCCTAGCAGAGCCATAGAGTTAGGGCCACTGCAGAGGGTCTCTGCTAGGGCAATGTCTAATGGAGCAATGGATGAGGCCACTCTAGAGAGTCCCCACTAGGCAATGTCTAGTGTAGCTGTGGGGATTGGGTCACCCTCAGGCCTCCAGCACTGTAGTCACCAGTGTACAGCATCAGCCTGGGAAGCTGCAGGAATGCACCTTCAGTGTGTGAGAGCTGAAATATGGGCTGCACCCAGCAAAGTCAGAGAGATGGGACTTCCCAAGTCCTTGGAGGCCCAACCCCCCACACCAGTGTATCCACAAGGCAGGAAATGGAGTCAAAAAGATTATTCTCAAGCCTTAAGATTTTATTGTGTTTGTCCTATTGAGCTTTGGACTTACTTGGGACTTGCTACCACTTTCTTCTTGCCTATTTCTCTCTTTTGGAATGGGAATGTCTATCCTATGCCTGTCCCACTATTGTATTTTGAAGGCAGGTAACTTGTTTAATTTAAACAGGCTCACAGCTGCAAGTAAATTTTCCTCAGGCTGAATCATGCCTTGAGTCTTACTCATTTCTGATTAAAATGAGACTCTGAACCTTAGACTTTTGAGTTGATATCTTAATGAGTTAAAACTTTTGGGCCAGCACGGTGGCTCATGCCTGTAATCCCAGCACTTTGGGAGGCTGAGGCAGGCAGAATGCCTGAGATCAAGAATTCGAGACCAGCCTGGAAAATATGGTGAAACCCCGTCTCTACTAAAAATACAAAAATTAGCTGGGTATGGTGGTGCACGCCTCTAGTCCCAGCTACTAGAGAGGCTGAGACAGGAGAATCGCTTGAACCTGGGAAGCAGAGGTTGCAGTGAGCCAAGATCATGCCGCTGCACTCCAGCCTGGGTGACAAAGTGAGACACCATCTCAAAAAAAAAAAAAAACTGTTGGAGCTATTGAGATGGAATAAATGTATTTTGCATGTGATAAGAACATTCATTTTGGGGGCTAAGAGCAGAATGCTACAGTCTGAATGTGTTCCCCAAAATTCATGTGTTGAAAACTTAATCCCCAATGCAACAGTGTTTAAAGGTGGGGGCTTTTGAGAGGCATTTAGGTCATGAAGGTGCCCCTCTCATGAATGGATTAATACCATAATAAAAGGGCTTGACAGAGGGAATGTGGTCCCTTTTTGCCCCTTCTGTCCCTTCCACCATGTAAGGACACAGCATTCCTCCCCTCCAGAAGATGGAGCAACAAGGTGCCATCTGAGAAAACAGAGACTGGGCCCTCACCAACAAGCACCTTGATCTTGTTGGATTTCTCAGCTTCCAGAACTATGAGAAATAAATTTCTCTTGTTAATATGTACAAATTTCCCAGTTAGTGGCATTTCGTTACAGCAGCATAAGTGGATTGCAGCATAAGTGGATTACAACAAATGGATTTTACTAAAGTGTATTATCTTTAAAATCACATTGTCTCTTCTATGTCAAAAGCATTATTTTCTAATTTTAAAAGTAATATTTTCATATAAATATTGTGCAGTAAAGTTGAAGTAGTTCTTTTTTTTTTTTTTTTTTTTTTAAGACAGAGTATCACTCTGTTGCTCAGGCTGGAGTGCAGTGGCGCGATCTCAGCTCACTGCAACCTCCACCTCCCGGTTTCAAGCGATTCTCCTGACTCAGCACCCTGAGTAGCTGGGATTACAGGCACCCACCACCACACCTGGCTAATTTTTGTATTTTTAGTAGAGACAGGGTTTCACCATGTTGGACAGGGTGGTCTCAAACTCCTGGCCTCAGGTGATCCACCTGCCTCAGCCTCCTAAAGTGCTAGGATTACAAGCGTGAGCCACCATGCCTGGCTGAAGTAGTTCTTTATCACTGTGTAACACATTACCCTAATACTAGTGTCTAAAAACATTAACAGTTATTATCTTAATCTTTGTAAATCAGGAAGTAATATACCACTTAACTGGATCCTCCAATTTACAGTCTCTCACAAGCAGGAATCAAGGTGCCAGCTAGGACTGCAGTTATCTCAAAGTTTGACTGGGAAAGTATCCACTATCCACTTATTCTGGAATTGCTGGAAAGATTCTGTTTTGCAAGAGCCTTCAGTTTCTTCCTGGCTGTTAAAAGAAGGCCAACCTCAGATTCTTCCCATATGGACTACTCTATGGGATAAATCACAGCTCATGGTTCCAAAAGAGACCCCCTCCCTCCGCTTTAGGAAAGAAAATAGTTGGGAGGGCTTTGTCTTGCATCTTGGATACCAGTTCATCCACAGCAGGATAGAACACTGGTCAAAGTCGTGAGGCCCCCTTTCCAGGTCATGGCTCCTGATGGCATTTCTAGAGACACTGTGGACCCTAAGGGAATCCGCCACCTTAAGGGAAGGATCCAGTTCTGGCAGGATTCATCACCTTCTAACTGAAGAGCCTTTGGACCCTGAATAATCAGCAGTGATACCAGGTACTACATTGAAGGCCTTGGGTGAACCTCTGAGACCTCCTGGCTTCAGTTGAAACTCAGCACATTGCCAGCTGTGGTGACTATAGGATGAGATTTTGTCTGCTTGAGAAATGTGGAGGGAAAAGTAAAAAGGACTTTGTCATGCACCTTAGGTACCAGCTCAACCACAGCAGGTAAAGCGTCAGGTGGGCTCCTGGAGTCCCCAGTTCCAGGACTTGCATCTTGGATAGCATTTTTGGATCTGCCCTGAGGCAGTCAGGGGGCATTGCCCTGAAGGATAAATCCCAGGCCAGGTAGCATTCACCACAAGCTGACGGGAGAGCCCTTGGACCTTAAGGAAACACTGGCGGTATTCCTGCAGTACTCCCTGTGTGCCTGTGGTGGGGTAGCCATGGAATGAGGCTCCTCTGCCCTTGCAAAGGGGAGAGAAGAGTTAGAAGGACTGTGTCTTGTGATTTGAGTCTCAGTTCAGTCACAGTGCAATAGTACACCAGGTGGACTTGTAACATTTTTGACTTTAGTCCCTGGCTCCAAAACAGCACCTCTGAACTTTCCTGGAGTCTAGGGAAACTCACCACCCTGAAGGGAAGGACAAAGATCTGGCTGGCTATGCCACTTGCTGATTGTAGAGTCCCAGGGCATTGAGCAAACATAGGTGGAAGCCAGAGAGTAGTTACTGAAAATATTGGATGAGGCTCAGTGCTGTGCTGGCTTCAGGTCTGACACAGCACAGTTGTACTGGTGATGTCCAGAGGAATGCTCCACCCCTAGCTCCAGCTGGCTCAGAACAGAAAGAGATACTTTAATTGGAAGAAATTAAAGGAAGCAACAAAAGTCTCTACCTTTTAATCCAGAGAATTCTCTCAATCTTGTCCAAAACCATCAAGGTGGTACCTCTATGAGTCTGCAAGAGCTACAGTATTAATGGGTCCCTGAAGCAGGTACAGCTTAGATTACAATACCGAAGTTCTTTAGAATATCTGGAAAACCTTCCCAAGAATGAATGGTACAAACAAGCCCAGACTGAGTAGCCTACAATAAATACCTAACTTTTCAATGCCCAAACACAGATGAACATATGCAAGTATCAAGATCATCCAGGAAAACAGGACCTCCCCAAATAAACTAAATAAGGCACCAGGAACAAATCCTGGAGAAACAGAGATATGTGACCTTTTATACAGAGAACTCAAAATAACTATTTGAAGAAACTCAAAGAAATTCAAGAGAACACAGAGAAGGAATTCAGAGTTCCATCAGACAAATTTATTACAACAAAGAGATTCAAATAATTAAAAAGAATCAAGCAGAAATTCTGGAGCTGAAAAATGCAATTGACCTACTGAAGAATGCATCTTTTAGTCTTTTAGTAAAAACTGATCGAGCAAAAAAAAGAATCAGTGAGTTTGAAGAGAAGCTATTTGAAAATACACAGTCAGAGGAGGCAAAAGAAAAAGAATTAAAAAAAGAAGCAGGCCTACAGGATCCATTATAGAAAATAGCCTCAAAAAAGCAAATCTAAGAGTTATTGGCCTTAAAGAGGAGGTAGAGAAAGAGATAGGGGTAGAAAGTTTATTCAAAGGGATAATCGAGAACTTCCCAAACCTAGAGAACAATGTCAATATCCAAGTATGAGAAGATTAGACAACAACGAGCAGATTTAAGTCAAAGGAAACTGCCTCAAGGCATTTTATAATCCCTTAAACTCCCAAGGGTCTAAGATAAAGCAAGGATTCTAAAAGCAGCAAGACGAAAGAAACAAATGACATAATGGAGCTCCAATATGCCTGATAGCAGACTTCTCAGTAGAAACCTTCCATGACAGGAGAGAGTGGCATGACATATTTAAAGTACCGAAGGAAAAAAGCTTTTACCCTAGAATAGTATATCCAGTGAAAATATCCTTCAAATGTAAAAAAGAAATAAAGACTTTTCCAGGCAAACAGAATCTGAGAAATTTTAATAACACCAGAACTGTCCTAATACAAATGATAAAGGGCATAGTACTTCAATCAGAAAGAAAAGGATGTTAATGAACAATAAGAAATCATGTGAAGATACAAAACTCACTGGCAATAGTAAGTGGTCAAAAAAAAGAGAGGATATTAGAACACTGAAACTGTGGTGTGTAAACTTATCTTAAATAGACTAAAAAACCAATTGGAAATGAGAACTATAACTTTTCAAGATATAGACAGTATGATAAGATATAAATAGAAACAACAAAAAGTTAAAAAACAGGGGAACAAAGTTAAGGTGTAGATCCTTTGCTTGTTTGTTTTCTTGTTTATGCAAACAGTGTTAAGTCATTATCAGATTAAAATAATGGGTTACAAGATAGCATTGGCAAGCCTTGTGGTCACCTCAAGGCAAAAAACATATGAGTACAGAACAAAATAAAAAGCAAAAGACTAAATCATGTCACCAGAAAGAATCACCTTCACTGAAAGGAAAACAGGAAGGAAGGAAAGAAGGAAGAGAAGACCACAAAACAGCCAGAAAACAACAAAATGGCAGGAGTAGGTCCTTACTTATCAATAACAACATTAAATGTAAATGAACTAAACTCTCTAATCAAAAGACATAGAGTAACTGAGTGGATTAAAAACCATGACTGAAAGATCTATTGCCTACAAGATATACACTTCACCTATAAAGACACACCTAGACCAAAAATAAAGGTATGGAAAAGATATTCCATGCCAATGGAAACCAAAAAAGAGCAGAAGTCACTACACTGGTATTCAGCAAAATAGACTTTAAGACAAAATGTGTAAGAAAAGACCAAGAAGGTCACTGTATAATGATAACGGGTCCAATTCTTCAAGAGGATACAACAATTTTAAATATATATGCACCCAAAGCTGGAGCACCAAGATATATAGAGCAAATTTTATTAGAGCTAAAGAGAGAGATAGGCCCCAATACAATAATAGCTGGAGACTTCAACACCTCAATTTCAGCAATGGACAGATCTTCCAAACAGAAAATCAACAACAACAACAAAATAAGACTAAATCTGCATTATAGACCAAATGGATCTAATAGATATTTACAGATCATTCAAACCAAGAGCTGCAGAATACACATTCTTTTCCTCAGCACATGGATTATTCTCAAGGAAAGACCATATGTTAGCCCACAAAACATTTTAAAAAATTGAAATAATATCAAGTATCTTCTCTGACCTCAATGGAATAAAACTAGAAACTAATAACGAGAGGAATTTTGGAAACTATAAAAATACATGAAAATTAGACAATATGCTCCCCAGTCACCAGTGGGTCTATGAAGAGATTAAAAAGGAAATTGAAAAATTTCTTAAAACAAATAATTGAAATACAGCATGCCAAAACCTATCAGATACAGCAAAAGCAGTACTAAGAGGGAAGTTTATAGCTACAAGTGCATACATCAAAAAGGAAGAAAATTTTCAAATAAACAATCTAGCAATGCATCTTAAAGCACTAGAAAAGGAAGAGCAAACCAAATCCAAAATTAGCAGAAGAAAATAAACATAAAAATCAGAGCAAAAATAAATGAAATGAAAAAAAGACAATACAAAAGATCAAAGAAACAAAAAGTTGGTTTTTTGAAAAGTTAAACAAAATTGACAAACCTTTAGCTAGACAATTTTAAAAAATGGGAGATCTAAGTACATAAAATCAGAGATTAAAAAAAGATATTATAACTGATAGCTCAGAAATTCTAAGGATCCTTAGTGCCCACTATGAGTAACTATATGCCAATAAATCAGAAAATCTAGAAAAAAATGGACAAATTCCTAGAAAGATGCAACCTACTATGACTGAACCATGAAGAAATTCAGACTCTGAACAGATCAAACAAATAATGGGATTAATGCCATAGTAAAATGTCTCCCAGTAAAGAAAAGCCCAGAACCCAATAGCTTTACTGCTGAACTATTCCAAACATGTAAAAAAAATTAATAACAATCCTACTCAAACTATTCAGAAAAATGGAAGACAAGGGAAGACTTCCAAATGCATTCTACAAGGCCAGTATTATCCTGATACCAAAACCAGACAGAGACACACTAAAAAAAAAAATACAAGAAAATACCTCTGATGAATATTGATAGGAAAATCCTTGACAAAATACTAGCAAATCAAATTCAACAATACATTTAAAATATCATTTATTATAACTAAGATTTATCCCTGGGATGCAAGGATGGTTCAATATATGCAAGTCAATCAATGTGATACATCATATCAACAGAATGATGGATAAAAATCATATATTTCAATTGATACTGAAAAAGCTTTTGATAAAATTCAACATCACCTCATGATAGAAAACATTAAAACATTGAGTATAGAAGGAACATAACTCAACATAATAAAAGCCATAGACAACAGACCCGCAGCTAGTGGGAAACTGAATGGAAAAAACTGAAAGCCTTTTCTCTAAGATCTGGAACATGACAAAGATGCCGCTGTCACCACTGTTATTCAACATAGTACTGAGAGTCCTAGCTAGAGCAATCAGACATGAAAAAGAAATAGTGGGCATCCAAATTGGAAAGGAGGAAATCAAATTATCCTTGCTTGCATATGATGTGATCTTACATTTGGAAAAACCTAGACTCCACAAAAAAACTATTAGAACTGATAAATTAAGTAAACTTGCAGTATACAAAATCAACATACAAAAATCAGTAGCATTTTTATATGCCAACACTGAACAATGTGAAAAAGAAATAGAAAGAGTAATACCATTTACAATAGCCACAAATAAAATTAAATGCCTAGGAATTAACCAAAGAAGTGAAAGATCTCTATAATTAAAACTATAAACACTGATGAAGGAAAATGAAGAGTACACCAAAAAATTGAAAGATATTCCATGTTCATGAACTGGGAAAATAAATATTGTTAACATGCCCATATTACCCAAAGCAATCTACAGATTCAGTACAATTCCTATCAATACACCTATGACATTCTTCACAGAAATTGAAAAAAATCCTAAAATGTATATGGAACCACAAAGGACCCAGAATAGCCAAAGCTATTCTAAGTAAAAAGAACAAAACTGGAAGAATCACATTACCTGACTTCAGTCTATGCTACAGAGCTATAGTAACCAAAACAGCATGATACTGGAGTAAAAACAGACACATAAACACATAGACCAATGGAACAGAATAGAGAACCCAGAATCAAATCCACACACCTACAATGAACTCATTTTTGACAAAGGTGCCAAGAACATACACTGAGGAAAAGACAGTCTCCAATAAATGGTGCTGAAAAACTGGATATTCATAGGCAAGATAATGAAACTAGACCCCTATCCCTCACTATATACAAAAACCAAATCAAAATGGATTAAAGACTTAAATCTAAGACCTCAAACTATGAAACTGCTACAAGAAAACATTGGGGAAACTCTTCAGGACATTGGTCTGGGCAAAGATTTTTGAGTAATACCCCACAAGTACAGGCAACCAAAGCAAACATGGACAAATGGGATCACATTAAGTTAAAAAGCTTCTGCACAGCAAAGAATATAATCAGTATAGAGTGAAGAGACAACCTCAAGGATGGGAGAAAATATTTGTAAACTACCCCTCTGACAAAGGATATCCAGAATATATAAGAAGCTCAGCACATGACAAACATCACATGTTCTCACTTATTTGTGAAATCTAAAAATCAGAACAATTGAGCTCATGGAGACAGAGAGTAGAAGGATGGTTAACAGAGGCTAGGAAGGGAATAGAGTGTTGTGGGGAAGTTGAGGATCATTAATTCGTAAAAAACAAAAATAGAACAAATGAATAAGACCTACTATATGATAGCACAACAAAGTGACTACAGTAAATAATAATTTAATTTTACATTTTTAAATGACTAAAAGAGTATAATTGGACTGTCTGTAACACAAAGGATAAATACTGGAGGAGATGGATACCCCATTTTACATTATGTCATTCCATGCCTGTATCAAAACATTTTATGTATCCCATAAATATACAAACCTACTATGTATCCACAAAAGTAAAATATTTTTTTAAACTTGATAAAAATTAAAATGGAAACACTACATACCAAATCTATTGGGGTGGAGGAAAATCTGTTATAAAAGGAACATTTATCCAATCAATGCCTACCTCAAGAAGAAGAAAAATATGAAATAAAATTTAACAATATTTCTCAAGGACATAGAAAAATCAAGAATAAACTAAGCTGGAAGTTAGGAAAAGAAAAGAAATAATAAAGATCATAGCAGAAATAACTGAAATAGAGAATAGGAAAATAATACAAACCATAAACAAAACTGAGTTAATATTTCAAAAGGATAAACAAAATTAATAAACCTTTACCTACACTAGGAGAAAAAGAAATTTCAAATGAATAAAATCATAAATAAAAGAGGGTACATTACAACTGATACCACAGAAATAAAAAAGATCATAAGGGACTACTATGAACAATTATATGTCAATAAATTGGATTACCTAGAAAAAATGGATAAATTCCTAGACACATACACCTACTCAAGACTAAATCAAAAAGAAATAGAAAATCTGAGCAGACTAATAATGAGTACAGAGATTGACAGTAGCAAAAAGTTTCTCATTAAAGGATAGCCCTGGACCTGATGGCTTCACTACTGAATTCTACCAAACTTTTAAAGAAAAATTCATACCACTGCTTCTCAAACTCTTCCAAAAAAAAATCAAAGAGAAGAGAATACTTCCAAACTCTTTCAATGAGGCCAGCATTACTCTGATACAAAAGCCAGACAAGTATATTATAACAAATAAAAATTATAGGCCAATATTTTTATGAACATGGATGCAAAATTTTTCAACAACAGGGGATGTCAAAAAATCATAGAAAATGGAATTAAATATTAATAATAAAAATAAAAAATATAAACTTTCTCAATAAAAATTCCTTCAAGCTCAAGACATTTTTGTTAAGTGATGATACAAATCATTTAGTCTATCCCTAAAGAACTGAGAATCGTGGGAATTTAACCATAGTTATACACTCTTTTTAGCATTACTAACTGAACAAAAATTTACATTCTAAAGAGTTTTTAAAATTAGGGGAAAAAGAAGTCAGAAAAATCCAAGCCAAAACTGTAAGGTGGATGTCCAGTTATTTCTCTTCTCACAGAATTGCCCTTATTTGATTAGAAGAATGAACAGAAGCATTGTCACGGTGAAGAAGGACCCTCTAGTGAAGCTTTCCTGGGCATTTTTCTGCTTAGTCTTAGGCTAAGTTTCTCAAAACACACTTATAATAAGTAAATGTTATTCTCTGGCCTTCCAGAAAGTCAGCAAACAAAATGCCTTGAAGATCCCCCCAAAACATTGTTGTTGAAATATTTGCTGCTGATGGGAACATTTCTACCTCTCAGTAGCCATTGCTTTTATTGTTCTTTATCTTCAGTATTGCACTGGTAATCCATGTTTTATCTTCTATTAAAATACTTGGAATAAATATTTCAGGATCTTGATCATACTTGTTTAAAATTCCCATTGAAAGCTCTGCTCTTGTCTGCAGCTGATCTAGGAATAATTGTTTTGGCACCCACTGAGTGGAAAGTTTGCTGAACTTTAATTTTTCAGTCAGAATTGTGCAAACTGAACTAATTGAGATGGCTATTATTTCTGCTGTTAAGTATCAGACATCTTCAATAAGGACACAAACAAGATGCATTTTTTTTCTTCCAAATTGATGTGGATAGTCTGCTGCTACATGCTTTATCTTCAACATCATCTTGTTCTTTCTTAAAATGAGTTATCCATTTGTAAATTGATCATTTCTTTTGGGAATTGCACCCCAAAATTTTTCATAAGTATCAATTATTCATCATTCTTCCATCCAAGTTTTACTATAAGTTGATGTTTGTTCTTGCTTCAATTATAGCAGATTTCATGCTACTTTGATAGGTGCTTCAAAAAAAAACTAATGTCTTCTCCTTAGTGCCTCAAATTTGCTCCTGTTGAAATATGTTATAATAAGTTAGTATGAGTTTAATTTGATGCATAAAAATTTGAAATCCATGCAGAGTTATTTCATAATACACATTTTCCATAAACTTCTTGAAGTTCCCTCATACTAGCAAACTGAATTCAAAAACATCCTAAAAGAATCACCCACTATAATCAAATGAGATTTATCTGAGTGGTGCAAGATGGTTTAACATATGTAAATCAATAAATGTGATACATCACATCAACAAAATGACAGACAAAAAACCATATGATCATATCATCAGATACAGAGAAAGCATGTGAAAGAATTCAACGTCCTTTTATTATTAAAAAACTTTCACCAAATTAGGTATACAAGGAATACACCTCAACATAATAAAGACCATGTATGAGAAGATCACAGCTAACATTATACTCAATGGTGAAAACTGAAAGCCTTTATCTAAGTTCTGGAAAAAGTGGACAAGAATGGCCATTTGCACCACTTCTATATAATATAGCATTAGAAGTCCACACGAGGGCAATTAGGCAAGAGAAAGAAATAAAAGGTAAGGCATCCAAATAGGAAAAATGAAGTAAAATTGTCAGTTTGCTGATGGCTCGATCTTTTACATAGAAAACCCTAAATAATCCACCAGAAAACTGTTAGAACTAATAAATGAATACAGTCAAGTTGCAGGATACAAAATCAACATTCAAAAATGAGTAGCATTTCTATATACTAGCAACTTTTCAGAAATAAAATCAAGAGAACAATTCCATTTACTATAGCTACAAAAAATAAAATATCTAGAAATAAATTTAACCAAGGAGATGAAAAACCTATACACTAAAAACTATAAAATGTTGATGTAAGAAATTGAAGAAGACACAAATAAATGAAAAGAATCCTGTATTTATGAACTAGAAGAATTAATATTGTTAGAATGTCCATACTACCAAAATCAATCTACAAATTCAATGCAATCTCCATACAAATTCCAATGTCATTTTTCACAGTAAAAAAAGAACAATCTGAAAATTCATATGGAATTAGAAAGTAAAAAGCCAAATAGCCAAGGTAGTAATGAGCAAAATGAACAAAGATGGAAGCATCACACTATTTGACTTCAAATGATATTACAAAGTTACAGTAATTAAAATAGCATGGTACTGGCAAAAAAAAAAATAGACACATCAATTTTTATAGAGAGAATAGCCCAGAACTGAACCCATATATGTATGGTCCATTGCTTTTCAACAAAATTGTCAACAATACACAATGGGGAAAAATAATCTCTTCAGTAAATAGTACTGGGAAAACTGGATATCCACATGCAGAACAATATTAGACACTTATACCATATGCAAAAATCAACTCAAAATATATTAAAGAGTTAAACATAAGATGAGAAACCATAAAACTAATAAAAGAAAGCATAGGGAAAAATTCCAAAACATTGGTCTGGGCAATGATTTTTGGATTTCACCCCAAATGTACAGGCAACGACAGCAAAAATAAATTGAGGTTACATCAAACTAAAAAGCTTCTTCACAGCAAGGAGAACATATAACCGTGTGAAGAGATAATCTAAGGATTTAGAGAAAATATTTGTAAGCCATGCATCTGAAAAATAGTTAATATTCAAAATACAGAAGGAATTCAAAGAACTTACAAGGAAACAAACAAAAACTGGTTTTAAAATGGGCAAGGGATCTGAAGAGACATTCTCAAAAGAAGACATACAAATAGCCAAAAAATATAGTTTAAAATGCTCAACATCGTTAATAATTAGGAAAATGCAAATTAAAACCACAATGAGATATCATCTCACTCCTGTCAGAATGGTTATTATCAAAAAGACAAAAATTAACAAGTATTGGCAAAGATGTGGAGAAAAGGGAACACTTGTCTGGTGAAAATGTAAACGTGTACAGACATGAAAAACTGCATGGAGCTACTTCAATATAGTAAAAATCAAATTACTGTATGATCTAGCAATCCCACTTCTGGGTATTTATCCAAAAGATTTGAAATCAGCTTGTTGACCAGATGTCTGCACTCCCGTGTTCACTGCAGCACTGTTCACAACAGCCAAGTTACAGAGTCAACCTAAGTGTTTATTAACAAATAAATGAATAAAATGTGCTATAATGAATGCTATTCAGCCCTAAAAAAGAAGAATTCTGTTATTTGTGACAATATGGGTGGAATTGGAGGGCATTATGCTAAGGGAAATAATGAAGGCACAGAGAGACAAATATTGCCTGTTCTCACTTATATGTGGAATCTAAAACAATCAAACTCATAGAAGCAGGGAGTAGAATGGTGGTTACAGAGGCTGGGGGTGGGGAAATAGGGATATGATGTCATAGGATATAAAATCTCAGTTACACAAAAGGAATAAGGATTTTTTTGAGACCTATTGCACAGTATGGGAAATGTAACAATAATGTGTTGTACATTTAAAAAATTGCTAAGAGAATAAAGTTCAAACATTCTAACTACAAAAAAATGATAAATATTTAAGGTGATGGACATGTTTTTTGTTTGTTTGTTTGTTTGTTCGTTTGTTTTTGAGACGGAGTCATGCACTGTCGCCCAGGCTGTAGTGCAGTGGTGCGATCTGGGCTCACTGCAAGCTCCGCCTCCCGGGTTCACGCCATTCTCCAGCCTCAGCCTGGTGATGGACATGTTAATTGGATTTATTTATTGCACATTGTATTCATGAGTCATAACATTACTCTGTATCCCATAAATATACACAATTATAAGTTGTCAGTTTACAGTTAAATACATAAATTCATAATCAGTGAACTTGAGACAGGTCAACAAACTTATTCAAACTAAGCAGCAAAGGGAAAAAATAATGAAAAATAAAAAATAAAACAGAGCAAGACTTCAGAGACACATGAAACAATATTAAATGAGCAAGAAGTTGTATAATTTTAGTCACTTAAGGAGAATGAGGCAAAAGAAAGATTCTTAATGTCTGAGAATTTTCCATAATTGTGGAGAGACATTAAGCAACAGATCAAAGAAGTTAGGTAAACACAAAGAAGGATAAATTCAAAGAAAACCACATGTAAGCATATCATGATCAAATTTTCAGAAGCCACAGCAAAGGGAAACATCTTAAAAGCAACTGAAGAGGTGTGATGGAAGGTATATTACAATCCAACATACAAAAACATGAATAATAACTCATTCTAAGCAGAAATAATGAAACCAAGAAGAAATAAATATAAAGTGCCAAAGGAAAAAAATGCCAATCTAGAATTCTATGCACAATGGGGAGTGACAGGTGAGGGCACTGTAGTTGAGTGCTCACCTCTAGGAGGAAACATTTGAGTGGGACGTGAATTATGAGAGGAAGACAGGCATGACAGGAACTGGTGAAGAACATTCCACAGTGAAGAAACAGCAAGTGCAAAAGGCCTCAGATGGGCATAAAACTGGCTTGTTAAGGAGGCCAGTGTGGCTGGTTTTTATGGAACAGAAAGAAGACTAGGAGACAAGCAGGAGACAGACAGGCTGAGCCTTAGAGGCCATGGGAAGGCACAAGAGGAAGTAAGAAAGCAAAATAAAAATGATGTGAAATACTATCAATGAAAGGAATGTTGTCATTTGAGTGTCAGGTAGAGGATTTTCCTGAAAACGTGCAGATGTGGCCTTCCTGTCCTACATTTTCCCCTTCTAGAGGCACTTGTCTTAATCCATAAGGCCACAGGCAATAATAGGAAAAACATGGGTTTGAGTAAGTTGTTCTTTTTATAAACCTCTTATCTATCTTTAAAATAAAAGTGGTGCAAGATTGGATTACAAATCATAATAACTGTATCTTACCAAGAAGAAAGTAAATAAAATTTTTTCTAACAGAATAAAAGTGTGCAGAATTTGCCACCATCCAAAATACACTGCACAGAATACCAAAGAAAGTTATTCAGGGTGAGGAAAGTGATTCCAGATGGAAGCACAAAGCTACAAGAAGAAATCTACAACACCAGAAAGAATAAACATGGAGTAAATGTAAAAGACTATTTAAGCTTTTTCAAAGCACTACTGACTGTTTCAAGTAAAAATAATAGCAATATGTCAGAATTTATAACACACATACAATTAAATGTAATAATACAAAGGGTAGAAGGAAGTATTAGGAATCATACTGATACAAAATTCTTTTGTTGTTTGTTAAGTAGGATAATATTAATTCAAGGTAGACTTTGATACATTAAGAATCCATACTGTAATCTCTAGAGTAAACACCAAATATTATTAATAATGAGGTACAAAGCCCATAGAACAGAAAAAAATCAGATTAGCGCTCAATTAACCTGAAATAAGTACAGAAGGAAAAAGCAAAAGAACAAAAAAGATGAGAGAAATAGAAAAATAGAAACTGATAGACTTAAAATCAATAATATCAGAAATTAATTTAAATATAAATGCTAGGAATGATGTCAGCAAGATGGTTGGTGAAGTAAGAAGTCTTGAGCTCCACTACCCACTAGCCCCACAACAAAATTTAACCAGCAACATCCACAGATTGGAAAACCCCAACACCTGAAAACAAGCTGGAGACACCTGCATGATATGTAAAACTGAACAAAGTCTGAATTAGAAGGGTAAGAGGAACAGTCTCACTCTGACTATGCTCCCACCTCGCCCCCCAAATTGGCATAGCACCAGACAGAGAGGGTTTCCCTAACTGTCTCTGTTTCTACAGGAGAAAAATAGAATAGGAGGCAGACATCCAGCTTCTCTAGCATACCAAGACACTTCTCAAAACACCTACTTGGAACTTGCTTCAGAGAGAACACTAAAGGAAATGACATGACTTGAATGCCTGGGAGTCAGTTAGAAAAAAAGAAAGCAACCAGCACATGGATCCTGGTGGTACCTCTGCATTCTTGCCAACTGCGGTGCTCCATTAGATATCAGCCAGTCCCATAGCACATGTGCCAAACTGAGTTAGTCACCTTTAGAGGCATGGAAGGAAGCACAGTCTAGCTTCAGCTCCTAGACTGGTTGTTTCCCTGCCCAGCCTCAGCACCCATCCCAATAGCCCCACGAAGGCAGAGAGACTGCCACTGCCATGGATCTCTGAAGCAAAAAGACTACACTGGCTTGGCCCAGGAAGGCAGGCAGTAGCTCCACACAGCCAAAAAGCCAGAGCAATTATCCCACCCAATCCAACAGACTCACACTTTTGCAGATCTCAGAAAAATAAAGAGATTACACCACTTTGACCTACGAAGGTAAGCAGTGGCTCCACACAGCCAAACAGCTTGCCCAATAACCACACCAAGGCAGGAAGACTCCCACCTCCAGTGACCTCAGGCAAGCAAAAGAGCTACACTGGCTTTAACCAGGAAGGCAAGCAGTGGCTTCACACAACCAAAAAGCCTACCCAAAGACCCTGCCTCGGCAGGGATATTTCCACCTCCGTGGTTCTCAGAGAAGCATAGAGGCTATAACAGCTTGACACAGGAAGGCATGCAGTGGTTCCACAAAGCCAAAAAGTCCTCCCAAAGACATCACCCATGCAGGGAGACTCCCACCTGTATGTATGCATTTGGAGAAATGTAGGAGCTAGTCCTGCTTGAGGTCAAACAGCCATTCAACTCAGCTAAAGGTTCATCCCACAGCTCCAGCCAAAGAGGGAAGCATATCCCCAATCACACATTGTTAGGGACCATAGCCTCAGATCCTTCCTCTCCAGAGCAGCAACACCACCTAACCTCAGAACACACCTGCAGCCCTGTTCAAATACAGATAGAAAATAGCAAAATTGCCCAGACAGGGAAGACATCTTGTGACCAGCCTGATCAGAGGCCATCAGAGTACTTGGCCAGCAGCTCTGCCTAATAGCAGAGCGCAGCCAGTGGTCTCACCAGTCACTGGAGCTCAGATAGTAGCCACCTCTGATATTGGAGCAACAGCAGCAGCCCAGGCAACTTGAAAACCCACAACAAGTCTTACCTCTCTGGTGTCACCACCAGCTAGCCCTTTCAGAATCACAGACTAGTTAATTAGTGGAGCTCTATACCTGGCAAAGAACACACGTAAGGCCAGAAGATATGAATCTCTCCTCAAAGGTACAGACAACAATGTAAGGATAAGAGAAGTACAAAAAAATCATGGAATCATAACACCTTTAAAAGAAACTAATAAAGCTCCAGTGGCAAACCCCAAAGATATGGACAGCTATTAAATGAATGCCAATTCATAGTAACACTCATAAAGAAGTTCAGTGAACTACAGGAATATATAGAGAGAAAAATTAAATGAAATTTGGAAAACAGTAACATGGAAAACGCAAGACTGACAAATAAATAAAAACCAAAAAAAAGATAGAAATCCTAGAGATAGAGAATAGAAGCACTGAGCTGAAAAATTTAAAACAAATCTTTAATAGCAGAATTGATCAAGTAGAAGAAAGAATCAGTGAGATGGAAGGCAGAGCTTTTGAAATCATCCATTCAAATGAGCAAAAAGAATAAAGAAAGTATATGGACATATGGGACCAAGCTTTTGCACAATAGGAGTTGCAGAAAGAGAATAAAGAGAAAAGGGGCCAGAATGCATATATAAAGAAAAATGGCTGAAAACTTCCCTAATCTAGAGAAGATACCAGTACCCAGACGCAAGAAGCACAGACATCTCAATCAAATTCAAACCAAAGAGGAATTCATCAAGACATATAATAATTAAGCTATCAAAAATCAAAGATGAAGAAAAATTCTAGAACATCAAGAGATAAAAACCAGATTACATACAAAGAAGTTCCAATACAACTATCAGCAGATTTCTCAGCAGAAACAAGCCAGGAGAGAATTGAATAATATATTCAAAGTGCTGAAGAAAAAACCAAAATGTCAACTAATGCTTTATACTGCAAAGCTTTTCTTCAGAAATGAAGGTGAAAGATTTTCCCAGACAAAAAGAAGCTGAGGGTATGTATCACCACTAGATATGCCATACAGGAAACACATAGGGAGTTCTTCAAGTCAAAAGAAAAGGACACTAATAGTAACACAAAAACATATGAAAGTATAAAACTCACTGGTAAAATAAGTACACAGTCAAGTTCAGAATACTCTAATACTATAATGATGGATTGTAAATCACACTTATACATTTAGTATAGAAGTTAAAAGTCAAAACTATCAAAAATAATTATAATAATTTGTTAAGGGACATGCAATATAAAAAGATGTAAATTGTGACATCAGAAATTCAGAATGTAATGTAAGGGGGGTAGGGTTAAAATATACAGTCTTCATTTTATTTAGATCAAAGTTAAGTTGTTTTCAGCTTGAAATAACTTATTGTATCTCCAAGACTTTTTGTTCAGCCTCCTGGTAACCACAAAGTAAATACACAAAAAAATAAAAAGCATGAAATCAAAACATTCTCTTAGAGAAAATCATTCAATCACAAAGGAAGACTGTAAGAGAGGAAGGAAGGAAGGAACTATAAAACCATTTGAAAAAATTCACAAAATGGCAGTAGTAGGACCTTACCTTGAATGTAAATGGATTACATTCTCCAATTAAAGACACAGAATGGCTGAATAGATTAAAAAAGAAGATGCAAATATATGCTGCCTACAAGAGACTCACTTCACTGATAAGGACACAAACAACCGAAAGTGAAGGGATGGAGAAAGATATTCCACACAAATGGAAACCAAAAGAGAGAAGGGATAGCTATACTTAGATAAAATAGAACTGGAATTTAAAACCATAAAAAAGGACACACAGAAGGTCATTACAAAATAAAGGGGTCAATTCAGCAAGAGGATATACAATCACAAATATATAAGCACATAAAATTGGAGCACCAAAATATATAAAGCAAATATTAATTAATTTAAGGGGAGAAATTTGACTGCAATACATTAATAGTAAAGGACAGATCATCCAAACAGAAAGTCAACAAAGAAACACTGAATTTAAACTGTAACTCTAGACCAACAGACCAGCTCTGGACCTAACACACATTTACAGAACATTCCCTCCAATAGCTGCAGAATACACATTCTTATCACCACATAAAACATTCTCCAGGTTAGATAATATATTAGGCCACAATACAAGTCTTAACAAATTTACAACTGAAATCATGTCAAGTAATGTTTTCTGACCATGATGGTGTAAAACTAGGAAAGTTTACAAATATATGCAAATTAATCAAAGTGCTCCTGAACAACCAATGAGTCAATGAAGAAGAGACACCTGCACTCCTATGTTTATTGAAACACTATTCAAGATAGCCAAGATGTAGAGTAAACCTAAGTGTTTATCAATGGATGGAAGGATAGAGAAAATGTCATATATATACATAATGGAATACTACTCAGCCATAAAAAAGAAATCTGTCATTTATGGCAAAACACAGAAACCTGGAAACCCATGGATGTGGAACCCGTAGATATGGAGGACCAATTGCATTTCCAAACAGCTAGATGAGAGGATTTTGAATGTTCTCACTGCAAATAAATGATAAATGTATAAGGAGATAAATATGCTAAATACACTCATTTTATTTTTTATGAAATGTCCATACGTATTGAAACATCACACTTATGTCATAAATATGTACAATTATTATGTGTCAATTAAAAACAAAAATAAACAGATATGAATGCTTTTAAGCACTCCAACTTAAAAACATTGTCAGACTGGATTTTTTAAAAAATACAAGAACCAACTGCATACTCTGTACATCAGATACACCTTAAATATAAGAAAATATGCAATGGAAGTAAAAGAATGAAAAAGATACCCCGTGCAAAGACTAACTTTAAAAAGCTGCCAATAAAAAAAAAAAAGCTGCATGGCAATACTACTATCACAAAATCAGAATTCAAAATTAAGAGTATTACTAGAGACAACAACGAGAATTGCATAATGATAAATAGCCAATTCATTAGGAAAACATAATAGTCCTAAAGATGCATGCACTAAAATGTAACTCCAAAATACATGAAATACAATTAATGTGTGTAAAACAAGTTACATAACAACAATAATAAAAAACAATAGTTGGCACTTTCAACACATCTTTCTCAAGAATTGATAGAACAAGAGGAAAAAACAAGATTTCAAGAACACTGTCAACAAATGACTTAATTAACATTTATATACTCAGCAACAGCAAAATACACATGTACTTATTTAGTACACACAGAACATGCAACAAAATATATCATAGGCTAAACCAACTCAAGAAAATAATTTTAAAACATTGAGATTATATAAATATATTCTCTGGTCACCATTGAGAAAACAATAAGGAAAAAGTGAGCTAAAAAAATACCAATATTTGGATTTAAACAGGCTTCTACATAATCTATAACTCAAAAGAGAAATCAAAATAAAAATCTGAAAATATTTTGACCTGAACTATAATGAGGACACAACATAAAATATGTGGAATGGAGCTAAAAATGTACATAGGACAAACTTATACCTTTAAATGCATTAGAAAAGAAGATTTAAAATCATTGATCTAAACTTTCACTTGAAGAAGGTAGAAGAAAAACAAATTAATAAAATGTGTAATCAATGAAGTAGAAAACAGAGATGTAATAGAGAAAAATAACAAAGTCAAGAGCGGTTCTGGAGAGATTCTTAAATTAATTAACTAGATAAACTCTTCACGAGACTGATGAGAGGAAAAAAAAACCTTATTATTACAAGGAATGAAAGAGGGGACATAACTATAGATCCTATAGACATAAAAAAGAATATTATGAACAACATTAGGCCACAAGTCTAATCATTAAATAAAATGGATAAACTTTTTTT
This sequence comes from Homo sapiens, assembly GCF_000001405.40. NCBI lineage: Eukaryota > Metazoa > Chordata > Mammalia > Primates > Hominidae > Homo > Homo sapiens. The sequence continues at coordinate 191,470 of NT_187577.1, read as the reverse complement.
AAAAATACAGTGCCTGAAAAAACCTATCACAAGAATAAATGGAAAATTTGAATAGTTCTCTATTTAATAAATTGAATCTGTAATTTAAAATCATCCCCCGCCAAAAAAAAAAAAAAAAAAAAAAAAAAAACTCCAGTCCCAGAGAACTTCACTGGTGAATTTTGACAAACATTTAACTGAAAATCTAAACAAGTTTTTCAGATTATTTCAGAAAATGGAAAATGAGAGAACCTTTCTCTAATTCATTTTATCAAGCCTCATACCAAACTCTAACAAGGGTTTAATATTTGCCTTTAAGACCCATGCCTAAGGGTCCTTCAGAAGCTGCCTCTCTGTCTTCTGGGCTTGACCCTGTGGGTCACTTGGCCAAGGGACAAGAGAAAGGTGAGGGGTAGAAGGAAAGGCCTGGATGGGAAGTTACAACCCCTGAAACAAACAGTCCTCCCTCAGAAACCCAGGCTGGGGTCATGGGGAGTATGAGGAGGGCAAATATCTGGATATATTGGACCTCTGTGCAGCCAGCCAAATCCCATGAGAAGGACCAGAAGGAGGAACACAGTACACTGCCCAGATCCTGTCATGGGTAAGATTGAATAGGTGCTGTAGCTGGGGCCCCAGGCAGTACATCAGAGGGGGTGGCATGGGGCAGGGGGCACAGGGGCAGGAGTCATGGAAGAGCTGCAGAGAAGACAATGAGAAGAGCTCATGAGGAGTCAGGTGGGAATGGGGACAGCTGAGATGAGTTTGGAAGACTGTTTTCAATTAAGGGCCCTGCACCTGCAAAACTGTAGTCCCCGGGGGTAAAGGAAAGAGAAGAAAAAAAACGAACACGCTGGCATGCAAATTGATCCACACTCAATTTATTGTTTCTTTCAGCTGTGACCACGGAAGGAAAGACAGAATTTTCATTTCTTAGCGAGACTCTCGATGTTATCCGTTGCCTTCTGAAGGAATCACTAGTTACTGTGGAAGAGAACAAAAAAACACGTGCTCAAAGTACTGACAGCAAACTCCCTCCCACTGTACAAGCAGCTGAGGTATTGCCAAGTGGAAAATTCATGTGGCACGAAAAAAAGAATTATTGAAAGGATGTTTACAATTTTGCCTGTGAAATTATTTAACCATGAGCCACTTATTTACTTTATGCTTTTCTTTGATTTCTGAGGAACCATCATATTTAATCAGAAGTACTTGCAAATGAAAAAATTAAAATTTTTTCATATAAAATGAAATGTTTATGAATTTAACAATTAAGTTAATGTCTTTACATGTTTTAGAAATTTAAGTTCACATTAATTTTCCTTTTTTCATACCTTGCAGCCAATTACTCCGTGTGTGTGTGTATGTGTGTGTACGTGTGTGTGTGTGTGTGTGTGTACGTGTGTGTGTGTGTGTATAACAGTATTTTGGCCTTTTGATCTTTGAAAATTCATAGACCTGAAGCATTATAGCCTATGCTGCCTAATGAATAAAATGGTCCTGATTACAGATTTGTTTTATAAACAAATTTACAGATCTTACATCTTGTAGGTACAACTCTTTAATTCTATTCTATCAACAAGAGCAAGTTCTCAATAAACTTAAGAGAACTTTACTAAACTGAAAAAAAACAGACTAAGTTATTTAAATACTCATTAGTAACAAGATTAATAAAGATTGGTCATTTGAAGCTAGGTCATTTAGGCTGGACATGATGGCTCACGCCTGTAATCCCAGCACTTTGGGAGGCTGAGGGCGGCAGATCACCTGAGGTTAGGAGTTCAAGACCAGCCTAGCCAACATGGCAAAATCCTGTCTGTACTAAAAATACAAAAATTAGGCGGGCATGGCGGCACACGCCTGTAATCCCAGCTACTCAGGAGGCTGAGGCAGGAGAATCGCTTGAACGCGGGAGGCTGAGGTTGCAGTGAGCTGAGATCGCACCATTGCACTCCAGCCTGGTCGACAGAGCAAGACTCTGTCTTAAAAAAAAAAAAAAAAAAAAAGAATAAAAGAAAGATAGGTTATTTATTGGTGCAGTACTTTACCAATTCATCTACCCAGTCCATACTTAGGAATTAATAGTGGATTATGAGTTTTATTTTAATTTTATACATGTATTTATTTTAAGAAACACCTTCTAATATACTTACCTACTGCTTTGTGTTTGGGTACTGTCCTGTGATTTGGATCTAAGGAAATAAGGAAATAACATTTTTAGGCTGATATAATACAACCTGTCAAACTTATGTTGTATTTATTTGTTATGGCAATTTCTTCCTCTTTCCGTTCAAAGTTGTACTAAAAAAGAAATATTTGCCAAATTTCTACCTCTTTTCCATTTTTTTTTTTTTTTTTTTTTTTTTAGAGATGGAGTTTCACTTTGCCACTCAGGTTAGAGGGCAGTAATATGACTGTGGCCCACCACAGCCTCAACCTCCTGGGGGCTCAAATGTCCTCCTGCCTCAGCCTCCCAAATATCTAAGGCTACAAGCATACACCAACATGCCCAGCCAAATTTTTATATTTCTTTGTAGAAATGGGATTTCACTTTGCTGCCCAGGCTTGTCTTGAACTCCTGACCTCAAGCAGTCCTCCCACCTTGGCTTCCCAAAATGCTGGGATTACAGCATTTTGTAATGTGAGCCACCACACCCAGTCTTTTCCATTTTTATATACACAGATTCCTTATTTCTAATCCCCTAACTAAAAGAATGGGGGAGAAAAAGAATGAACTGAAGACAAATTAATCAAGATTAATTCACAGAGAAGATAATACAATATAAGTGAGAGTATTCAGTGATAATGCACAATTTTACTTCTTTCGTCCTTTCCCTACCTTTGCTATTTTATATCTTCAAAACTTACTGTTGATTTTTCCTACTACTCTGACCATGAAACATTCTTATTTAATATAATTAGTTATCTCCCAAACCAATAAAAAGATCTGTATTTATAGACATATGAGTCTACTGAAATGTACACCCATTAGATTTCTGGCTTAAAAAAATATATTGTTTCATTATGTTTACCCAAGGAATTGGCTCTACCAACATCTCCCACTGGCTTCCCAACGGCAACAAAAATACTAAAAATATAAATGTAAAAGGAACAGAAATACAAGAAAATACAGTAAATGCTCTAACAGTAAAGGACAGCAACTATGTCTGCTTAGCTTACTAAGTTTAAGTGAAAGAATAATCACCAAATACCTTTCTGGGTATGCTAAACACAAAGTTAGAATAATGGGTTAACATTCCAAATTATACTCCCCAAATCCAGTGTATATTACCCTATAGATGATGCCCTTGTCTATCCCTCAATCTAGTTGAATTTATTACTTTTAAAAAGGATGATTATGATATGATTATGGCATATTTTATGAGGAGAGATAATGTAAGGGGACAATTAGAGTAGTTACACCACTAAGAATTATATGTGCATATGTGAACTTCAAGAGAAACCACTCATTCGTTAAGCAAGTATTTATTGAGCATTAACCCTGCAAGATGCTACCTATAAATAGGTAGGGAAAATAAACATGGACTTGACCCTCAAGTGATTTCAGAGCCTAAAAGGAGAGTAATGCTTCTAGGTGAGCAGAAGATTGGGAGAATTGCAGTGTTTGAGCACTCTATCACAACTCCCTTGGTGACAGTGACGGAGAGTGGAGACAACAAAGAAAATCAGCTTTTTTCTCAAACATAGCTTAGAGAAAGTAACTGATGACTGTAAAAGGGTGCTTATGTTAGGAGACATCCAAGAACAACAGAAAGGATAAAGGAGACAGAAATACTGTAGCTTTCCTAATGGATGGGGTGCCTTCATTGGGGAAAATACAAACCATATAATGTTTTGGTGTAGCCTAGAAAATTTAATCTGTGTGTATAAAGGATATTTTGGAATAGCAGTGGGTTGAATGTAACTCAAAGAGGTCACTTTAAGGAAAAATACTAGGCAATATAAGAAAATGAAAACTCTACAATGGAGAAACCATGACGAACATAGCAGTAAATATTTGATAACTTCAGAAGGATCACAAAGCCACAACTGTGGGGTGTAGGAAACCAAAAGCTTCTCTAAACGAGTTCAGAGAACTCTTGTTAACATAGGTGTGGGACATTGAGGATCTGTGGGAAATGTAGAATTTTAGTGTGTTTATAATACTGTCTCCTAAACTCTTCCTAAGTGGAAATAATCATTCGCTCAGTTGTTCACATTGAGTTTTTGGGGGTGTAAATGCAACCTGAAAAAGTACTATTTCCCCTTTGTGTATCCCAGAATAAAGGATGCAAAATGTTCAGCTTATGATTTAGTTTCACAAAGTAATCATAAATATTTGTCTCTTATTAAATTTCACTAGCTTATTTCTTATGTACCACAAGAGTAGGCAATCAACAAAAATTTAGTCAACTGAAGAAAAAAGATTAATGGAATTAATTAATGCTTGTAGAATGGGAAATATTAATAAGTTGGGTTTGGTGTAGACTTTATCGATTGTGGCTGCTCAAAAAATGTTGAGCAATTATTTGTGAATTATCAACTTTTTCATTCTGAATTTTCAACATACTTATTTATAAGTAACACTTTCTATCCTGCTTACCTGCTAGTATATGCTTCAGCACTATCTTCTGATTTGGATCTAAAAATAAATTAAAAACAATATATATTAAATATCTATTATTAAAAATAAATTGGCCAGGCGCGGTGGCTCATGCCTGTAATCCCAGCACTTTGGGAGGCTGAGGCGAGTGGATCACAAGGTCAGGAGATCGAGACCATCCTGGCTAATACGATGAAACCCCGTCTCTACTAAAAATACAAAAAATTAGCCAGGTGTGGTGGCGGGCGCCTGTAGTCCCAGCTACTCGGGAGACTGAGGCAGGAGAATGGAGTGAACCCAGGAGGCAGAGCTTGCAGTGAGCCAAGATCACGCCACTGCACTCCAGCCTGGGAGACAGAGCAAGACTCCATCTCAAAAAAATAAAAATAAACATAAATAAAAATAAAAATAAATTAAAAACAATATCTGAAAGTTAACACTAAGAGCTTGCCTACTTTGAGAATGAAAAACAGGCCATTTTATAGCACCAAAACTAATTATTTAAATATGTGGGGCATGCAAATAAATAGCATTCTTTTTTACTCAAACACCAAATGCAACATATAGTACAAAATGTAAATTCTCTAGTAGAGAATCAAGAGTATCAAGATAGCAGAGGTTTTTCAAATTACTTCGAAGTTAATGTAAATTTAACTGTAAATGTCTAAACCTGTTCTTCAGCCTCCAAGTTAGTTTTGTATTTGTTAATATATAAATTGCAGCAGTTTGTAAATTAAAACTTACATTTACTTCTGACCAGTTTGGCAGACTGGACAAATAGTAAAACTTATCCTTTCTATTAGATACATAGAGAAAAGCTGAAGAAAACAAAAAACGTATGCATAACTAAGATTGACAGTCACAAAGGGTTTTCCTTCTACCATTTAAAAAAAAATAAATTAGAAGCTCAGAGGGAAAACAAGAGCTAAAGCTGAATTACTTATACCCTAAAAGATGTGGTTTTCATAACCCTAGCTTGGAAGGAGTTGAGGGCATGGATCTTTACGTGTTAGAAAGCTGCAATGGAGCAGTTTCCCAAGCCTGGTAGTCTTTAATGGAAATATTAAAAGCTATGACCACTGCACTTCAGAACACAACTAGCAAATTTTCTCAGGCAAGTGAAAAGAAAAGGATCATCTAGAGATGCAGAAATCACAGGCCTGCACCACGCAGTGCAGACCTCAGCTGCTCAGTTCCACTACTCGCAAATCTGAAAGAGCAAGCATGGAAAACATTACAACATTCATGCCCCAGGAGAGGCAAACCTGAAATACTCTCATCCTCCCAATGCATGCCTCTACAACTCAGGGCATGCAGAAGTCCCATGAGAACAATCACTGCCCTTGAGGGTGGGCTTATCAACCTAAATTGCAAAACAAAAATTCACACATCAAGATCAACAGATAATATAAAAATCTTCAAAATTGAAATATTTAGGATCTCCACACAAATCAAGGCAGGACTGAGGCAAAAAAAAATAGCTATTAAGAAAACGGAGGATTTGGAAACTGATATAAGGAAGTGAAACAATGTCAGATAGAGAGGTAGAAAGATGTAATACATGAAGAACCCAGTTAAGAAACATGGATGCTAGTCCGGGCATGGTGGCTCACGCCTGCAATCACAGTACTTTGGGAGGCCGAGGCGAGTGGATCACAAGGTCAGGAGTTCAAGAAGAGCCTGGCCAAGATGGTGAAACCCCGTCTCTACTAAAACTACAAAAATTAGCCAGGCGTGGTGGCAGGTGCCTGTAAGCCCAGCTACTTGGTAGGCTGAGGCAGAGAATTGCCTGAACCCAGGAGATGGAAGTTGCAGTGAGCTGAGCTCGCGCCACTGCATTCCAGCCTGGGCAACAGAGACTCCGCTTAAAAAAAATAAATAAAAGACGAAAGAAACATGAAGGCTAAAATGAGAAGACCCTCCTAAATATAATCATTTCCAGTGGAAAAAAGAGAAAGAATGAGAAAGAGTCAATAATTGAAGACATAATGACTGAATTAATTTTTTAGATTTAATGACCTGAGTCCTGATATCTAAAGACTATATTGAATCTAGAGCTGGATAAATAAAAACAAATTCTATCAGAACATATAATCATAAAATAACAAAACATTTGAGACAAAAAGGAAAACTTAGAAGCCACCTAGAAAAAGCACATTAATTGAGGGGGGAATAAATAATGATACTGACAACTAAGGTCTCATCAATGACAGTACATGGCACATTACAACAACAGAATATTACAAAACGCTTTCAGAAAAGTCCTTCTCAGCTAGGAGTAACCATTTAAGCTATCATTCAAAATTCAGTGTGGATAAAAAAAGCATGTTCAGGCATTTAACACAAATGTTGATAATACAGAATCACTAAACTGAAACTAAAAGGGTTGTAAAAAGGAAACTAAACCCATAATGAAAAATCAATGGATTCAACAATAAATAGTGAGAGCAAAGCAACTGATAGATACGTTTTAAACTCTTAGCAGGTATTAATTTAATATAAAAATGATTATAATAATAGTAATAATAATAATAATAATGGAGGGTAGGGTTCTGTAGGTAAAAACCTGGAAGAAGCTAAAAGCCAAATGACAATAATATGGGAGAGTAATGTTAAGAGTTTGCTGATAAATTGTCAAAGATTCTTCTGTTGCTTAGGAAAAGACTGGAAATACTGAAAGAATTTAGACATTTAAAATAATTACACTAAAGTAGTACTAATGTGACCCATACTGGTGATGGGAACAGGTGGCAGAGAAATTCTAGGCAGAAAAGGGTGGGTCTCTGGCAAAAGCACCACCCTCAAGCCGAAAAGCCGGAAACCACCATCCAAAGAGAGAATTTCTATCACTGTTTTCCTGCTCAAATGTTGCCTTTTCCTAAACCACCCATGGCCCTGCCCCTCCCCATTCTGTGCCTATAAAGACCCCAGACTCAGTTGGCAGAGACGAGAGGCAGCTGGACGTCAGGGACTATGGCTGGATGTCGGAGAGAAGGGGCTAGACTTCAGAGGGACAGCTTGATGGCATAACTTCAGAGAAGAGTCCAGCCCGAGGTGGCTGGACTTGAGGGGAAGATTTCCTGCCCATCCCCTTTTCAGCTCCCCTTCCCGCTGAAAGCCACTTTCATTATTCAATAAAATTCCTCACATTTATCATCTTTCAATTCATTCATGCAACCTCATTTTTCCTGGATGCCAGACAAGAGTTTGGGAGCCACAAGTGTGGATTCAAAAGGCTGTCACACTGTCCCTTCGCCCTCACTGGTGGAGATCAGCCGCCTCACTTGAAAAGGCAGAGGGCCTACTGAGCTGTTAATACTTAAGCTGTCCAAGCTAAAAGAGCACTGTAACACGCCCTCTGGGGTTTTCGGAGTCACAGGCACCCTGCCTGGATACCGCTGCAGGGCCTGCACAGAGTTCGCCCCTGCCGGCGCCCAAAAGTGCTGGCTGTGGCTCCTGCACCTGCTCACCTGCATGCTCCCTCCCGAGTGGTGGAGCGCAGTGGGTCCCAGTGAGTGGAGTTTGATCCCTCCCAGCCAGGGCTGAAATGGCCGGCTGGTTCCAGCGCTCCTGCACTCCAGCAGTTCCCACCTCGTTCACCCACGCGTTCCCTCCGATAAGGAGTCAGGAGGCTGAGTAAATGAGGCACCCCTGTCATGAGTCCCCTGAAGGGGTCAGGGAAATATCCTGCTTCACTGGAATTCATTCCATCTCTCTGCTTTCTTTGGCTTCAACTTCCCACCAGTTAAAGGTTACTCCAAAGATAAATGACATGAAAACTATGGTGGATGTTATATCACTAAAGCACAGCCACCATGTCAAATGATGTTACTAAAATTCAAATGAATAGTTATTCTAAAATGATTCCCTGGTGCACGGTAAGCCAGAAGGCTAGACCAGTGGTTTAACATTGCAAATTAAACGATGTCTATTGAAATGTACATTTTCCTATGGGTGATGCTATCACCCCTCACTGAATGGAGGTAAATAACCCTGGGAGAGATGAATTATGTTAACAGGGTTTCAGGGTGAGAGATGATATATTGAGCGAAGAAGAAATGGAGGAAGCGACAACATCATCATGGATATATGAATGTGTGTGCATGCATGCATGTGAACACATATATATAGATTTGTCTATGTACCTTTGTGTTTCTGTTTTTGTTGGTTTGGTTGCCTCTGTGTGAAGATCAAAGGTAGTCATTCATTCATTCCTTCAACAAATATTTATTGATCACTTATAATATGAGCCGAGCACTCTGCTACATGCTAGCTATACAATGCTGAGCAAGATAGACATAGCCTTTATTATCTGAGATGACAGAATATAATAAGAGAAAAAGGTCACTGAGGCTCGCTGGGCCTGATCCCTATATGGTAACTCCCTTGCTCACAATAATAAGAACAGACATGATAATAAAAATCAAAATTTTAAAGATAAACTCATGACTCCAACGTGCCACTGTAAGGAAAAAAATAATGAGGCAGATTAAAAATGAGCAACGCAGGCATTCTTATTGAAGAGGTAAATTTCTTCTGGAACAAAAGAAATCATACAACCTTGTTGTGCAGCTTAGAGAGTTTGTCCTGTGGATTTGGATGTGTTTGGGAACAGCAGTGGGCTTGGAGCAACCTAGAAAGAATAACACTAGCCCCCTATAAATGTATATAAAAACTGTAACTCAGAGAGGGAGCAGTAAAAACTTCAAAGCATTTTATATCTGCAGAAGGACCTAAAACCCACAATTGCTGAGTGTGAGGAACTAGATACTTACTGAGTTATTATAAAAAGACATCCACCTTTCAGGAAATGGACAGGGACCTAGTAATACTGAGAACAATGAAAGATGTGGAATTTTTGTTCCTTTGTGATGCTTTTTTTTTTTCAACAAATTCTTCCCAGGTGATCTATGCGAGCATTCACTCAGTTATTCATCAGCATACATATTAGTTTCTAGTTGTGCCATCTCCAAATAAAAAAGTAAACTTCCCCTTGGTGTACTCCAAGAAAAAGAATACAAAAAGATCCTTTTTATGAATTAGCTCCTTAAACATTTCACCAAAAATGTTTTCCTTTGTTTCCCAAAAATAAACTCCCAACACATATTAACTAAACTGCAGGAAAGAAGATATTGTCTTATTTAGACAAATACTCGCAAGTTACTAGATCAGCAAATAGGTTGTTTTAAGGTACAGTACTTTACTAATTGTGGCTACTCAGTTAATAGTTAGCAAGTAATTGTTAATTATCAATTTGTTCATCTCAATTTTTAACATATACTTATTATATAAAAAAAATGCCCCCTAATTCACTTACTTGCTAGTATCAGCTTGACTGCTGCTTTCTGATCTGGTTCTAAAAGAAAGCGAAAAAGTAATGCTTCCACGTTAATACTTAACACAAATGTGCCTCCATAATGAATGAATGTCGGATCATTTTACAACCTGTGTTAATTCTTCTCTACCAAGAATCACCACTGAAGAATAATTTCAAAACACTACTAAATTAGCATATGCAAACAAGTTTTTATTTATTCATATACAATGTCCATAAAAAGTTTAAATTTCAAATATTCAACTAAGCAGAGGAACAAGAAAACTGATTTGTTTTTCTCCTTTCACTTTCTAGCACAGAATACATGCTTTATTTTAAATGCCTGATTCTGGCCTTCAGAGTCTATCCGTTGATAAATACATTGCTGTAGGTTGTGATTCAAAATCCACACTAATGTCAAGAAGACTGAACTGATGGGGAGGTGTGGTAATTTCCCCTCCTATACCACACACAGAGAAATAGTGCAAAACAACACATACTATTTACTAAAACTTTATGAAAGAAAAGGCCATTTCTAGTGATAGTAACAGAGAGAGAGAGAATTGAAAATGCGAAAGGTAAATACAAACTAAATCTGAATGACTTTGGGGGTACACAAGTCAGTTTCATAAGCCACATCAGCTTATCAAGAGTTGAGACTTCCTAGAAAGATGAAGCTGACCTCCTTCTCTAAACCTGGAAGCCCTGAAAGGCTGTACCACCCATGAAATGGGGATAGTAAAAGCTGTGGCCACTAGACACAGAGATGCATCAGGGAAACTGCTTCAGAAGTAGAGATGAAAAATGAACACCAGGAGGCACGGGAACCCGGAGCACTTAAATTGGCTTAGGAATTTGGATGGAAAAATCATCACACAGAGAAACAGGAGCCTTAATTCTTTACACGTATAGGATAAGGACACCACTCCATGCTTCCCATGAACTCCAGTGTAACAGTTAATGTAAAAATTTATCACACAGGAGGGTAAAACATGACCTCCACAAGGAGTCTTCTGCAAAGCACAGTAGGTTTGTTTACACCAGCATCACCACAAACAAGTGAGTAATGCATTGCTCTCTGATGTTGTGATGGCTACAACATCACTAGGCTGTAGGAATTTTCACCTTCATTATAATCTTATGGAACCACCATCATACATGTGGTTTCTCATTTACCAAAACATTGTTATGAAGCACATGGCTCTCTCTGTAACACCAGCTGGGTAACTTCTAGGCCCTATACATTCTTTTTCTTTACTAATTATACATGTCCTATCTCATTTTAGAATCAGCTATTTTATTCCTTGTTTCCTCAAAAGAGACCTCCAGTAAACATTTATTAAATAAAGAAATGACTAATTTATTAGAAACTAAATTCAACTGTATATTAGCAGTCTGGATTTTAGTGCATTGCTTTACCAATTGACATTGTTCAAAAATATTTAGAAATAAATTGTGAATTATCAATAAATTCTTAATTTTCAACATGTATCTTAAAAACCTCTTCTAACCTACTTACTGGCTGGCATATGTCTGAGTGCTGCCTTCTGAGCTGGATCTAAAAAAAAATTGAAAGCAATGTCTCAAGTTAGTACTAAGAAAACTTGCCAACTTCATGAATGAAAATCAGGCCATTTTATAATTAGTATTATCTCTTTAAAAGACTAATTACTAATAAATAAAATGATGTCCAAAGGTCACTGAACATAGATGCAAATAAATAACATTTTCATCTACCCATATACCTCATCCACAAGAAGGGCACATTTCAAATCCTGCAATGAGGAGAGTATCCAAAAAACACAGATTTGCTTTTTCTGAACATAGAATATAGATCCGTTCAGAAAAAACACAGATTAGCTATTTCTAAACATAGAACATAGGTTTGACTTTGCATGATTCTCACCTTCATACCCCAACTTTTGGCTTTTTATTTATTGTTTAAAAAAAGACAGTATTTTGTAAATTAAAACCTATACTGCCTCCTAAGCAATCTAGCAGAGTGAGCTGGCAAAACAATTTTCCCTTTCCATTCCTCGCATAGAGGAGTGCTGAAAAAAAAAATCACACACACAAACATTTGATACACAACTGAAGCTCACAGCAAGGAAAGACTTCTCCTATTGCCAATAAAAACGATAAAACTGAGAGCTCACAGGTTAAACAGGAGCTGAGGCTGAATAACTTCAGAAGCATCTAAACCTACAGTGCTGCCAGTCATATGAAAGTACATCACATACAATTATGTACAGTACAAAATACATGATAATGATAATAATAACTGGTTTTGGTTTATGTGTTTACTATCCTATCCTTTTGTTTGTTTGTTTGTTTGTTTGTTTGTTTTTTTGAGGTGGAGTCTTGCTCTGTCTCCCAGGCTGGAGTGCAATGTCGAGATCTTGTCTCACTGCAACCTCTGCATCCTGGGCTCAAGCGATTCTCCTGCCTCACCCTCCTGAGTAGCTGGGATTACAGGCATGTGCCACCACGCCTGGCTAATTTTATTTATTTATTTATTTATTTTTGTATTTTTAGTAGAGACGGGGTTTCACCATGTTGGCTAGGCTAGTTTCGAACTCCTGACCTCAGGTGATCCGCCCGCCTCAGCCTCCCAAAGTGCTGGGATTACAGGAGTGAGCCACCGCGCCAGGCCTATACTGTCCTTTTTATCATTATTTTAGAGCGTACTCCTTTTGCTTATTTAAAGAAAAAAAATTAACTGTAAAACAACTTCAAGCAGGTCCTTCAAGACGAATCCAGAAGGTGGCATTGTTATCCTGGCCAATGACAGCTCCAGGTATGTCATTGATTCTGAAGACCTCCCAGCAGGACAAGATGTGGAGATGGAAGACAGTGATATTGGCTGTCTTGACCCTGCATAGACCAAGGCTAATGTGTTTCTGTCTTAGTTTTTACCAAAAATTTTAAAAAGAAAAAAAAATTAAGACAAAAAAGCCGATAAAGATATAAAGAATTTGTACAATGTGTTTGTTTTTGAGCTAAGTGTTATTACAAGAGTCAAAAAGTTTTATAAAATTAAAAAGTGTATCAATTTTAAAAGTTATAGTAAAACGTAAGGTTAATATATTATTGAAGAAATAAATTTTTAAGTAAATTTAGTGTAGCCTAAGTGCACAGTGTTTATACAGTTTATAGTAGGACTCAGTAATGCCCTAGGCCTGCACATTCACTCACCACTCACTCACTGACTCACCCGGAGCAACTTCCAGTCCTGCAAGTTCCATTCACTGTAAGTGCCCTATACAGACATATCATTTTTTATCTTTTATATTATTTTTACAGTAGCTTTTCTATGTTTCAATACATACTTAATCAGTTACAGTTGCTTACAGTATTCCATACCATAAGATGCTGTACAGGCTTATATATATAAGGTTATAGGATATAACCTAGGTACATAATAGGCTATACAATCTAGGTTTTTTTAAGTACACTCTGTGATGTTCGCACAATAACACAATCACCTAACGGTGCATTTCTCAGAATGTATCTTTGTGTTAAGCGACTCATGACTGAATTAGTGTACTGCTTGGGTAAACAAACAAATGGATGGAATTTTATAGATTGTGACAGAAGTCATGAATCTAGATGTATAAATTTCTACAATAATTATGGGTTGAGGAGAGCTAATTACATTGACCTAATTGTTCTGTTCTTTTAATCATCAATAAATTGCATTTTGTCCCTATTCATCCTACTTATGTTTCTTTTACTTCTTTTGCTTTCTTTCTTTCTTTTTTTTTTTTTTTTTTTCTGGAGCTCACTGGCGATCATGGCTCACTGCAGTCTTGAACTCCTAAGCTAAATGAATCCTCCCACCTCAGCCTCCCAAGTAGCTGAGACCACAGGCTCATGCCACCATGCCTGGCTATTTTTTTAATTTTTAATTTTTCAGGTGCTCCTCACACCTCAGCCTCCTAAAGTGCTGGGATTACAGGCATGACCCAACACACACAGCCCCTATTCATATTTTTTAACCATAACTTCAGTTCTCACTATTTTCTAACAGTCTGTGAAGTGGACTCCATATTCTCTTTCAGTGTCAAGACACTTAACTACCCATTTTCAATTTTGTAAAAGTCCAAGACCTTATTTCTTCAAATATTGACTCTTCCCCACTCTAAATTTTCTGTCTCTGAATTCTTTTGTTTCTTAACTGGTCTTTTATATGTTATTATTCTGTTTATGTTGTATTCTCAGTGATTTCCCTAAACAATTTAAAAATAAAATCTTTTTTCAGCTCCTTTATTTCTTGTTTAATGGATTATATTTGTTTTTTAACTTCTATGCGGATCCTAAGCATTTTTTTTTTTTGAGGTTTTTCAATTACCTGTATTTCTTTAGATTGCTTTGGCTGTTGGCATCACCACCTTTAGTGGCTTTTTTTTTTTTTTTGTAAGGTTAAGTAGCATTGATTGTCTCATGAGAATTCTGCATATTTTGCTTTGTGCAGTAGGTTTGCTTACACCAGCATCACCACAAACCAGTGAGTAATGCATTGCTCTCTGATGTTGTGATGGCTACAACATCACTAGGCTACAGGAATTTTTCACCTTCATTATAATCTTATGGAACCACCATCATACATGTGGTTTATCATTTACCAAAACATTATTATACAGCACGTGCCTCTATAACACAAGCTGGGTAACTTCTAGGCCCTATACATTCTTTTTCTTTACTAATTATACATGTCCTATCTCATTTTAGAATCAGCTATTTTATTCCTTGTTTCCTCAGAAGAGACTTCCAGTAAACATTTATTAAATGAAGAAAGGACTAATTTATTAGAAACTAAATTAGACTATATATTAGCAGTCTGGATTTCAGTGCATTGCTTTACCAATTGATGTTCAAAAAAAATTGGAAATAAATTGTGAATTATCAATTAACTCTTAATTTTCAACATGTATCTTAAAAACACCTTCTAAACTACTTACTGGCTGGCATATGTCTGTGTGCTACCTTCCGATTTAGATCTAAAAAAAAATTGAAAATGTCTCATGTTAGTACTTAGAAAACTTGCCAACTTCATGAATTAAAATCAGTCCATTTTATAATCAGTATTATCTCCTTATAAGACTAATTATTAAAAAATAAAATATTGTCCAAAGGTCAATGAACACAGATGCAAATAAATAACATTTTTATTTACCCATATACCTCATCCATAAGAAGGGCACATTTCAAATCCTGCAATGAGGAGAGTATCAAAAACACCCAAATTTGCTTTTTCTGATCCCTTCTAAACACAGAATCTAGATTTGACCTTGAATGTCTGATTCTGACCTTCATAATCCAACTTCTGGTTTTTTATTCATTTTTAAAGAAAAGACTAACTCTGAGGCCAGAGATTTAGTAGCACTGCCTTAGAAGGAGCTGAAGCCTCAGGCCTTCGGATGCAGAGATGCTATAAGTGAACTCTTTAACTAAACCAGGAGCCAGAAGGAGCCATCTCACCCATGAAACAGGAATAATAAAATTTCTGACCAGTGGCTTTTGGAATGCAAGAGGGAAATATGCATAAATAGAGAGAAAAATGCATCAAGAAGAGAAGTAGGACTCCCAAGTGTCATAAAAGTGCAGTTTCAGGACCCCAGTTCACACTCCCACAAATTCTTGAACACCATGCATGGCAAATTTTTAAAAATATTTTTTCTTTAAGAAAGGAAAAATTAAACAACTGGTATGGTTAGGCTTCGTGTCCCCACCCAAATCTCATCTTAAATTGTAATCCCCATAATCCCCATGTGTCAAGAGAAAGACCAGGTGGAAGTAATTGAATCACGGTAGTGGTTTCCCCCATGCCTTTCTCGTGAATGAGTTCTCATGAGATCTGACGGTTTTATAAGAGGTTCTTGCCCCTCCGCTCAGCACTTCTCCCTCCTGCTGCCTTGTGAAGAAGGTGCCTTGCTTCCCCTTCGCCTTCTGCCATGATTGCAGATTTCCTGAGGCCTTCCCAGCCATGCTGTGAGTCAATTAAACCTCTTTCCTTTATAAATTACCCAGTCTTGGGCAGTTCTGTATAGCACTATGAAAATGGACTAATACAACAACTTACATATATGTCTCTATAACACAGCACACACAGAATTCTCATGGGAAACATCAAAGACACTGAAGATAAAAGAGTCTACCATTACAAATCACTAAGAGTTAATGTCAACACTACACTAAAACATGAATTCACGCAGCAAGAGCTACAAATGATTTGCTTTAAAAACGCTTTAATCTGAGAATATTTAGACTCCTCATAGAGATCTTTGCAGGAATAGAATCCATAAGTCTAAAACAGGACAGAGAGGAAAGAAAAATTAGAGAAATGAAAGAGTAAACTAAGAAAATTAATCAGAATGTGAGATGCAGAGATTAAAAATATGTGAAAGTTGCAAATACTAAAAGCATACTTCTAATTCTGGCCAAGATGGGGTAAGACTAAATTTACCCTCCTGCCAGAATGTCTAAAAATACAGACAAAATGTATAAAACAATTGATTTCACACATTGGCTACTAGACAGTGCAGTACAGCGAACTTTGAGAGAAGGAAACAAGGTGAGCTCTATGATTGACTCTTCTTACTGCCTAGAGAGAGTTTTCAGGCTGTAATGCAATGAGGGAAACTGAGGCAAATCCCAGTAGTCTCTCTGAGTTGAGGTGATAGAATTGGGGGCCTAGGAAGGGCAAGGCAGCTAGGGTTCACAGGGCAGAACACCACAGAAAAAAAGAAAATGCTTAGAAGGAATCCTGAGATTGGGGGAAGACCCCCTCCCTCGCCTCTTGCATCTTCTGCAGAGTACTGATAAATGCTTGCCAGTGAGGGAACTGCCTGAGCCAGAGTAAAACCATTTATCCAAAATGAACAAAGGGAATAATTTCTTGTGCTCACAGAAGGACAGGAATAGTTTGAGTTCCACCTGAGTTGAATATATGGTAATTCAGAGTAAGATGGATAGAGTTACTCAGAATGGTACTGTCTTTTTATGGGTGACTATTCTGATCCTACTTAACAAAGTTTAAAATCAATGGTGTAAGAATAATTAAAAATTTTTGTACAAAATATACTATTTCCATACTTCTTAACATATACAAAAATTCAAATTAGATATAGATCTAAAGGCAAAACCTAAAACTTTGAAACTTTTAGAAGAAATCATAGGAGAAAATCTGTGAACTTGGGTTAGGCAATTATTTCTTAGCTACAGCACCAAAATTATGATCTATAAAAAAAGAAATTGATACACTGGTTTTATTAAACATTTAAAACATTTGCTCTAAAGATTGCTAAAAGTATTAGAAGACAAGCCTTAGACTGAGATAACATGTTTGCAAATTACATATATAATGATGGACTTATATTCAGAACACTCGAAATACAACAAACCCATTTCAAAAATGATCAAAAGATTTGAAAAATATGATAAAAAGGAAAATAACCCATAATTTGAATAGACATTTCTCCAGAGAAGGTATACAGATGGCAAATAACCATATGAAACAATTGTCAACATGATTAACCATTAGAGAAATTCAAATTATAATGAGATACCACTACACAATATCAGAATTGGTAAAGTTAAAAAAAATGAGACCACATATTGACAAGAATGTGGAGAAACTACAACTCTCATACACTAGTGGCTGGAATACAAGATGACAAAACCACTTTGGAAAACATAGCTCTTTCTTTAGAATTTAAACATACACTTACTTTATTACCCAATTATTCTATTCCTGGGTATTAACCAAGAGAAGGAAAGCATATATTCACATAGAGACTTGTACCTGAATGTTCATGTTAAATACAGTAAGAAATTCTTCTTCAAAGATTTAGTTTGCTTAAGTTTGCTTGTCCTTTGTACCCTGCTTTCAAGGCCAGACTTCTTTACTCACTGTGTCCGCCTGCCCTGGTAAACAACCTTCCTGCCAGTCTTTATCTATAGAGCCCACATTCCACATCTGCTACCCACTCTGTAAATTACCTTTCCCATTGCAATGGCTACTCCTGCCAAAACTGATCTTCCCACCTTCCCACCAGTGTAACCGCATTCCTGCACTTTTCAAGTTAGCCAACCGGGTTCAGCTTAGATTGTGCAGTCCAACTCCAGCCAATGGAGGCATGACACAGTAGCAGGGACAAGCTGTGTTAGAAATAAAAACCCCTGCTTTCCTCTGTTTGGGGTGCTCTCATGGCAACCAGAACTATGAGAAGCACCCTTCTGCAGAAGTAAATTTGCCTTGCTGAGAGATCCTTTGTCTCAGTGCTGGTTCTTCTTTGCGGCACTGAGCATTTGTTTCCAGCGGTTCACAACAGCTTCATTTATAACACCTATAAACTGGAAATAACCCAAATATTCATCAACAGATAAATAGATTTAAAAAAATTAAGGTATATTCATACAGCTGAGTAGTTCTCAGCAATAAAAAGGAACAAACTATTGACACACACAAAAGCATGTATAAATATCAAAATAATTATGGTGATGTAAATAATCCAGACAAAGTACATACAATCATATGATCTCATTTATATAAAATTCTAGAAAAGGAACTGTAAACTGTAGTGACAGAAGCAGATTAGTAGTAGTCTGGGATACCAGCCTGCAGCCTTTCCCCACCAGCACAGCCTCTCTCCACCCCCTCACCAGTACGCATGGGCACACAGAACCCTCACCACCCTGCCAGCATGCACAAATGGGGGAACCCCCACCTACCCTGCCTGCACGCACATATACATGGACCCACCACTGGCCCACCCCAGTGCTTTTGCTGGCAGCCCCCATTGGAGGGTTGTTGCCAGCAGACTGGGAATACCTTGGCCTCTCCAGTGCAACAGGGGTTTAACCTTAAGGGGACAGAGAACA
Source organism: Homo sapiens (assembly GCF_000001405.40). NCBI lineage: Eukaryota > Metazoa > Chordata > Mammalia > Primates > Hominidae > Homo > Homo sapiens. Next base: position 172,691 of record NT_187577.1, on the reverse strand, counting down.
AAGAAACAGGCCAGGTCCCAACCCCCCAGGGATAGAGCACGTACCCCAGGAATGCTAATTTGAGCCTTGGCCCCCTGAAAGCATCCAGAAATGAAGCCAATTGCCTAAGCCTAACTTATACCACAGTGAAACCCTTAAGGTATCAGAGAATGTAAAAGCAGAAAGCTCCATACAAAAGACAGCAATTTCAAAGATTAAGGGAACATCAGCCCACACAAATGAGAAAGAACCAATGCAAGAACTCTGACAACTCAAAAAGACACAGTGTCTTTTTAACACCAAACAACCACAATAGCTCTCCAGCTATTGTTCTTAACCAGACTGAAATGGCTATAATGACAGACATATAATACTAATTCTGGATAGCAAGGAAGCTCATCGACATACAGAAGGTCGAAACTCAAGCCAAGGAACACAGCAACATGGTCGAAGAGTTAAAAGATGGCATAGCCATTTTAAGAGAAAAATAAACTGAACTTCTGGGAATGAGAAATTCACTACAGGAATTTCATAAAGCAACTGAAAGCATTATAACAGAATAGACCATGCTGAGGAAAGAATCTCAGAGCTTGAAGACCATTTCTTTGAAACAACACAGGCAGACTAGAAAAAAGAAAAAATAATTTTTTAAATGAACAAAATATCAGAGCAATATGTGATTACGTAGAGACCAAACCTGGGACTCGCTGGCATTCCTGAAACAGATGAAGAGAAAGCAAGCAAATTGGAAAACATATTGGAGAATACTTCCACAAAAATTTTCCCAACCTCACTAGAGATGTTGACATGCAAATTCAGGATATTCAGGGAACCTCTGTGAGATACCATACAAGATGACCATCCCCAAGACACATAGTCATCAGATTCTCCAAAGGCAATGTGAAAGAATAAATCTTAAAGGCAGCTTGGGAGAAGGGGCAAGTCACCTACAAAGGGAACCCCAACAGGCTAGCAGCAGAATTTTCTGCAGAAACCTTACAAGTCTGAAGAGATTGGGGACCTATATTCAGCATCCTTAAAGAAAGGAAATTTCAACCAAAAACTGTATATCCAGCCAAACTAAGCTTCATAAGCAGAGGAAAAATAAAATATTTTTCAAACAAGTCAATGCTAAGGGAATTTGCTACCACCACACCTACCTTATAACAGGTCCTTAAGGGAAAGCAAAACATGGAAAGGGAAGATCATTACCTGCCACCACAAAATCATACTTACATGCGTAGCCCCCCAACACTATTAAGCAAATATCTAATCAAATCTATATAACAACCAGCTACCTGCCACCACAAAATCATACTTACATGCTTAGCCCTGACACTATAAAGCAAATATATAATCAAATCTACTTAATAACCAGCTACCTGCCACCACAAATTATACTTACACGCATAGCCCCCTGACACTATAAAGCAAATATATAATCAAATCTACATAACAACCAGCTAACACATGATGACAGGATCAAATCTGCACATAACAATATTAACGTTGAATGTAAATGGGATAAATGCCCCACTTAAAGACACAGAGTGGCAAAGTGTATAAAGAAGCAAGATCCAACTACATGCTGTCTTCAAAAGACCATCTCACCTGCAATGACACCCATAAGCTCAAAGTAAAGGGAAGGAGAAAGATCCATCAAGCAAACAAAGTATAAAAAAGAGCAGAAGTTGCTTTCTTATTTAAGATAAAACAAACTTTAAACCAAAAACAATAAAAAAGGACAAAGAAGAGCATTACATAATGATAAAGGGTTCAATTCAACAAGAAGACTTAATGATCCTAAATATATATGGGCCCAACAGTGTAACACCTGGATTCATAAAACAAGTTCCTAGAGACCTACGAAGAGATGTTGAGAACCACACAATAATAGTGTGGGAGACTATTTCAGTGGGAGACTTCAACACCCCCTGAAAGTGTTATGCAGATCATTGAGGCAGAAAACTAACAAAGGTATTTGGGACTTAACGCGGCACTTGACCAAGTAGACCTAACAGACATCTACAAAATACTCCACCCAACAACACCACAATGTAAATTCTTCACATCAGCACATACCAATCATACCAATCACACTCTCAGACCACAGTGCAATAAAAACAGAAATCAATGCCAAGAAATTTCAAAACCATACAATCACGTAGAAATTAAACAACCTGCTCCTGAATGACTTTTTGGTAAATAATGAAATTAAGGCAGAAATAAAAAAATTATTTGAAACTAATATAAACAAACATATAACATAACAGAAACTCTGGGACACAGCTAAAGTAGTGTTAAGAGGAAAGTTTATAGTGCTAAATGCATACATCAAAAAGTTAGAAAGATCTCAGGTTAACAACCTAACATCGCACCTAGAAGACCTAGAAAAACAAGAGCAAACCAACCCCAAAGCTAGAAGAAAATAAATAGCAAAATCCAAACTGAACTGAATGAAATTGAGACACAATAATCCAGGAAAAAGATCAATAAAACCGAAAGTTTCTTTTTTAAGGAACAAATAAGATTGATAGACCACTAGCTAGATTAATTTAAAAAGAGATGATCCAAATAACCACACTAAGAAATGACCAAAGTGACATTACCTCTGACCCCACAGAAATTTTTAAAAATCTTCAGAAACTATTACAAACACCTCTATACACACAAACTAGAAAACCTAGAAGAAATAGATGAATACCTAGAAACACACAACCTACCATGATTGAACCATGAAGAAACTGAAACCTTACACAGATCAGTTACAAGTATTATGCTCACTACCTGGGGGATGAAATCATTTATATACCAAACCCCAGTGACACACAATTTAACCCTGTAACAAACATGAACATGTACCCCCTGAACCTAAATTAAAATTTGAAAAAGAAAAACAAAGTGGTAATCTGGGGATAGACAGGAAATGGGAGGGAAAGGCTAAGGAAGGGAATTACAAAGGGAAATAAGAAATTTCTTGAGGGTTACAGATACCTTTATCATCTTGATTATGTCGATGGTTTAATGGGTGTTACTTTTCAAATTATCAAAACATCAAATTATACACTGAAAATATGTGTAAATTATTGTATATCAACTATATATCAATAAAACAATAGATTTAAAAGAGAGCAAACTATTGATACACATAATAACATGGATGGATTTCAAATATATTAGCTACGGTATAGAAACCAGACTGGAAAGACTGCATAATGTATTAATCCATTTATACAAAGTTCTGATGGGCAAAACTGTAGGCACAGAAAACAGATCCACCAGTGCCCAGAGCTCGAGTGGGGTGAGACAAAATTTTCTGGATGACAGAACTGCTCTACATTTTATTGAGCTAGTGGTATGTGTATATATTTGCTAAACTCATAACACTGCACACACTAAAAAATAATGAATTTCAGGATATGTAAATTATATCCCAGTTTTTAAAAGCCCTATTCCAATCGCAAAAGAAAAACAATGAAAAGGAAGAAAAGAAGATGAAGAAAAAGGAGGAAATAGAGAACAACCACCACCACAACCATGGAGGCTAGAATGGGGACACTAAAGTACAGGAAGTTCAGAAGGAGAAAAAGAGGCAGAATGGAGAAGTCAATTATTGCAGAGATAAGGGCTGAAAATTTTCATAACTTATAGAAAAATAAAGTTTAAGTATAAAGATAAAAAATGAATTGATTAGACTGATAGCAGACATCCCATAAACAGTGCATGCTAAAATTCAAAGGCATATCCTTAAAAGCCTTACAAAAATAACTGTTCACCTAAAGTTCCATACCCATATAACCTATAATTAATATTGAACATAAAGCAAAAAAATTCAGTAATAACCATCAAACAGATTATTACACGTAGAACATCACTGTAATGTACTTCCTCCAGAATAAAATGGAACCTACAGCAAATATATGCAAACTGAATAAATAGAAGAAATGGGTAAATTCCAAGAAAGATACAACATATCAGGACTGAATCGTAAACAGAACACCTCACCAAGCCTGGTGCCTCACACATAATCCCAGCACTTTGCAAAGCCAAGGTGGGCAGATCACTTGAGGCCAGGAGTTTGAGACCAGCCTGGCCAACATGGTGAAACTCCATCTGTATTAAAAATTAAAAAAAAATAGACAGGCATGGTGGCACGCACCTGTTGTCCCAGCTACTCTGGAGGCTGAGGCCCAAGAATCACTTGAACATGGGAGGGGGAAATTGCAGTGAGCCTAAAACACTACTGCACTCCAGCCTGGGCGACAGAGCAAGAGAAAAAGAAAGGATGGAAGGAAAGAAAGAGAGAAGGAGAGAGAGGGAGTGAAAGAGAGAGAGGGAGAAAGAGGGGAAGAGAGAAAGAGGGGAAGGGAGGGAGGGATGGAGGGAAGGAGGAAGGTAGGAAGGGAGGGGAACATCTGAACATATCAAATAAGAGGTAGAAGATTGCAGGAATAATCAAAAACTCCCAACTACAAAAGGCCCTGAAGAGCCAAACAATCCTGAGAAAAAAGAGTAAAGCTGGAAGAATTGTACTACCAGACTCAAAATATACTACAAAGCTGAGAAACCAAAACAGCATGATACTGGCATGAAAACAGACACTTACACTAATGGAACAGAATAGAGTACACAGAAATTAATCCACATATCTACAGCCAATTGAATTTTGACAAGGTGCCAAGAATATTCATTGGAGAAAGGGCAGTCTCTTCATTAAATAGCCCTGGGGAAAACTGGATATCCACATGCATAGGAATGAAACTGGACCCCTACCTCTCAATCTATACCAGAAAAAAAAAAAAACTCATAACGGATCAAAGTCCTACATATAAAATTCAAAATAATGAAACTCACAGAAGAAAACATAGGAGAAATGATCAGGACATTGGCCTGGGAAAAGATTTTATAAATAAGACTTCAAAAGCACAGGTGACAAAAGCAAAAATAAACAAATGGGATTATATCAAATTAAAAAGTGTCTGCACAGCAAAAGAAACTATCAGCATAGTGAAAAGACAACCTACAGAATATGAGAATATATTTGAAAACTGCTGGATTAATACCAAGAATATACAATGATTTCAACTATCTCAACAGGAAAAAAGCAAACAATTAGATTTAAAAATGGGCAGATAAACTCAACAGACATTTCTCAAAAGAAGACACACAAATGGCCAACAAATATGAGAAAAAATGTTCAACATCACTAATAATCATAGAAATGCAAATCAAAACCACAATGAGGTAATCTCGCACCCCAGTTAGTATGGCTTTTATCAAAAAGACAAAAAAAAATAACAAATGCTGGCAAGAATGCAGAGAAAAGGGACACTGTTGATGGGAATATAAACTAGGATAGCCACTATGGAGAACAGCAGGGCAGCTCCTCAAAAAACAACAAATGCAACTACCATATGAACCAGCAATCACACCACTGGGTATTTATCCAAAGGAAAGGAAACCATTGTATCGAAGAGACATTTGCACTGCCATGTCTACTGCAGCACTATTTATAATAGTCAAGATACGGAATCAACCTGTTTCCAACAACAAATGGATAAAGAAAATGTGGTGTAGATACACAATGGAATATCATTTAGCCACGAAAATAAAATCCTGTCATTCACCACAACACAGATGCAACTGAAGTATGTTGTTGAGTGAAATAAGCCAGGAACAGAAACTTAAACACTGCATGTTCTCATTTATATGTGGAAGCTAAAAAAAAGTTGATCTCAGAAGTAAAATGTAGAATAGAAGATACTAGAGGCTGTGAAGTTTAAGGGGAAGGGAGGGATAAGGAAAGATTTGCTAAAGTCTACAAAGTTACAGCGAGATATGCGAAAAAAGTTCTAATTCTTTATATCACTGTAGGATGACTATAGTTAACAATAATATATAGTTTCAAATAGCTAGAAGGAGGATACTGACTCCTCCCAATACAAAGAAATGATAAATATTTGAGATGATATATCTGCTAATTACCTTGATCTGATCACTATACATTACATATACTGAAACATCCCTGTGTGCCCCATGGATATGTACAATTGTTATTTGGAAAATTTAAAAATATATGAAAAAATAAAACTTGCAATTAAAAAAAAATCTCCCAACAAAGAAAAAAACAGAACCAGATGGTTTCACTGGTAAATTCTACCAAACTTTTATAATAGAATTAATACTAATCCTTCTCAGACTCCTCCAAAAAACTGAAGAGTAGGGAACACTTTCAAACACATTTTATAAGGCCAGAATTACTCTGATACCAAAGTTAGACAAGGACATTACAAAAGAAAATAATAGGCCAATATCCTTGATTAATATAGATGTAAAAATCCTCAACAAAATACTAGTGAACTGACTTTAACAGAACATTATAAGGATGATACACCATGATCAAGTGGGATTTATATTTGTGATGCAAGGATGGTTGAAAATACACTCAACAGATACAGGAAACAAAATTCAACATATTTAATTAAAACTAGCAACAGTTTGTCATAGAAGAAATATACCTCAACATAACAAAAGCCATGTATTATAAGCCCACAGCTACATTAAACTTAACAGTGAAAAGCTATCAATAAAAGTTTTGGCCTAAGATCAAGAATAAAACAAGAAGCCCCTCTCACCATTTCTATTCAACATAGTACTAGAAGGCCTAGCCACAGGAATTAGACAAGAAATAAGAAAAAAAGGGCATCCAAATTGAATAGGAAGAAGTTGTCTCTGTTTTCAGATGACATGACCTTATACGTAAAAAACTTGACATTTGCTAAGGGAGTAGATCTTAAGTGTTCTCAATACATACACAAAAAGAGGTAATTATATGAGGTGATGGATGTGTTAATTACAGGAATTGTGATAATCATTTTACAGCATATACATATATCAGGCAAATCATCAATTTTTATTTGTCAATCATACCACAGTAAATCTAAGGGAAAAAAGATAATTGAACCTAGAATGAAAAAGTAGGATTCCAACAGGAATTATGATTGTGGTGTTGGTACGAATCACATGATAAAATGTGGTAATACTATACACACACATAAATGAATGCATACAACACTATCAAATCTGAATAAGATCTTTAGTTGTATTAAAAGTATTGTACCGATACCATTATACTGGCTGTGGAAATGCAGTGTTCATGTAAGATGTTATCAATGGAAAAAGCTAGGCAAAGTGTACATGACAGCCCTGTGCAATTTTTGCAACTTTTTGTCTTTAAATTATTTCAAAACAAAACAATTTTTAGAAAAGGAATGGTGAGTAAGACTGGGAAATATACTGGAAAATCCTAGTATTCACTGACTAAACATAAAGATGATAATAACAAAAATAACACTGACTTATTTGGGAGAAATTTGAAAGTCAAATGACAAACATTGAAAATGGAAGGAGTTAAATGACTGAAGTCCTTGGGTTATTTCCAAGAAGACTATATGTAATGATTAAATTTAGACATTATATAACATTAACTACAAATACTAAAATTTAAAGAAAATCACTAAAACAAAAACAGAATACAAAAATGTCCAGAGTTAAAGAAAAAAAAAGAGAACAGAAAAATGAAACCATTTGAGAGCAGCCGCTGACATGGAGAAACCCCGTCTCTACTAAAAATACAAAAAATTAGCCAGGCGTGGTGGTGCACGCCTGTAATACCAGCTTCTGGGGAGGCTGGGGCAGGAGAATCACTTGAACCCGGCGAGCTAAGGTTGCAGTGAGCCAAGATCATGCCTCTGCACTCCAGCCTGGGCAACAAGAGCAAAGCTTCGTCTCAAAAAAGAAAGAAAAATGAAACCAAGAAAATAGATGATAGAAAAAGGAAAAAAAAAACAAAAAACATGGTAAATAGGAAAAAAGTAGGATGGCAAATTTCAGCCTAAACATATGTCATCATGGATTAAGCATATGAGCATAATGAACTCCATTAGTGCATTTCATATAAAGGCTGTTTATAAGACACCAGCTAAATGCAAAGACAGATTGAGAAAAAAACGAAAAAAGTTGTACCAGGTAAACGTCATTTTTAAAGAGAAAGTTGATATAGCAATCTAAAACAGTGAAAATTGTATTTAAGATATTATTAGTAATGATTAAAGGAAAATACATCAAGAAAATTTAACTAAAATAAACATTATGCATTTAGTCACTGCCTCAGAATATCTGAAGCGAAAATTTCAACAATCAGAGGGAAAGCTACAACCCACTGAAAATTTTACTTTGCCTCTCACAGAAGACAAAGTATCAAACGGACAGGAAAAAAACCCAGTATGTATAAAAATGATTTGAAACAACACAATTAAAAAGTTGGTCCTAAAAACATTGGAGGACACATATCAAGCTTACACATTTATAAAAATTTACTTCATTTTTTGTTCCAACATTTAAGAGAACCACATAGACAAGTTTCTCAAAATAAGCTAATAAAATTAGAAAATTATTTTTAAAACAATGAAAATAAATCATATAATTGAAAACTAAAGATTACAATTGATTCATTATTTAAACAAGAAATCCTGCTAGATTTTTCAAATTTTTTTAACTGAATGTCGACTATCATTTAAAAACTGGAGAGTATAAAGAAAATGATATATGTAAGGAGAAGGTTTTTGCTATTAAAGTATTTCTTATTTTAGAAAATAAGAAGGGTTGAAAATTAATAAAGAAAGCATTAAAATCAAGAAATCTAGAGTTACAACAGAGCAAAGGTAAAAAGACCAGAAAGGAGGAAAAAGAGCAAAACTTGATATAAAAAACAATAGAAATAGAGACCACAATGAAACCAAAAGTTACATGTTTCAAACTACTAACAAAATAAAAACACCTCTGAGCGGACTGCTCATGAAAAAGAAAAAAAAAAGACAAAACGAACAAACCAAAATTGAAAAAGAAATGCATCTGCAGAGAAAGTATAGCTATTTAAAATTATACATAAAACAATACTAGGTAGGTTATGGGATATGGATAATGCCACGTGTATTAAAAACATGTAAGATACACAAACATTCAGTGTAGACATCCTCTACAGGGAGGGAAGGGGATCATACCAGAAGGAATTGCAGCTGCAAATACAATGGCTTATTTTATAAGAGAAACAAGAAAAATATTAATATCTGTTTATTTCCCATGGTGGGCAAGAGGATGTTTGTCATGTTGTTCTCTGTCTTAGTGTTTGAATTATTTCTTGAAAAATAAAAATGTAATAATCTAAATTACAAATTTCCCTTCTGAAAATTTAACCCAAAGAATATTTTTAAAATTACTTCTTATATGAGCCAGCAATGTGAATTAAAATATTTAGTCTGTAGTAAGGCCCTGAAATCTGCATTTTTAATAAATACTTCTGTTGTAGATGATACAGATCATCCCCTTTGATAAGAAAAGAACAGATATTACACATTTGACTTCTTCCTCTCTCAACTAGCAGTTCAATGACTTTGGCAAACTATGTAAATTACACTTCCAAATCTTTGTGTCTTAAAAATGGGTATTCACAGCTACCTCATAAAATTAAATGACATATTGATGTAATACTCAAAATCCCAGTGATATGTAAAATATTGCTACTGCTCGTGATATTGTCTTACATATAACTAGATTCAAATGGTACTAATGTTTAACTTCAGAACACAAATGCAATTTACTCGCTACTTGGGAATTCCTCTTCCTTGGCGAACCACTTTTTCAACTGTTTCCTTGCCAAAACTATTGCGGTTGTTACAATGAGAATAGGAAGAGCAATGAGGAAACCTAGAAGCCAGGTGTTTTCAGTCTTCCCAGATGCTCTTTCCATGATTGAACCTAAAAACAGAAATACAAAAAAAAAAAACAAAAAAATTAAACTATCTACTTTTACTTTCAAGTTGCAACACATTCATTAAAATCTTCTGAATTTGTATTGTTATTCAAGGAACATGGAAAAAATCATTATAGAATTGTAATCATAATCCTTGGGGCTACCTGTACAACGTTTCATTCTAAAAGCATGGAAACCAAGTTTTGGAAAGTTCAAAAGTATTCAAGTCTCACAGCAGCTACAGCAAAATCTCACTATAACCCTCTAAGTAGGGACAAAAAAATTCAATGATATACAACGTGGGATTGTGTAATTGCATGGTTATCCAAAAATGCACTCTTACAAGGTGCATTATCAAAGGAATTCAGTGTATTTGTGTATATCTTATTTTTCTTTGGTAGATTGTTGGCTTTTGGCCTTGGGGATCATGTTGTAAATGGGGTCATTGCAATACTACTAAAAGGGCACTGGCATAAAAATTAGAAGAATTGATTCCTAATCCTAATTCTGTCCCTTGCTATCACTGGATACATAGACCTAAACATATTCTCTAAACTCCATGAGGAGAAGAACTTCATTTTGCTCACCGTACATCCCCAGTGTGTAGACCAGCACCTGGACCTGGCATATATTAAGAGTTCAGTAAACATTTGCTAACTCAATAAATGAATTAATGACAGAAATGGAAGCTGTGGGGCACAAACAGAATAATATGCCAGCATCACTTCTGTCATCTCCTAAGCAGAAATTGATGGATTTTTCTGATTTAAATGATAAACTCCTTCAGAGTAAAATCTTGTCTTCTATTTCATTTCTTCTGTAACAGAAACACAGTAACAGTACTAGACACAGAGAAAATGTCATTTGTTTAGAGCTGAGGTCACAGGATCAGTCATAAAGCTGAGGAAGAGAGGTTGAAAATATTCTAAAAGATAAAGTCAATGATATCAGTAAAGAGAAATTTTAAAAGGTATTCAGCGTGAATTATGATATTTTAATGTTAGAAAAAAGAGCAAGACAAGATCGGGCACATTCAGGCTGGTATGGCCATAGACAATAAGGCTAAAGTCACCAAAACAGCATGGTACTGATATAAAAATAGACACAGAGACCAATGGAATGGAATAGGGAATCCAGAAATAAAGCCAAGTACGTACAGCCAACTGATCTTCAACAAAGCAAACAAAAACATAACATGGGGAAAGGACACCCTATTCAACAAATGGCACTGGGATAACTGGCAAGCCATATGTAGAAGAATTAAACCAGATCCTCATCTCTCACCTTATACAAACATCAACTCAAGAGGGATCAAAGACTTAAATTTAAGACCTGAAACCATAAAAATTCTAGAATATAACATCAGGAAACTATTCTAGACATTGGCTTAGGCAAAGCGTTCATGAGCAAGAACCCAAAAACAAATGCAATAAAAACAAAGATAAATAGAAGGGACTTAATTAAATTTAAAAGCTTCTGCGAAGCAAAAGATATAATCAGCAGAGTAAACAGATAACCCACAGAGTGGGAGGAAATCTTCACAAACTATGCATCTGACAAAGAACTAATATCCAGAATCTATAAGGAACCCAAACAAATCAGCAAGAAAAAAAGGAATTCCATCAAAACATGGGCTAAGGACATGAATAGGTAACTCTCAAAAGAAGATATACAAATGGCCAACAAACATATGAAAAAATGCTCAACATCACTAATGATCAGGGAAATGTAAATCAAAACCACAATGCAATACCACCTTACTCCTGCAAGAATGGTCATAATTTAAAAATCAAAAAATAATAGATGTTGGCATGGATGTGCTTAAAGGGGAGCACTTTTACGTTGTTGGTGGGAATGTAAACTAGCACAGCCACGAAAAACAGTATGGCAATTTCTTGAAGAACCAAAAGTAGATCTACCATTTGATCCAGCAATCCCACTATTGGAAATCTACCCAGAGGAAGTCATTATATAAAAGTCATTACATAAAAAGACGCTAACACAAATGTTTATAGCAGCACAATTTGCAACTGCAAAAATATGGAACCAGCCCAAATGCCCATCAATCAGTGAGTGAATAAAGAAAGTGTGATGTATATATACACCATGGAATACTACTCAGCCATTAAAAGGAACAAAATAATAGCATTCGCAGCAACCTGGATGGAGTTTGAGACCATTATTCTAAGTGAAGTAACTCTTCACTTGAAGAATGGAAAACCAAATATCATATGTTCTCACTCATAAGTGGGAGCTAAGCTATGAGGACACAAAGGCATAAGAATGATACAATGGACTTTGGGGTATTGAGGGGAAGGATAGGAGTAGGTGAGGTATAAAAGACTACACATTGGGTACAGTATACACTGCTTGGGTGATGGCTGCACCAAAATCTCAGAAATCACCACTAAAGAACTTATCCATGTTACCAAAATCCACCTATTCCTCAAAAACCTATTGAAATAAAAAAAATTAATTGATTAGTTAATTATAAAGAAAAGAGAGCAAGATTAAGATGGCATGTTTGGTTTCCATTCCTTGAGAGAATTCTGATTACCTTTTTATTACAAATATCAGTTGCCTTGTAAGTGGAAAAATCGAACTTTGTTTTAGTGAAGATAAGCAATTTGAGAATTTTATTAAATGGGTATTTAAAGAGACAAATACTTGCCCATATCTTCCTCAGGAAATATGGAAAATCCTTTGGAACGTATTTGGCAGTTTGGAGGCTTATAGCCTGGCGAACAATGGCACTTGTTTCTGGAATCACACACCTAGGATCATTTTGAAAAATTAAATGATTGTTTTAAAATATTTTCTCAGAGAAGGTGAGCATCAAGCTTACTTTTGTACCATAATCTAGTGTAATTTTGTTTATTTAGAGCGACAGTCTCACATATCAAATGTTTGGTTTCTTAGACTACAACACAGACACACACACAAAGCAAAAAAAAAAAAAAAGAACTATAAAGTGAGGCTCTCAATATTTGCATCAAGAAAATTTGACACCTTGAAATGTTTACCTACAAATTTACGATGCAATTTCAAAAATGCATACTTAAATTATAATGAAAATGTGACCCCTCCAGTGACATGCTGGAGCCAGCATATATGAGTCTATCTTTGAGCTATTTTCATCCATCGCTTTATATGTCTCTATTTTATGACAGTAACATCCTGTTCTGGTTACTGTACCTTTGTACTGTATTTTGAAAAGCTTTGTTCTTCTTTTTAAAAATTGCTTCTAATTATCTGGATTTTTTTCATCTTATATAATTTTTTTATTTTCTATTTCTTTGAAAAATAACATGGAGATTCTGATAAGGATTGCATGGAATCTGTAGATAATTTTGACTATTAGGGATAGTTTAACAATATTAGTTTCTTCAATCCGTGGAATATCTTTCAATTTTTTGTGTCTCTTTTACTTTTTTTCATGTTTCATAGTTTTCAGTGTACAAGTCGTTCACCTCCTTGGTTTGTTTTAAACCTAAGTATTTTATTCTTTTTGATGCTGTTGTAAATGGGATTGTTTAACTAATCTCCTTTCCTGACCGTCTGTTTTTGACGTATAAAAATGAACTGATTTTTGAGTGTTGTTTTTGTGTCCTGCAACTTTACTGAATTCATTATTTCTTCTACTAGTTTTATGGAACCTTTATGGTTTCCTGTGTATACAATCATGGCATTTGCAAACAGAAGCTACTTTATTTCTACTTTCCCATTTGGATGCTATTTATTTCTTTTCCTTGCCTCATTGCTTCATCTAGGAATTCCAGTACCAAGTTGAAGAGAAGTGCAGAGACTGAGTATCCTTGCATTGTTATAGATCTTAAAGTAAAGGCGTTCATTATTTCACCATTGAGTATAATTTTAGCTATGGATTTTTACATGTAGGCTTTCTGCTATTCCTAACGTATTGAGTTTTTATAATGAAAGGGTGTTGGATTTTGTCAAATGCTTTTTCTGCATCTTAATGTCATAAAGTAAATTGATCTTTCATCTTCTTAATGTGGCATATCTCATTAATTGATCTGTGCATTTTGAACCATCCTTGCATCCCAGGAATAAATCCCATCTGGTCATAGTGTATGATTCTTTTAACGTGCGGCAAATATAGTTTGTTAATGTCTTGCTGTAAATTTTTGCATGCATGTTTGTAGATATATTAGCCTGCAATTTTATTTTCTTGTTTAATTCTTCTGTAAATGTTTAACAGAATTCATTTGTGAAGCCCCCTAGTCCTGAGATTTTCTTCGCTAGAAAGTTTTGTTTACTGATTTAATCTCTTTATTTGTTATTGTTCTGTTCAGGCTATTTATTCTTGATTCAGTCTTGGCAGGTTGTATCATCCTAGGAATTTATAAATTTCTTCTAGGTTATCCAACTTGTTGGTGTATAAATATACACCACAGTATCTTCTTAAAAAATTTCTGTGACATCAGTTGTAATATCTGCTCCTTCATTTCTGATTTTGAGTCTTATTTCTTTTTTTCTTGCTATTTTACCTAAGAGTTTGTCCTTTTTTTAATCTTTTCAAAAACTCAACTCTTAATTTCCTTGATTTTGTCTATTATTTTTCTATTCTCTATCTTATTTGTGCTCTAATCTTCATAACTTCCTACTGCAAACTTGGAGTTTGTTCAATTTTTTTCTAGTTTCTTGAGGTGTAAAGTTAGAATGTTTATTTGAAATCTTTATTCTTTTTAATGTAAGAATTTATCACTATAAATTTCCCTTTAGTACTGTTTTTGCCACATCCCTTTTTTTTTTCATTTTTTGTTTGTCTTGAGATATTTTCTAATTTCCGTTTTGATTTGTTGTTTAGCCCAATGGTTGTTCACTCATGTGTTATTTAATTTTCATGTATTTTTTAAGTTTTCCCACTTTCTTTTAATATTAACTTCTAGCTTCAATCTAGTGTGGTCAGAAAATACACTTGGAGTGATGTCAGTCTTCTTAAATTTGTTAAGACTTGTCTCGTGACTTAATATGTGGTCAGCAATTCTGAGCAAAAAGAACAAAGCCAAATGCATAACATTATCTGACTTCAAGTTATACTACAGAGCTATAGTAACCAAATCACCATGGTACTGGCATAAAATCAAACACATAGACCAATGGAACAGAATAAAGAATCCGGCTACAAATACATGCATTTACACCAATTCATTTTCAACAAAGGCACCAAGAATGTACAACAGAGAAAGAACAGTCTCTTCAATAGATGGTGCTGGAAAAATTCGATAACCATATGCAGAAGAATAAAACTTGATCATTATCTTTCACTGTGTACAAAAATAAAATCAAAATGTATTCAAGACTTAAATCTAAGAACCAAAACTATAAAATTACCAGGAGAAAATGTAGGAAAATAGTTCTAAGACACTGATTATGTAATTATTTTTTGGATATAACCTCAAAAGCACAGGAAACATAAGCAAAAATAAACAAATGGGATTACACCAAGCTAAAAAGCTTCTACAGAGCAAAAGAAGCAATCAACAAAGTGAAGAGACAACCCACAGAATAAAAGAAAATATTTCCAAACTATCCATCTGACAAGGGACTGACAATCATAATATATAAGGAGCTCAAATAACTCAATAGGAAAAAACTCCACAAAGTATATGATTAAAAAATTGGGCAAAAGATCTGAATAGACATTTCTCAAAATAAAACAAACAAATGGCCAACAGGTATATGAAAAAATGTTCAACATCACTAATTATGAGAGAGATGCAAATCAGAATTATGAGATATAATCTCAATCCAGTTAAAATGGCTTATAAAAGCCATTTTTTTTTGTAACAAAAAGACCATCTTTTTGATAAAAAAAGATGTAACAGCCAATGCTGGCGAGGCTGTGGAGAAAAGGAAAGACTCACACACTATAGGTGGGAATGTAAATTAGTACAGCCACTATAAAAAATTGTGTGGAGATTCCTCAAAAAAACTAAAAATAGAACTACTATATGACCCAGCAATTCTACTACTGAGTAAATAACCAAAAGAATGGAAATCAATACTTCAAAATGCTATCTGCATTCCCATGTTTATTGTAGCACTATTCACAATAGCCAAAATATAGAATCAATGTAAGCGTCCATGAATAGATGAATAAATAAAGAAAATGTGAGATACATACACAATGTAAAACATAGGCTATAAAAATAATGAAATCCCATCACTCATAGCAACACGGATGGAACTGGAAGTTATTATGTTAAATGAAATAGGATAAGCACAGAAAGATAAATATCACATGTTCTCACTCTTATGTGGAAGCTAAAAAAGTGGATTCATGAAGATGCAGAGTAGGTGGGTGGTTACCAGAGGCCAGAATGTGTAATGGGAGGAAAGGATGAAGAGAGGTTGATTAATAGGTACAAATATCCAGTTTGAAAGAAGAAGTAAGACCAAGTGTTTGACAGATCAGTAGGATGACCAGAGTTTAAAATAACCTATTGTATATTTCAAAAATAGCTAGAAAAATAAATTCAAATGTTTTAGCATAAAGACAAATATGTAAAGTGATGGATATCTTAATTATACTGATTTGATTTTTATGAATTATATGAATGTATTATCATTTATACCCCCACAACAGGTACAACTATTGCCAATAAAAAATAAAACTAAAATAAATAAATAAAACAATTATACTTCATATGCTGAAAGCTCTAATGGATAAAGTAGACTACATGTAAGAACAGATGGGCAGTGTAGGCAGACAGATAAAAATTCTAAGAAAGAATCAAAAAGAAGTACTAGAGATCAAAAACACTGCAATAGAAATGAAGAATGCTTTTGATGGGCCCGTAAATAGAATAATTATGGCTGAGATGAGAAAAGATCTCTGAGCTTGAGGGTGTCTCAATAGAAACTTCTAAAACTAAAAAGTCAAAAAAAAAAGGTTGAAAAAACAGAACAGAATATCCAAGAACTGTGGGACAACTAAAAAAATGTATAACATACATGTAATGAGGATACCAAGAGAACAAAAAAGAATGGAATAGAAGAAATATTTGAAGCAATAATAGCTGATAATTTTCCAAAATTAATGTCTCACAACAAATCACAGATCAAGCAACCCCTACCACAAAAAAATCAGGACAAATGCCAAAAATTTATACCTAGACATAATAACTTTCAAACTACAGAAAATCAAAGATAAAGACAAATTTGGAAAGAAGCCAGAGGGAGAAAATACCATATCTATAGAGGCACAAAGATAAAAATTATACTGGACTTCTCTTCAGCAACCATGCAAGCAAAAAGAGTGAGGAGTGAAATATTTAATCCTTTGAAATTATCTTGCAAAAATGGAAATGAAATAAAGACTCTCAAACAAGCAAAAATTGAGAGTATATATCACCAGTAGACATGCCTTTGAAATAAATGTCAGAAGAGATTCTTCAGAGAGAATGATAATCACAAAGGTCAGCAAATGTTATTTACATAAAAAGAATAGTATTAGAGAAGGAATTAAGTGAAAGTAAACTAAAAATTTTTATTTTTCTTATTCTTAATTGATGTTACAGATAATTGTTTGCTGAGATGGGTTCACTATTAAATTCTACCAAACACTTAAGGGAGAAATTATACCAATTTTCTATAATCTCTTACAATCTCTTTCAGAAGACAGAAGCAGAGGGGATACTTCCTCACTCATTCTATCAGGCCATCCTTACCCTAACATCAAAACCATAGAAAAATATTACAAGAAATGGAAACTACAGAAAAATGTCTGTCGATGCAAAGATGCAAAAAACTCTCACTATACATTAGTAAATCAGATTCAACAATGCATAAAAAGAATTATACACCACAAACAAGATTTATCGCAGGCATGTAACTGGTTCAACATTAGAAAATTAGCTGATGTACTTCATCTCACATCAATAAGCTAAAGAAGAAAAATCACATTATCATATCAATAAATACAGAAAAAGCATTTAACATTAAAAAGCCAACACTCAGGCCTGGCACAGTGGCTCATGCCTGAAATCCCAGCACTTTGGGAGGCCAAGACGGGCAGATCATGAGGTCAGGAGATCGAGACCATCCTGGCTAACACGATGAAACCCCGTCTCTACTAAAAATACAAAAAAATTATCCGGGCATGGTGGCAGGACCCCTGTAGTCCCACCTACTCGGGAGGCTGAAGCAGGAGAATGGCGTGAACCTGGGAGGCAGAGCTTGCAGTGAGCCGAGATTACGCCACTGCACTCCAGCCTGGGCAACACAGTGAGAGTCCATCTCAAAAAAAAAAAAAAAAAGTCAACACTCATTTGTGTTTTAAAAGCAAACTAACAGTAAACTAGGAATAGAGGGAAATTTTTTCATCTAACAAACTATCAAACAAAAAAACCTACAGCTGACATCGTACTTAATGGTGAGATATTAGATACTTTCCCAGTAAGATAAGGAGCAATGCAAGGACGTCTCCTCTCACCACTCCTATTTCAGTATCATACAGGAAGTTCTAACTAATACAATAAAATAATAAAAAAAGTATACTGATTGGGAAGAAAGAAATAAAACTGTCTTTGTTCATATATGACATAAACACCAATTTGGAAAATCTAAAAAGAATTGAAGAACCCTTGGAACTAACAAGTGATTGTAGCATGGTTGCAATATACAAGGTTAATGCACAAAAGCCAATAATTTTCCTATACACCAGCAACGAACAAATGAAACTTGAAATTAAAGACATAATACTATTTGCATTAGCCCCCCCAAAAAATGAAGTACTTGGTATAAATCTAACAAAATATATATAAGATCAATATGAAGAAAACTACAAAACACTGATGAAGGAAATAAAAAAGGACTAAATAAATGAAAACACATTACATGTGAATGGATAGAAAGACTCAATATTGTCAAGATATCAGTTCTTACTAACTTGATCTATAGATGGAACACAATCCCTGTCAAAATCCCAGCAAGGTGTTCTGTGGAAATTAACAAACTGATTCTAAAGTTTCTATGGAGGCACAAAAGATCAAGAATAGTCAAGTTACCATTGAAAGAAAAAGAACAAAGTCAGAAGACTAACACTACCCAACTTCAACATACTGTAAGTCTGTAGTAATCGAGGCAATATGATATAGGAGAAAGAATAATCAAATGGATCAATGAAATAGAATAAGGAGCCCAGCAACTGACAAACATAAATCTAGTCAACTGATCTCTGACAAAGGAGCAAAAGCAATACAGTAGAGAAAAGAAAGACTTCAACAATTGGTACTAGCTAGACATCAAAATGCAGGAAAAAAAAAAGAATCTAGACACAAACTTATCACCCTTCAAAAAGTTAATCCAGAATGGGTCATAGGCCTAAATGTAAAATGCAAAGCTAAAAAACTCCTAGAAGATAACTCAGAAAAAAAAAAAAAACCTGGATGACCTTGGGTATTGCATAGACTTTTTAGATACAATACTGAAGGCACAATCTATGAAAGAAATAATTAAGAAGCTGGGCCTCATAAAATTAAAACATTCTCTGTGAAAAGCACTGTCAAGAGAATAAAAAGATAAGCCACAGAATGGAAGAAAATATTTGCAAAAGACACATCAGATACATGACTGTTATTCAAAATATGAAGAGAAAACTTAAAACTCAACAAGAAAACAACTTGATTTAAAAATGGGCAAAAGACTTTAAAAGGCCCCTCACCAAAAAAAAACAGATGGAAAATAAGTATATGAAATATGCCTCACATATGTCATCAGTAAAATGCAAATTAAAACAGCAATGAAATACCACTACACACCTATTAGAATGGCCAAAATCCAAAACACTGACAACAAAAAATGTTGGCTTGGATGTGGAGCAACAGGGACTCTCATTCACTGCTGGTGGGAATGCAAACTGGTACAGCCACTTTCAAAGATGTTTTGTCAGTTTCTAACAAAACTAAGCATACTCTTACGATATGATACAGCAACCACAATGCTTGGTATTTACTCAAAATAGGTGAAAATTTATGTCCACACAAAAACCTGCAGAAGGATGTTTATAGAAACTTTATTTGTAATTACCAAACTTGGAAGCAACCAAGATGTTCTTCAGTAGATGAGTGGATAAATAACTATGGTACATTCAGACAATGGAATATTATTTAGCACTAAAAAGAAATAAGCTATCAAGCCATAGAAAAACACGGAGAAACATTAAATGCATATTACTAAGTGAAAGAAACCAATCTGAAAAGGCTACATACTATATGATTTCAATGAAATGACATTCTGGAAAAGAAAAACCTAGGAAAACAGTAATAAGATCAGTGGTTGCCAAGGGTTAGTGGAGACAGAAGGATGAACTGATGGAGCACAGAGAATTTTTAGAGTAATGAAAATACTCTCTGTATATCATAATGATGGATCTATATCATTACACATTTGTCAAAACCCATAGAATGTGAGACACTAACAGTGAATCCTAATGTAAACTGGACTTTGGGTGACAATGATATGTCCTTGTAGGTCATCAATTATAACAAACAGACCACTCTGGTGTGTGATGTTAAAATTGGGAAAGATTGTGCCTCTGTAAGATGAGTGGATATATGGAAAATCTCGGTACTTTCTACTTTCCAAAGTTTCTGTGAACCTGAAGCTCCTCTAAAAAATAAAGTCTATTTTTAAAAGTAGATAAATAAAACAATAGTTTTTCATGATCCCTGTGTATTCACAGACACAGGAATTACAGCATAATTATCTTTCCTTTGAGAACCAGGTTAATGTATTTATCAGAAAATTTAACACCCTCTGAAAAGTACCCAATTATAACAATATATATTTAGGTCATTAGCAATTTAATTCTGCTCAATATATCTTCTGTAACTAATTATGGCTGCTGAATTTAATGACTTAATTCAGCTCTCAATTGAAGCTAGATGCAACAGAGTCTGTCACATGGTAGTGACCCAAAAAATGTCAGTAAATTAATGAGTGATGCAAAAAAGTGTCCAAGAAATGTGATTCAGGGAAACATGTGGTTACTTACTCCATGTCCAGAACACTGTTGTGAACAAACATGTGCTGAAGCCTTAATTATCCTTGATTCTACACATTCACGATTTACACAAACCTAAAGAAAAACACATACAAAAAAAGTTCCCATGTCAGAGGGGTACAGTCATCATAACATTACAGTAAATAATTATATGATATAAAAGCATAGCCATTCAATGATACAAATTTTCCTCTAAGTACTGCTTTTGCTGCATTCCAGAAGGGTGTTTTATTTTTTTTGCAAGAAAAGACATTTGTGATTTATTTGCATTTTAAATTGATATTATTATTACTATGTTTCTTCATGTAGTTCTAAAGCAGAATAATTAAAACAATAACAAAAAGCCCAGTGTTTAAATAATAAGAGAGTTTTAGCAAACATCTAAATAAGGATATTATATTGTCTACTTAGGCTGACACCACAAAGTACTATAGCTTAAGTGGCCTCAACAACAGTGACTTATTTTCTAACAGTTCTAGAGGCTGGAAGTCCAAGATCAAGGTGTCTGCAGGGTTGGTTTCTCCTGAGGCCTCTCTTCTAGACTTGCCTTCTCCCTATGTCCTCACATGGCCTTTCCTCTACATGCACAAGCCCCTGGTGTCTCGTTGTGTATCCAAATCTATTTTTTATAAGGATGCAAGTCAGATTGGAACAAGGCTGCAGTTTCATTTAACCTTAACTACTTCTTCTTTTTTTAATTTTTATTTCAATAGATTTTGGGGAACAGGTGGTGTTTGGTTACACGAATAAGATTTTTAGTAGTGATTTCTGAGATGTTGGTGCAGCCATCATCCTAGCAGTGCACACTGTACCCAATATGTAGCCTTTCATTCCTTACTGCCTCCCACCCTTCCCCCCAAGTCCCCAAAGTCTATTGTATCATTCTCATGCCTTTGCATCTTCAGAGATTAGCTCCCACTTGTGAGTGAGAACATATGATGTTACGTTTTCCATTCCTGAGTTACTTCACTTAGAATAATGGCTCCAACTCCATCCAGGTTGCTGTAAAATGTCATTATTTTGTTCCTTTTTAAGGCTGAGTAGGATTCCATGGTATTTATATACCACATTTTCTTAGCCACTGTGGGTTGTCTGTTTACTCTGCTGATTATATTTTTGCTATGCAGAAGCTTTTTAGTTTAATTAAGTCCCATCTATTTATCTTTGTTTTTATTGCATTTGCTTTTGGGTTCTTGTTCATGAACTCTTTACCTAAGACAATATCTAGAAGAGTTTTTCTGATGTTATCTTCTAGGATTTTTATGGCTTCAGGTGTTATATTTAAGTCTTCGACACATCTTTTTTTTATTATACTTTAAGTTTTAGGATACATGTGCACAACGTGCAGGTTTGTTACATATGTATACATGTGCCATGTTGGTGTGCTACACCCATTAACTCGTCATTTAACACTAGGTATATATCCTAATGCTATCCCTCCCCACTCCCCACACCCCACAACAGGCCCCGGTGTGTGATGTTCCCCTTCCTGGTCTTTGACACATCTTGAGTTGATATTTGTATAAGGTGAGAGATGAGGATCCAGTTTCATTTTTCTACATGTGGCTTGCCAGTTATCCCACCACCATTTGTCGAATAGGGTGTCCTTTCCCCACTTTATGTTTTTGTTTGCTTTGTCAAAGATCAGTTGACTGTAAATACTTGGCTTTATTTCTGGGAGCTCTATTCTGTTCCATTGGTCTATGTGTCTATTTTTATAGTGGTACCATGCTGTTCTGGTGATTATAGCCTGGTAGCATAGTTTGAAGTCAGGTAATGTGATGCTTCCAGATTTGTTTTTTGGGTTTTCTTATTTTGTTTTGTTTTTGTTTTTTTGCTTAGCCTTTCTTTGCCCATGCAGCTCTTTTTTGGTTCCATATGAATTTTAGGATCGTTTTTTCCAGTTCTGTGAAGAATGATGATGGTATTTTGATGGGAATTATATTGAATTTATATATTGCTTTTGACAGTATTGTCATTTCCACAATATTGATTCTACCCATCCATGAGCATGGTATGTGTTTTCATTTGTTTGTGTCATCTATAATTTCTTTCAGCAATGTTTCACAGTTTTCCTTTGTTAGGTATATTCCTAAGTATATTGGGGGGTTTTGTTGCACCTACCATAAAAGGGGTTGAATTCTTGATTTGATTCTCAGCTTGGCCACTGTTGGTGTATAGCAATGCTACTGATTTGTGTACATTACTTTTGTATCCTGAAACTTTACTGAATTCATTTATCTAATCTCGGAGCTTTTTTGATGAGTCTTTAGGGTTTCCAAGGTATATGATCATATCATTGGCAAGCAGTGACAGTTTGACTTCCTCATCATCAATTTGAATACTCTTTCTTTCTTTCTTTCTCTTGTTTGATTGCTCTGGCTAGGACCTCCAGTACTATGTTGAATAGAAGTGATGAAAATGGGCATCCTTATCTTCTTCCTGTTCTCAGGGAAAATGCTTTCAACTTTTCCCTATTCAGTACAATGTTGTCTGCGGCTTTGGCATATACAGCCTTTATTACCTTAAGGTATGTCCCTTCTATGCCAATTTTTCTGAGGGTTTTAATCATAAAGCGATGTTGGATTTTGTCAAATGCTTTTTCTGTGTCTATTGAAATGATCATCTGATTTTTGTTTTAAATTCTGCTTATGTGTTGTATTACATTTATTTAGTTGTATATGCTAAACTTGCATCTCTGGTATGATACCAACTTGATCATGGTGGAATATCTTTTTGATATGCTGTTGCATTCAGTTAGCTAGTATTTAGTTGAGAAAATTTGCATTTTTGTTTACCAGAGATATTGGTCTGTAGTTTTCCTTTTTTGTTCTTTCGTTTCCTGGTTTTGATATTAGGGTGATATTGGTTTCATAGAACAATTTAGGAAAAATTCCCTCTTTCTCTATCTTTTGAAATATTTTCAGTAGGATTGGTACCAGTTCTTTTATTAATCTCTGACAGAATTCAGGTATGAATCCATCCAATTCTGGACTTTTTTTCATTGGTAATGGTTTTTATTACCATTTCAATCTCACTGCTTGTTATTAGTCTGTTCAGAGTTTCTATTTCTTCCTGATTTTATTTAGGAGGGTTGTATATTTCCAGGAATTTATTTATCTCCCCTAGTTTATCTATTTTGTGTTCATAAAGGTGTTCATAGTAGCCTTCAATGATCTTTTGTGTTTCTATGCTATAGGTTGTAATATCTCCCATTTCATTTCTAATTGAGCTTATTTAGAACTTTCTCTTCTTTTCTTGGTTAATATCACTAATGGTCTATCCGTTTTGTTTATCTTTTCAAAGAACCAGCTTTTGTTTCATCTATTTTTCCTTTGATTGTATCCATTTTATTTACTTCTGCTCTGATCTTTGTTACTTATTTTCTTCTGCTGGATTTGGGTTTAGTTTGTTCCTGTTTCTCTAGTTCCTTGAGGTATGACTGTTATGGTTTGGCTGTGTTCCCAGCCAAATTTCATTCTGAATTCCCACATATTGTGAGAGGTAACCAGTGGGAGGTAATTGAATCATGGAGGCAGGTCTTTCCTGTGCTCTTCCTGTGATAGGGAATAAATCTCATGAGATCTGATGGTTTTCTAAAAGGGAGATTCACTGCACAAGCTCTCTTCTCTTGTCTGCTAATATGTATCTTTCACCTTCCACCATGATTGTGAGGCTTTCCCAGCCATGTGGAACTGTAAGTCCATTAAACTTCTTTCTTTTGCAAATTGCCCAGTCTCAGGTATGTCTTTATCAGCAGCATGAAAAAAACTAATACAGTAAATTGGTACCAGTAGAGTGGGGTGCTGCTGAAAAGAAACCCAAAAATGTGAAAGTGACTTTGGAACTGGGTAACAGGCAGAGGTTGGAACAGTTTGGAGGGCTCAGAAGAAAATAGAAACATGTGGGAAAGTTTGGAACATCCTAGAGGCTTGTCAAATGGTTTGGACCAAAATGCTGATAACGATATGAACAACACAATCCAGGCTGAGGTGGTCTCAGATGGAGATCAGGAACTTGTTGGGAACTGGAGCAAATGTGGCTCTTACTATGTTTTAGCAGAGACTGGCAGCATTTTGTCCATGCCCTAGAGATTTGTGGAATTTTGAACTTGAGAGAGATGATTTAGAGTATCTGGTGGAAGAAATTTCTAAGCAGCAAAGCATTCAAGAGGTGACTTGGGTGCTATTAAAGGCATTCAGTTTTAAAAGGGAAACAGATCACAAAAGTTTGGAAAACTTGCAGCCTGATAGCACAATAGAAAAGAAAATCCCACTTGCTGAAAAGAAATTCAAGCCAGCTACAGAAACTTACATGAGTAATGGGGACCCAAATGTTAATCACCAAGACAATGGGGAAATTGTCTCCAGGGCATGTCAGAGGCCTTGGTGGCAGCCTCTCCAGTCAGAGGCCTGGAGGTTTAGGAGGGAAAAAATGACTTTGTGGGCCAGGCCCACGGTCCCTCTGCTGTGTGCAGTTTAGGGACTTGGTGCCCTGCATCCAGCCACTCAAGCTGTGACTGAAAGGGACCAAGGTACAGCTCAGGCTGTGGCTTCAGAGGGTGGAAGCCCAAGCCTTGGCAGCTTCCATGTGTTGTTGAGGCTGTGGATGCACAGAAGCCAAGAGTCAAGATTTGGGAACCTCTGCCTAGATTTCAAAGGATGTATGAGTGTCCAGGCAGAAGTTTGCTGCAGGAGCGGAGCCCTCATGGAGAACCTCTGCTAGAGCAGTGTGGAAGGGAAATGTGAGGTTGGAGCCCCCACACAGAGTCCCTACTGGGGCACTGCCTAGTGTAGTCATGAGAAGAGGGCCACCATCCTCCAGACCCCAGAATGGTAGATCCACCTACAGCTTGCACTGTTTGCCTGGAAAAGCTGCAGACATTCAGTGCCAGCCTGTGAAAGCAGCCAGGAGGCTATACCCTGCAAAGTCACAGGTGCAGAGCTGCTCAAGGCTGTGGGAGCCCACCTCTTGCATCAGCATGACCTGGATGTGAGACATGGAGTCAAAGGAGATCATTTTGGAGCTTTAAGATTTCACTGCCCTGCTGGATTTTGGACTTGCATGGGACCTGTAGCCCCTTTGTTTTGGCCAATTTCTCCCATTTGGAATGGCTGTATTTATCAATACCTATACCCCTATTGTATCTAGGAAGTAACTAACTTGCTTCTGATTTTATAGGTGGAAGGGACTTGCCTTGTCTTGGATAAGATTTTGGATTATAGACTTTTGAGTTTATGTTGAAATGAGTTAAGACTTTGGGGGACTGTTAGGAAGGCATGATTGGTTTTGAAATGTGAGGACATGAGATTTGGGCTGAATGATATGGTTAGGCTCTGTCCCCACCCAAATCTCATCTTGAATTCCCATGTGTTGGAAGGTAATTGAACCATGAGGGCAGATCTTTCCTGTGCTGTTCTCATGACAGTGAATAAGTCTCACAAGATCTGATGGTTTTAAAAAGGGGAGTTTCCCTGCACAAGCTCTCTTCTCCTGTCTGCCTCCATGTGAGACATGCCTTTCACCTTCTGCCATGATTGTGAGGCCTCCCCAACCACATGGAATTTTAAGTTCATTAAACCTCTTTCTTTTGTAAATTGCCCAGTCTCAGGTATGTCTATGAGCAACATGAAAGCAGACTAATACAATGACAATGACCTTAGGTTGTCTATTTTTTCTCTTTCAGACTTTTCGATGTAGGCATTTAATGCTATAAACTTTCCTTTTAGCACGGCTTTTGCTGTATCTCAGAGGATTGGATGGGTTGTGTCACTATTATCATTCAGTTCAAAGAAGTTTTTAGTTTCTATTGATTTCACTGTTTACTAAAAGATCATTCAGGAGCAGACTACTTAATTTCCATGTATTTGGATGGTTTTGAGGGTTTCTTTTGGAGTTATTTCCAATTTTATTCCGCTGTGGTCTGAGAGAGTACTTGACATGATTTCAATTTTCTTAAGTTTATTGAGGCTTATTTTGTGGTCTATCATATGATCAGTCTTGGAATATGTTCCATGTGCTGATGAATAGAAATACATATTCTGCATTTTGGGGCAGAATGTTCTGTAAATACCTGTTAAGTCTATTTGTTCTAGGGTATAATTTAAGTACTGTGTTTCTTTGTTGACCTTCTGTCTTGATGACCTGTCCGGTGCTGTCACGAAGTATTGAAATCCCCACTATTATTGTGTTGCCATCTATCTCATTTCTTACGTCTATCAAGAATTGTTTTATAAATTTGGGAGCTCTAGTGTTAGGTGTATATGTATTTACAATTGTGATTTTTTTCCTATTGGACTAGTCCCTTTATCATTATATAATGCCCCTCTTTGTCTTTTTTAAGTGTTTTTGCTTTAAAATCTGTTTTGTCTAATATAAGAATAGCTACTCCTGCTCACTTTACATGTCCATTTGCATGTAATATCTTTTTCCACCCCTTTACCTTAAGTTTATGTGAATCCTTATGTGTTAGGTGAGTCTTTTAAAGACAGCAGATACCTGTTTGGTGAATTATTATACATTCTGCCATTCTGAATCTTTTAAGTGAAGAATTTAGGCCATTTATTTTCAATGTTAGTATTGAGATGTGAGGTACTATT
Source organism: Homo sapiens (assembly GCF_000001405.40). Lineage (NCBI taxonomy): Eukaryota > Metazoa > Chordata > Mammalia > Primates > Hominidae > Homo > Homo sapiens. Next base: position 145,273 of record NT_187577.1, on the reverse strand, counting down.
CTATTTATCATGCTGGTTGTTTCCTGAATATCTTGATTATTTTTTCATTGTGTTGTTGTTTTTAGAGACCCTGTGAAATTTATGCTTTAAAGAGGTTCTATTTTGGTGTATTTCAAGGTTTTGTTTCAAGATTTAGAACTCTTTTTAGCAGTTTTTGTAGTGCTGGTTTGGTAGTAGCAAATTTTCTCAGCTTTTGTTAGTCTGAAAAAGACTTTATCTTTCCCTCATTTATGAAGCTTAGTTTCACTGCACACAAAATTCCTAGCTGATAATTGTTTTGTTTAAAGAGACTAAAGATAGGATCCCCATCCCTTCTAGCTCGTAGAGTTTCTGCTGAGAAATCTGCTGTTAATCTGATAGGTTTTCCTTTATACATTACCTGGTGCTTTTGCCCCCAGCTCTTAAGCTTCTTTCCTTCATCTTTACTTTAAATAACCTGATGACCATGTGCCTAGATGATGATCTTCTTGTGATAAATTTTCCAGGTATTCTTCAAGGTTCTTGTATTTGGAAGTCGAGATCTCTAGCAAGGCCAGGGAAGTTCTCCTTGATTATTCCCTCAAATAAGTTTTCCAAACTTTAGGATTTCTATTCTTCCTCAGGAATACAAATTATTCTTAGTTTGGTTATTTAACATAATCCCAAACTTCATGGAGGCTTTGTTCATTTTTTTATTTTTTATTTTTTTTGTCTGTGTCAGATTGGGTTCATTCCAAAGCCTTGTGTTAAAGCTCTTAAATTCTTCTACTTGTTCAATTCTATTGTTGAAACTTTCCAGTGTATTTTGCATTTCTCTAAGTCTTTTATTTCCATAAGTTATGATTTCTTTTATTTCTGATCTCTATTTCTCTGGAGATTTTTTGTCCATATTCTGTACTTTAAAAAATTTCTTTAGGTAGTTTTTCACCTTTCTCTGGTGCCTCCTTGAGTAGCTTAATAATCAAATTTCTGAATTCTTTTTCTGACAGTTCAGAAATTTCTCCTTCGTTTGGATCCACTGCTGGTAAGCTAGTGTGATCTTTTGGGAGTGTTATAGAACCATGTTTTTGTCATATTACCAGAATTGTTTTTCTGGTTCCTTCTCATTTGGGTAGACTATGTTAGAGGAAAGATCTGGGAATCAAGTGCTGCTGTTCAGACTCTTTTGTCCCACAGGGTAATCCCTTGATGTTGTGCTCTATCCCTTCCCTTAGGGATAGGGCTTCCTGAGAGCCAGACCACAGTGATCATTACTGCTCTTCTGGGTCTAGCCACGCAGTGGAGCTACTGGACTTTCAGTTGGTACTTGGGAATGTTTGCAAAGAATCCTGTGATGTGGTCCATCTTTAGGTCTCTCAGCCATTGATACTAGCACCTGCTCTGGTGGAAGTAGCAGGGGAGTGAAGTAGATTCTGTGAGAGTCCTTGGTTATAGTCTTGTTTAGTGCACTGGTTTCCTTCAAGACTGGTTATGCTAGCAATGAAGTTGTTATGTGGACAGATTCAGGACCTCTGGTTAGCCAGAATGTTGTAGGCAGTGGAATTAGCTGTTGTTTTTTCCTTCCTTGGAGCAGGGTTGTTCTGTTATGAACTGCTGTAATGGCTTGAGTTGGCTGGCCTCCAGCCAAGAGACAGCACTTTCAAGAGAGCATCAGCTGTAGTAGTATAGGGGGAATACAAGCTTGCCCTAAGGTCACCCAGGTAAGTATTCAAGTTTTTCAGGTGATGGGTGGGCCCTAGAGCTCCCATGAGTTACTGTCATTTTTGTCTTCAGCTACCAGGGCAGGTAGAGAAAGACCATCAGATGAGGGCAGAGTTGGGCATGTCTGAGCTCAAACTCTCCTTGGGTAGGGCTTGCTATGGCCGTTGTGGTGGATTGGGGGAGGTGGTTCTCAGGTCAATGGAGTTACCTTCCAAGGGGGATCATGGCTGCCTCTGCTGCTTCATACAGGTCACCAGGGAAGTGGGGGAAAGCCGGCAGTGACAGGTCTCACCCAGCTCCTATGCAGCCAGTAAGGCCAGTGTCACTCCCACCATGCTCCCCAAGCAGCCAACACAGCCCAGTGTATATCCAGGCCTCTGGTGCACAGGGCTGAGATCTTGCTCCAGGATACAAGCCTCCCCACTGAGAAAGCAAGCAGAGCTCTCAGGCCTTGCTTCTACCTGCCTGCCATGGCTTCTGTGCTCATATTTGCACTTCTTGTTCACCCCACCACATCTGCCCAGGAAAATTCACACTAAGTCAAAATTTTTACAAGGTTGAGCTGGAAGTCTCCTTATCCTTGTGGCCCTTCCCCAATTCCACTGGCTGTCCTCCCCAGGCACTGCTGTCAGATTAAATCAGAAATCGCTTCCCAGGGCTTCCCTGAGAACTGGGAGTGCCTACAAGGCTCTTCCCGCTGCTTCTTCTACTTTTATGGTTTGCTCGGCTCTCTAAATTCATTTCAGCTCTAGGTAAGGTTAAATTATTCTCCTGTGATCTGGATTTTCAGGTTCTCCAGTAAGGATGTGTGTCCAGAGCCAGACTTTCCCCCACTCACATATTGGGCATTTACAGTTTTATGGGTGTTTCACGAAGTTTGTAGTGGCAAGCTGCTTCTTTTGAAGGGTCTGTGAATTCTTTAAGTTTTCTTGTTATGTTCCTGCAGTGGTTCTTGCAGCAAAAGTTCATAATGTGAGTCTCCACACGCTGTCCATCCAAGTGGGAGCTGCAAGTAAGTCCTGCCTCCTATCTGCCATTTTTCTCCCTGTGTCCTCCACAAGTTTTGATAAGTTATATTTTCATTTTCACTTAGTTCAAAATATTTTAATTTTTTTCTTGAGAATTTTTCTTTGACCCATGTGTTATTTAGCCTCAAAGAGTATGGGGATTTTCCAGGTAACCATAATGTAAACTATGAATTTTGGGTGATAATGATGTGTCAATATAAGCTCATCAATTATTACAAATGTACCACGCTGATGTAGGTTATGCACAGTGGTACAGGTTTTGTGGGGGAGTAGGGGATAAAGAGTATATGAATACTTTTTTGTATTTTTCACTCAATTTTTGCTGTGAACCTAAAATGGCACTAAAATGTAAAGTATATTTTTTAAAATAATTTTTTTAATGATTCAGGGCAGAAAAGTGGAGGATATCAATAAAATAAGATTGGCTATTAAATAAATAATTATTATCAAAGAACCACTTTTCATTATAACACCATGAAATCTAACAAGACTATCCCTGAGTACACAGTTCAAAGAATATCTTGTATTAATTGCACATACAAAAGTTTTACATAGTAAAAAATTAACTCCATATAATAATGGCATATATTGTTTTCATAAAATATGAACTATCATTAGAGTCTCATAAGTATTTAATGAAGATAATAGAAATTTTTGTTAAAATGTACCAGAGTTGTCTATCATTATATTATGGAACGTATAAAAAATTCTGACATAATTCTTCTAACTTTAAAGTATAATAATCAGAGGGCTGAAGATATATTCCCAACTCCATTATTTATGGCAATCTCAATTTCCTTAAGTTGCAGTTTTTACACGAGTACAATAATACTTTTTTAAAAAATGTTATTTTAGAAAAAGCAAGTAACATTAGAGCTTGTTTTTAGTTTAAAATGAGATGACATATGTGAAAATCATTTCCTGTTAAACATTAAAGCACAGCATAACCTTCTTCAGATAAATGGCATCATAAACCTCTTCTAAATACAAACAATCTAACCCTTTTAAACTTTTAATATGTTGAGTCTTCTCGCTGGTCCTTGACCATGATGATGTGTCTAACAAGTCTTTTTGGAATATAGTATCTACTGTCTGCCTGGCTCAGTTGAAATTGAGATAGATTCCCCACTGAATAAGGACACTAACTTACAGAAACAATACTAAGAATGTTTCATCATATATAATTTATACTATCATTAAAAACTACCCAGTAAAATTTGTTTTTACACATTATTTCTGAGAAGAATTGTCTGGGTTATTAAAAAGATTATATTCTTATTAAATTACTTATCAAATCATCTCAAAGACTTTATTGGTTGTGTTGCATTTTTTAGGCTTTTTCTTTTCTGCTCCATGACCTAAATATATCCACTGAGCTCCCTGGCCCAAACCTCCATCAAGATGGCACTTATGACTCGAATGCATAAAAATAAATCAATATTAATGAGTCTATATACTTTACCTACAGTAAGCTTTATTTATACTATAAAACCACTAAAAGTGGCTATTGAAATATACATTTCATATCTAAGGATACCAAGGCTTAATAATATTAAATTATTTCTTAAAGATCATCTATCAAGTAAGTGGCAGAGTCAGAATTCAAATCTATGAACATCTATCTTTAAAGCCTACACTTTACACTTTTTATATTTCCCTATGAGCAAAGATCTGGTCAGGAATTAAATAAGATTTTATTTTAATTTCTAAATATTTATTTATTTATTTCATATATCCAAAGATTTATTATTTACAGATCCTGGGCAGGGAGAGCACATTGTACCAGGAGGGCAGTCCTCCATCCCCAGGTCACAGGACACAGGAATGAAGAGTCAGACAGAGAGGGGCGGGGGGAAGGAGAGAAAGAAGTAACAGTATACACATATATGGAAGAATAGGGTATGGATTGCTTTAGGTTTGCAGACAAACTCCTGAATGGTCCACTTAAGAAAAGCATGGGGAAAGTTGAGAGCCCAGTCCCCCAGGAAGGAGAAATGCCTTTAAGTTCTTATCTCTGGCTGGCTTGAGCTATTTGGATGTTGTGTTCTACTTCCAATGCCTAAGCAGGAACCTTTGCTGTGTTATTCCCTCTAAATGAGATGTTAAATTTATTTGCTCTATCTTCTCCAGATTTGGGTTGGTTTCAAAGATGACAAATTATAATGATAACAATCGGCAATAATAGCCAAACTGTATTTAGTTATTACTATGTTCTGGGCATTGTGCTAAGCACTTATAATATTATCTCATTTAATCTTCACAATACCCTGTAGAGTAAATGCTATTATTATCCCTACTTTATGTACAGTTGAGATATCTCAGACTAGCTAGATAACTTGCAAAATGTTAAACAATATTTGATTCTATCTAAGCAGCCTGATCTAAGTTGTGCTGTTATTCATGGGGCCACAAAGAGATTTATGTTACTAAGTGAGATTTCTTCTTTCTTCTCCCAGAAGAAAAGCAAGTTCCCATGCTATGAGGTTCTTAACTACAATATATTCCCAAGACTCTCTCCCAAGGAAAGCTCCAAATATTTGGAGTTTCCTTGCTCAGAACACTGAAATTCTAATGGGGGGTGGGAGGGGGTGGGGTGCGATGTTCCCATTTCCCTCTTACTATTTGGAGACTAATTTAAGATCATTCATTTTGCCTCCAAACATTTAAGATTACCTAATACTAGCACTAAATTAAAATTTGATACTTAAATAAAAAGATGAAAACAATAAATAAAACTATATTTTTTAAATAGATTTTAAATTATTTACCCTCCCAATATCACACTGAGAGCCATTTTTGACAGCCAGTGGATCTGGAACTGTTCGAGGCAATTTGTAGTCTACGGTTATGCATACAGAATCTCGTACGAAAGCATAAATCACATCACCATTTTCTTGATGGAAAGGCTTTCGAGTAGGGTAGGTACAAACTAATCTTCCACATATAAGATTCCTGAAAACATAAAAAATATATATGATTATTATACATTAGGAATTTATTAGGAATGCTTTGGATTTGCTTTCTGTGATGCAAAAAGAATGGTTTTCCACTTACGGCAATGTACTTACAGAAAACGTTAATGTTTTCACGGTAACAAAGTAAAAAGTAAAAAAAGTATAAATCCATTGATCCTAGCTTAACTTTCAAAGGTACTATCAGAGGCATTTGAACAAGAATGACTCTATCTTGAATAGAGGCTAGGTAAAACAAAGCTAAGACCTACTGGGCTGCATTCCCAGGAGGTTACGGCATTCTTAGTCACAGGATGAGACAGGAGATCGGCATAAGATACAGGTCATAAGCTGATAAAACAGCATTAAGATAAAGAGGCCAGTCAAATTTTACCAAAACCAAGATGGCGATGAAAGTGACCTCTGGTCATCCTCATTGCTCATTATACTCTAATTATAATGCATTAGCATGCTAAAAGATACTCCCACCAGCACCATGACAGTTTACAAATGCCACAGCAACATCAAGAAGTTACCCGATATGGTCTACAAAGGAGAAGAACCCTCAGTTCTGGGAATTGCCCACTCCTTTCCTGGAAAACTCATGAATAAGACACCTCTTGCTTGGCATATAATAAAGAAGTAACAATAAGTGTAAGCAGCTGAGCAGTCCATGCTGCTGCTTTGCCTGTTGAGCAGTCATTCTTTTATTCCTTTACTTTCTTAATAAATTTGCTTTCACTTTACTGTATGGATTTGCCTCAAATTCTCTCTTCCACAAGATCCAAGAACCCTCTCTTGGGGTCCGTATTCAGACCCCTTTCTGGTAACAATACTAGAGATCTGTTACTTACTGGGCAGATTATATATTTACTGTCAAATAATCAATTCACTACAGCATTTTATATCACCCCATAGAAGGAAAGAAAGATGAAAAAGTTGTAACCCCTACACTCTAAGGACTTTACAGTCTAATACTCTTACTATGGTTTATGATATTAATATGATTCAAATTCCATTAAAAATGTTACAAGTGAAATAAATCATTACAGAGGTTTAAGATTCTCTTAAAAGCTCTGTGAAGTTTTCCTTAACTGTGAGGTTAGAGGACACATTCTAACTTCACAGTTAAGAAAAACTTCATAGAGGAGACACCATCTGAGTCAAAGCTCACAAATTAGTAAGCTTTCAACAGAAACAGTGAAGTATTTCTAAACAAAAGTAACAGCATAAGCAAGTCAAGGAAGCATACAACTTTATGGTATGTTTATGAGTCTACAAATTCCATGAGTGTATGAGTATGATTTGCTAACTAGGATTTAGCCCAGTGTCTGGCATATAGTAGGGTCCTAAGAGATGTTTTGTAAAAATAAACTCATGATCAAAATATCAAAAACCTGGCTCTTCAGATTCAGGAGGAATTGAACTGCATTTTATAGACACTGAGCAGTCTTCCTCTTAGGCAAGTAACCAAGTGGGATGGAAAGGAAAAATGAGCGGGAAAGGTACAGTGGGTATTATGAATTTCAACTTTGGATTGGATTTAGAAACATAATGGCCATTCACGTATAAATGTTTAGAAATAAGATGAAATTTTAGCCTGCAGCACAAAAGAGGTGTCAGGGCTGGGGATTTTGATTTGAGGTTCACTCCTATGCACATGTAATACTTTAAACCACTGGAATGAATGACACAGAAGGGGGCAAAGTTTTTAAAAATCTAATAGAATATAAGAAAAGTATCATTTATATTTGTAGAGCATACCTCCATCCACAGAACACATATTTGTTATTTCTATCCCTACCACAGTTCCCAAATCTGTCTGATTGAGATTGTATTTCTTCATAGCAGGCAAATGGAGCATTTCTTGAACCTGTTAAAGTTAGAAATACATTTGGATTAAAATGTTTATTGGTTTTTCATCTTCCTCCATTTCTTCATATAATATTCCCTTTATCTCTCCATTAATATCTAATTGAAACATTTTTCCTAGTGAGGTTGTAAGGAAAGAATAAAAAGTAAAGTGAAAGGCAATGCCCACTGTTATTGCTCCTTTTGCTTCATTTTCATCAATTTCCATCATAAAAGATAATATAGGTGGAAGGGAGATGGTATAGAAGTGTCAACTAGAAGAGGGCTCTGTGAAAGAAAGCAATAGAGATATAAACCAAGAAAACTATACCATTCTTCTAGATTCTGAGTGTGAACTCATAAAAAACCAAGTCTATAACAAAATCAAGAAAATTTCTTCAATGAGAAGAAACTTCGTTGTATCTTCAGGTAGTCTAAATTTAAGGGACCAAAATTAGCAACCTATGTATTTATCTATTTTTTCCTTCATTATATTGGATTTTTTATTTCTCTGTAAAAAATTAGAAAAGATTCGGCAGCTTAAAACAACACCCATTTATTGTCATGGACTCAGTAGTTAGTTCAGCAAGGCATACAGGTTTTCTCTGCATATTTTCTCTATGCTGAGATCAAAATACTGGCTGGGGCTGCAGTGTCATCTGAGGTTTAAATCCCCTTCAGAGGTCACTGGTTGTTAGTAGTTCAGTTTTTTGCAGTTGTAGGTTTACTAGCTGTCTGCTAGGGATTGCTCTTGGCTCTTAGAAGTTCCTTACAGGTCCTAGTCACATGGCACCTCAGAACACAGCAGCTTTCTTCCTCTAAACCCACAGGAGAATCTTGCTGACATTTCCTGTCTTTTAAGGGCTCACATGATTAGTTCAGGTGCACTCAGAGCGACCTCCCTTTTGATTAACTCAAAACTGACTGATTGTAGACCTTAACTACATCTTCAAAATTCCTTGACCTTTACTATATAAGCTAATCACAGGATTGATATTCAATCATATATTCACTGGTTCTACCCCAACTCAAAGGGAGGGAATTATCCAAGGTTTGTCTACACCAGAAAAATTTTGGGAGTCACTTTAGGATTCTACCTACCACAGTTACCTTCTCCAAAATGAACCTCTCTAAATCTGCTTTATTGACAAAAGTAGATAATAATATATATGTCAATGAATTGTTATGAGAATTAATATTATGGCTATTTAGTCACTCTTAATTCCCATCTAATCCCTCTCCATTCTCTTTCAAGATCAAGAAAGTTTCTCCTGTTTACCTGCACCTTCTATGATACACATTTTTTTCTTTCTGCTGTTCTTTTTTGGTTTTTTGCTTTCCCCTCATCTTATCCCTTTCCACCATCTTTGATATTGGCCCATCACAGGAGATTGTATAGATTCCATGAGGATAGGCAATGCTAGTTCAGAGTATTCACAATGTTTAACCAGTTCAATAGTGAATGTGAGATACCAGGTTAGGAATGCCAATGCAGGGCTTGTTAAACACTGAGAGATTATCCGGAGAAAGGAATTTGAAAATTCAGTTTAGTTTAGAAAGATAATGTAAAGAATATGTTTGGTCACAAAGCAGTCAGATGAATTCTGCTGAAAGTATAGTCGCCAACCAACTCAATTTTATTAGTCTATGTGTGGCATCTAAAGTTACCAATAACCCCCTCTCATTAATTTCTCCCTTAAACGCTCTCTCCCATTAGTATTAGATGATCACTTTCTCTCAGACTTGTCTTGGTTTTCAAAAGTGAAATGAAAATACTAATAAAAAGGGCAGCACTTTGCAAATGTGAAGTCATATGTTAAATATTCCCTATAATCCAGTATATTGACTAAGTTTAGTAAGCAATAGAATTTGCTCTTCCACAGTCCAAATGGTGTAATTAGATCCCCAGTACCCTATTATCGAATGCTTTGATGTGCAGTAGCCTATTATCAAATGCTTTGACGTGCATTAAAATAGTGGATGCATGTCATAGATAGGTGTGCATGGATGGCACCAGGGCAATAAATGTGGGTGTCTGAGATAAATGTGGTCTGAGAGAGTGCTTGACATAATTTCAATTTTATTAAATTTATTGAGGCTCGTTTTATGGCTTATCTTTGGGTCTATCCTGGAGTGAGTTCCATGCATTGTTAAATAGAATGTATATTCTGCAGCTGTTGGATGAAATGTTCTGTATATATCTGTTAAGTCCATTTGTTCCAAGGTATAGTTTAAATCCATTGCTTGTTGACTTTCTGTCTCGATGACTGTCTGGTGCTGTGAGTGGAGTCTTGAAGTCCCCCACTATTATTATGTTGTTGTCTATCTCATTTCTTAGATCTATTAGTAATTGTTTTATAAATTTGGGAACTCCAGTGATAGGTGCATATATGTTTAGGATTGTGATATTTTCCTCTTGGACAAGGCCTTTTACCATTATATAATGTCCCTCTTTGTCTCTTTTAAATGCTGTTGCTTTAAAGTTTGTTTTGTCTGATATAAGAATAGCTACCCCTGCTCACTTTTGGTGTCCATTTGCATGAAATGCCTTTTTCCACCCCTTTACTTTAAGTGTATATGAGTTCTTATGTGTTAGGTGAGTCTCCTAAAGGCAGCAAATAGTTGATTGATGAGTTTTTATACATTCTGCAGTTCTGTATCTTTTAAGTGGAGCATTTAGGCCATTTACATTCACTGTTAGTATTGAAATGTGAGGTACCATTGAATTCATCATCCTCTTTGTTGCCTCTGTGCTTTGGGTTTTTTGTTTTTGCTTTTTAACTTATATTTTTGTTTTATAGGTCCTGTGTGATTTATTCTTTAAAGAGTTTTTGTTTTGATATGTTTCCAGGATCTGCTTCAAGATTTAGAGCTCCTTTTAGCAGTTCTTGTAGTGGTGGCTTGGTAATGGCGAATTCTCTCAGCATTTGTGTGTCTGAAAAGACTGTATCTTTCCTTCACATATGATGCTTAGTTTCACTGGATACAAAATTCTTGGCTGATAATTGTTTTGTCTGAGGAAGCTGAAGATAGGGCCCCAGTCCCTTCTAGCTTGTAGGGTTTCTGCTGAGAAATCTGCTGATAATCTGATAGGTCTTCCTTTTTAGGTTACCTGGTACTTCTGTCTCACAGCTCTTAAGATTCTTTCCTTCATCTTAACTTTGGAAAACCTGATGACAATGTGCCTAGGCAATGATCTTTTTGTAATGAATTTCCCAGGTGTTCCTTGTGCTTCTTGTATTTGGATGTCTAGGTCTCTAGCAAGGCCAGGGAAGTTTTCCTCCATTATTCCCCCAAATATGTTTTCCAAGCTTTTAGAATTCTCTTCTTACTCAGGAGCCCCAATTATTCTTAGGCTTGATCATTTAACAAAATCCCAGACTTCTTGGAGGCTTTGTTCATATTTTCTTATTCTTTTTCCCTTGTCTTTGTTGGATTAGGTTATTTCAAAGACCATATCTTTGAGCTCTGAATTTCTTTCTTCTACTTGTTCAGTTCTATTGCTAAGACTTTCCAGAGGATTTTGCATTTCTAACAGTGTGTCCAAAATTCCCAGAATTTTTTATGTTTTTTCTTTAAGCTACCTATTTCCTTGAATAATTCTCCCTTCACTTCTTGTATCATTTTTTGGATTTCCTTGCATTCGGCTTCTCCTTTCTCCATTGCCTCCCTGATTAGCTTAATAGCTAACCTCCTGATTTCTTTTTCAGGTAAATCAAGGGTTTCTTCTTGGTTTTAATCCATTGCTCGTGAACTAGTGTGATTTTGGGGGGATGTTAAAGAGCCTTGTTTTGTCATATTACCAGGATTGGTTTTCTGGTTCCTTCTCATTTGAGTAGCCTCTGTCAGAGGGAAGGTCTAGGGCTGAAGGCTTTTGTTCAGATTCTTTTGTCCCATGGGGTGTTCCCTTGATGTAGTACTCTCCCCCTTTTCCTATGGATGTGGCTTCCTATGAGCCGAACTGCAGTGATTGTTGTCTCTCTTCTGGGTCTAGCCATCCAGCGAGTCTACCCAGCTCCAGGCTGGTACTGGTGGGTGTCTGCACAGAGTCTTCTAATGTGAACTGTCTAGGGGTCTCTCAGCCATGGATACCAGCGACTGTTCTGGTGGAGGCAGCGGAGGGCGTAATGGACTCCATGAGGGTTCTTAGCTTTGGTGGCTTAATGCCCTATTTTTGTGCTGGTTGGCCTCCTGCCAGGAGGTGGTCCTTTCCAGAGAGCATCAGCTGTGGTAGTATGGAGAGGGACCAGTGGTGGGTGGGGCCCTAGAACTCCCAAGAGCATATGCCCTTTGTCTTCAGTGACCAGAATGGGTAAGGAAGACCATCAGGTGGGGGCAGGACTAGGCATGTCTGAGCTCAGACTCTCCTTAGTCGGGTCCTGCTGTGGCTGCTGTGTGGGGTGGGGGTGAGATTCCCAGGTCACTGGAGTTGTGTACCTAGGAGGATTATGGCTGCCTCTGCTGAGTCATGCAGGTTGTCACGGAAGTGGGGGAAAGCTGGCAATCACAGGCCTCAGTCAGCTCCCATGCAAACTGAAGGGCCTGTCTCACTCCCACCGTGCCCCAATTTAACAGCCCCGAGTCTGTTTCCTTCTCCCTGTGAAGTTTTACCCCATGCTCCTCTGGCCGTCCTCCAGATAGATCCCTGTGGTGCCAGGCAGGAATGGTCTGCCTGGGGACCCAGAGAACTCCCACGGTCTTTCTCCTGCTTCATCTACCCCTGTATTTTGCCCAGCTCTCTAAATTGACTCAGCTCCAGGTAAGGTCGGAAACTTCTCCCTCAAACAGACCTTCAGTTTCTCCAGTGGGGGTGTGTGTTCAGGAGAGGAGGAAGGGAGGGTCCCCCTTTCCCACTTCCACAGTTGGGGCACTCATGGTATTTGGGGTATCTCCCAGGTCCTGCAGGAGCAGTCCACTTCCTTTAGAGGGTCTGTGGGTCCTCTCAGGATTGTTGGTTTGTTCTTGCAGTTGATTTGGAGCTAAAATTCACAATGTGAGCCACCACACCCTGTCCCTTCCGGAGCTGTAATCTAGTCCTGCCTCCCATCCGCCATGATGATCCATCTCAATTTATAAGTTTTTATGTTGCATGTTCCTTAACAAATTATTATAGTAATAATTATTTCAGTAGTTTTGTCTTTTAACCTTTATACTAGAGACACATCGCCATTTCGGTATTTGGTATTCTGAATTTGACTATATACTTACTTTTACCAGTGAACGTTATATTTTTATATATTTCCATACTACATATTAGTCTTTTTGTTTACATGGAAGAACTCCTATTGACATTTGTTGTAAGATAGATTGAGTGGCAATGAACTCCTTGAGCTTTTGTTTGTCTTAGAAAGTTTTATCTTTCCTTTATTTCCGAAGAAGAGCTTTGCCAGATAAAGTATTCTTGATTGACTTTTTTTTTTTCTTTCAGCACGATATCATTCCACTCTCCTCACTGACAAAGTATCTGCTGAGAAAATCCAACTTACATGTTGGATTATGTTACTTAATCTTTTTTTTTCTCTTGCTTCTTTCAAAATGTCATTATATTTATTGACGGTTTTATTATAATATGTCTTGGTGTAGTCTTGTTCAAATTAAACCTGACTGAAGAATTTTGAGCTTGGTATAACCTTCTTTGGATTAAACCTGACTGAAGGATTTTGAGCTTCCTGTACCTGCACACTTATATCTTTCCTAAGATTTTGGAAGTTTTCAGTTATTATTATTTTAAATAAGCTTTCTGTCCTTGTCTCTCTTCTCCTTTTTTACCTCTTATAATGAGAATGTTAGCTTTCTTGATGCTGTTTCAAAATCCCATAGTGTTTGTTTCTTCATTCCTTTTCATTCTTTTTTCTTATTTCTCCTCTAGTTGTATATATACAAGTAATCTGTTTGCAAGTTCACAGATCTTTCTTTTGCTTTGTGAATTCTGTTGTTGATATTATCTATTGCATTTTAATGTTATTCATTGTGTTCTTCAGCCCAATAATTTGATTTTTTTTTATAAAAATGTATGTTGTTTCTCTGTGTTCTTTTGAAGTTTGCTGAGTATCCTTAGAACAATTATTTTGAATCTTGTTCAGGCAATTTGAAGATCTTTATTTCTCTGGGATCAGTTATTAGAAAATTATTGTGTCATTTAATGGTGATAAGTTTCCCCAGTTTTTCATGTTTCTTATTGTATTGCATTGATACCTTCAAATTCGATGGAGCAGTCACCATTTTGAAACTTTACAGAATGCTTTCACTGATTTAAAAAAAAAAATCTTACTCCATGGGTGGGAAAAAGGCTGTTAGAAGGGTAGAGTTGGATGGTTCCAGCTTTGGTGAAGACAGAGCAGTGTACCCTCCATGCATTTCTGTCAGCTGAGGTCAACATTAACAAAGATTCCAGGGGGTCCTGAGCAGCTAAAGCTGTGGTATCTGCAGGGGCAGTGAGACTGTTGGGTTTTCAATGGTGAAAGATCCTGGGGCCCTCAATCTCTTTTTCTCCCACCAGGGAGGTCATGGCCCCGGGCAATTTCATTTGGCACAAGGTCTGGTTTGAGGGCATTCCCTCACTGATGTCTGATGCACAGTGACCATGCAGTAGCCACAGAGCCAGGGTCTGAATCACAAACACACATGAAGAGACCAAAGGGTACAGGGCAGCAGTCACACTGGTGCCTAGGGTGAAGACAGCCCTGCTTCCACATAAGTAATGATGTATGAAGTAGAGTGGGTGTTTGTGGAGCAGATGGAGAGTCAGCGTCTCAAGCACATGTGGGTGTAGAGCAACAAAAGTTCCTAGGTTCAGTGTGAAGACTCACACATAGCTGCACTGTCTCTGAGACTGACGTATGAGTGCACACAGTGCAGACAAGAGCCACAGCTCCAGGGTCAGGGGTGTGCACAGGGTTGGGAGGGGTAGTCACTCAAGTCCCAGAGCTATAAAATAGTAGCTGATTCTTGGAGGAAAGGCACATTTGGATCTCATTTTCCATGGAGCCAGAGGCAGGGATGACTGTTGGTTACCTCAGTGATAAAAGACGCCTCTGTCCTCTGCAGAGGCCACTGGAGATGACAATGGCACATGCTGAGTGGCTAATACTGATAGCTTCCTCCCTTCTTTGTTCATAACCACCTCCATATATCTCAGATATGCTGCTGTAATCAGCAATCCTTCTTTACAGTTTTTCCCATTTTTTTCTCTGCCGTGCTGCCAGAGGGTTCTTAGATGGACCTTGGAGCCTTCACAAGACTATTATCCTTCATAAATAGTTTTCTATTTTTTGTTTTTTGTGAGGGGATGAAGACCAGCATCCTAAAAATCTTTTGCACAACAAAGGAAAAAATCAACATAGTGAAAAGCCAACTTTTATAAAATAAGATAAAGTATTTGCAGATCATATATATAATAAGGAATTCATTTCCAAAATATATCAGTAACTCATAAAACTCAGTAGCAAAAAAAAAGCCCAATCAAAAATGGAGAAAAGATTGAATAAACATTTCTCCAGAGAATACATACAACTCATCAAGACATATATGAAAAGATGCTCATCACTAATCACAGAACCACAATGAGATACCACTTCACATCTGTTAGAATGATTATTGTCAAAAAGATAAAAGATAACAAATGTTGGTGAAGATGTGGAGAAAAGAAACCCTCATACACTATCGGTGGGAATATAAGTTGGTACAGCTGCTAAGGAAAACAATATGGAACATCCTTAGAAATCAAAAGTAGAACTACCTTATGATTCACCAATCCCAACTGAGTATAGATTCAAAGGAAATGAATCAATATTGCAAAAGAGATATGTGCACACCCATGTTTATTGCTACATTATTCATAATAACCAAGATTTGGAAACAACCAGTGTCTATTTGATTGAAAAAGTATAGCACAATCTGATGGAATGAAAGTCAGAGTTTTATTTGTGTTCTGAGTATAAGAGAAGAAAGTTCACTTTTAGCTTAGGTAAACAGATAAATGTATTAAAAATATGATATATATATGTCTGTGTTTATATAGATATATACATATACACAAACACACAAAATGCAATATTATTCAGTCAGAGTAAGGAGGAAAATCCTGCCATTTGCAGTAACACAGATGAACCTGGAGGCCATTATGCTAAGTGAAATAAGCTAGATACAGAGAGGTAAATAACGCATGATCTCACTTATATATACAATCTAAAATTGTCAAACTCAAAAATGCAGAGAGTAGAATGATGGTTGCAAGAGGCTGAGGTAAGGGGAGAAATGGCAAAATGCTAGTCAAGGGGTACAAAATTTCAGTTATGCAAAATAAATAAGTTCAAGAGATGTAATGTACAACAATGTGACTTTAGTAAACGACATTCTATTATATATTTGAAATCTGCAAAAAGGATAGATACAAAAATTCTTTTAAAGGATAAAAAAGAAAATGGTAACTATATGAGATGATGGACATGTTAATCAACTTAACTGTGGCAAATATTTCACAATGTATACATATATCAAAACAAAATCATACACCTAAAAACATACATACAATTTTTGTCAATTATACGTCAGCAAAGATGGAAAAAATATAAACATTAACAAGAAGAATTAGCGCGTATATGTTTGCTTATACATATAATAAAATATATATATTCCACATTTTATACTATATAAAACATTCTGCTTATATATATAATAAAATATATATAAACAATATTCCACATTTTATACTATATAAAACATTCCACATTTTATATATATGAAAATATTCCCCATTATCCTGGTAATGTTAATAACAATGTTAAGGGCTATTGAGATGTAACAAAAAGATATTACCTTTTCCAAATACACTCTCACAACGTGCATCGAGATCATGGCAGTCTCCGTCATAACAAATAAACTTATTATTTTTGCATGAAAGTCCATTGATTAAAGTTATGTCAGGACCACATTCTGGTGAGCTTCCATTACAATTTTCAGCGATGTCACATTCAGGATGTGCTTTCGGCCTACATTCAACGCCTGATTGTAAAATCTAAGAGAAGTTAGAACATAAAAAATAAAGCATTACAAATAGGATTACTGTTTGTTAATATTTACTTCAAAATTGTGTTAATCATTTTCGCTTTAGTCTATCCATTAATGTATATTAATACTTTTTTGTACAAATTACTATGCTAATAATATAAAAATATAAATGGAATGTTATTGACTAAAATAGGAGATAAGACATATGTACAAGAAAATGCAAAACAAAAATCTGATGTGATGAAAGCCAAAGTTTTATTTGTAGTCTCAATGTAAGAGAAGAATGTTCACTTTAAGCTTAGGAAATTTATTTCTTTTGGGTGAAAATAATGTAATTTAGTCCATTTCTAAATGAAATATACTTTTTCAAGCCATGGTTTTTAAGTGTGGAATACTTTAAAATTCTATGACAACTGTGAAACATAAAAAACTGCAGAGGGAAACAGAAGTGTTATTAAAAATGCAGTTCAACTATGAGAGTCTTTGGAGAGGAAGGAACACAACTAGAATCTTTCTCTCAAATCATGGAAATACGTAGACTCTTTCATACATAGAATTGTGGAAATTTACAAAAAGAATCTCAAATAAAACATCTATCTCATAATTCTTAATTGATGACTTCCAGCTGACACTAAAAAGATTACAGAAGTAAGAATGCAATCAGATAATAACATCCTAAGGAAAGAATACATAAAACTGCATCAGTCCAGGACAGTCATGAAGGTAGACTGCATTATGGATAATTCAACAGAGGTATTCTCTTATGAGAAACCTGTTAATAATATTTTAGAAGAGCTGAAAAGAAAAACAGAAAACAGGAGCCAATGTCTTCACTGTATAAACTAAAACATAATCTTTAAGTCAAATGATCTTTGAATAATAAGTTCAAAGTTTAAATGTTATGCTACATGTACCATGTGGAAAATGTTACTTCTAGTGAGTTTCCTTCCTTATACATTTAAGGAAATCTGCTATATCTTTCAATTACACATAAATAGATACTTATTCACAACCCATAAAAACGTTTTTATTTACAATAATATAAATATTGTATCATGCAAATAAATAATTGTTCCATTCAATAGAGGTCTTCCGTATTGAAGAATCCAATAATATCTCTAAATCAAGGCTTAAAAAAACAGCATCAACTTAGTGAAAATATTGGCATATAGAACACCTAAGAAAAGTTAATAAAAATCAGAAATCTGATTCTGAATTTATTATCTTTCTCTTTATCTGAAAAGTAATTTAATTGATGTAATTACAGCTGTAGGTCTGTGTTGTAAAGTACCCTGCACATGATTTGTTATATATTTGAAAGATGTTCATAAGCTTAAATCTTACTTGACAGTCTTTGCAGCACAGTCCTTTATAACATTTTGCTCCGTCTTTCAGTACACAAGTTCGAAAATCACAACAGCTTGCAGGTCCACATTGCTATGAATTAGTGAAATGTACAAGTAAAAATACATCATGACAATAGTAAAATCTTTACTAGGAGTTATATTTTGATGGGCTTACTGTTTGAATTTGGAAAAGGATATGAATGCTGCTGATAGTTACAGGTTTTAACATCTTTAAATATTTAAAACACTAATGTAGGACTTTTACTACCAGTCACAAGAGAGTAACTAGTAACCTACTTACCTTCCTCTGGACTATATTCTCTACTTAAAAGACATGGAGAATGTCAGAATGGATAAAAAGCGAGACCTCACTATATGCTACCTATAAAAATACATCATGTATGAAGACACATAGACTGAAAATAAAGGCATGGAAAAATATATTACATGCACATGGAAACACAAAAGAGCAGGAATAGCTATATTTATATTAGATAAAATAGACTTCAAGTCAAAGACTGTAAAAAGAAACAAAGGTGGTCCCCATATACTACTAAAGTAGTCCATTTAGCAAGAGAATATAATAATTCTAAATACAGTGCACCCAACACTGGTGAACCCAAATATATAAAGCAAACATTAATAGACATAAAGAGAAAGAAAGAATAAATTACAATAATACCTGGACAATTCAACACCTCACTCAGTAATGGAAAGATCACCCAGACCAAAAAAAAAAAAATCAACACAGACATCAGAGTTAAACCACACTCTAGACCAAATGGACCTAACACAACATTTCTTCAAACAGCTATAGAATACATATTATTTTCATTAGCAAGTGAAACATTCTTCAGAATAGACCATATGCTAAGCTAAAAAACAGATCTCAACAAATTCAAAAAACAATTAAAATCATATGAAGTATCTTTTCTGATCATAAGGGAATAAAACTAGAAATCAATAACAAGAACTTAGAAAACTACACAAGCACACAGAAATTAAACAACATGCTCCTGAATGATCAATAGTCAATGAAGAAATAAAGAATAAAAATAAAAAATTGTTTGAAACAAATGAAATAGAAACACAGCATAACAAAACCTATGAGATACAGCAAAAGCAATACTAAGATGGTAGTTTATAAGAATAAATGCCTACATCAAAAAAGGAGAAAATTTTCAAATTAGCAACCTAATGATGCACCTCAAGGAACTAGAAAGGCAAGAAGAAACTAAACCTAAAATTAGTGGAACAAAAGAAATAATATAGATCCAAGCAGAAATAAGTAAGAGACTCTAAGTGCAAGTTGAATAAAAAAACAAAACCCATCCATCTGCTGTCTTCAAGAGATCCATCTTATATGTAACAAAGCCAGTAGGCTAATAGTAAAGGGCTGCAGAAAGATCTATCATGCAAATGGAAAACAAAAAAGAGCAGAAGTCAATATTTTTATAGTAGATAACACAAACTTTGGACCAAAAACAGTAATAAAAGATAAATAATGACATCACATAATGATAAAGAGTTCAATTCAACAAGAAGACTTAATGGTACCAAATATATATGCACTGAACACTGTAGAACCTAGATTCTAACTACTTCTAAACCTACAAAAACACTTAGTCACACAATAATAGTGGAGAACTTTAATACCCCACTGACAGTGTTAGACAGATCACCAAGACAGAAAACTAAAAAAGAAATTCTGAATGTAATTTAACACTTGACCAATTGGACCTAATACTAATACACACTTACAAAGTACTCCACATTTCAACAATAGCATATACATTTTTCTTAGCCGTGCACAGAACATACTCTAAGATCAACCACATGCTCAACCATAAACCAAGTCTAAATAAATCTTTTAAAAATTGAAATTATACCAACCATACACTCAAGCCACAGTGAAATAAAAATAGAAATCAATACCAAGAAGATATCTCAAAAACCACACAATTACATGGAAATTAAACAACTTGCTCTTGAATGACTTCATGTTGCTGAAAGAGGCACCAAAGAGGGTGGGAAAGAATGTCTTGAATTGTCAACAGCAACCATCCCTTATCCCCCAGCAGCAGCTTCATGGTGCGGAGAATCTGTGTGACTCAGGGAGGAGAGCACAGTGTCTATGAGGCTTTGCATTGAATTCAATGTTGCCCTGACACAGTGTAAAGCAGAATCAGGCTATACTCAGCTGACACCCATCCATAGAGGGGGCATATAAACCAGCCCTAGCCAGAGGGGAATCATCCTTCTGATCAGTCAGAGCTTGAGTTCCAGCAAGCCTCACCACCATGGGCTGGAGTACTCTGGGGCCCTAAGTGAACTTGAGGGGCAATCTATGACACAAGGACTGCAATGACTAGGCAAGTCCTAGTGGTGAGCTGGGCTCTAAGCCAGACTGCAGGGGCAAGTGACCTGTAGAGACACCAGCCAGGGAAGCTAAGAGAACACTTGTGCCATCCTTCCCCCAGCCTCAGGCAGCAGAGTGCACAGCGCCAAAAAGACCCCGTCCTTCTGGTTGAGAGAAAAGGGAAGAGTAAAGAAGACTTTGTCTTGCATCTTGAATACCAGATCAGCCACAATAAGATAGGGCACTGATCAGGGTGGTGAAGTCCCCATTCCAGGTCCTAGTTCCTAGATATTTCTAAACACACCCTGGCCAGAAGGGAACCTGCTGCCTTGAATGGAAGGACCCCATCCGGGAAGGATCAATCACCTACTCACTAAACAGCCCTTGGGCCCTAAAGAATGAACAGTGATACCCAGGTAGTATGCTGTAGGCCTGGAGTAGAACTTAGTCATGCTGACTTCAGGTACATGCTCTACCACAGTGGGGTAGAGCACCAAGAGGGCTCTTGGGTTCCCTTATTCCAGGACTTTTCTCTTAGATAGCACTTCTGGACCTGTCCTGGGACAGAGGGGAGCCCACTGCCCTGAAGAGTGAGTCCCAGGCCTTGCACACCCACAACAAGCTGACTAAGGAATCACTGGGCCTAAACTCAACATCAGTGGTGGCCTGGCATTACTCCCTGTGGGCCTGTGGTGGCAGAGGCCATAGGGTGAGGGTCCTTAGCCTATGGGAAAAAAAGTAAGAGTAGGAAGGACTGTGTCAAGTGGTTGGAATGCCAGATCAGCCACAGTAGAACAGAACACCAGGTGTATTTCTAAGGTTTCTGACTCCAATCCCTGGCTCCAGGATGGCATCTCTGCACCTGCCCAGGGGCTGTGAGAACTTGCTCCCTAAAGGGGAGGAGACAAGCCTGGTTGGCTTTGCCACCTGCTGATCGTGGAGCTCCAGGGCCTTGAGTGAACATAGTCAGTAGTCAGGTAGTGGTTTCAGCAAGCCTTGCGTGAGACCCAGTGCCATGCTGACTTCAGGTCTGATCCAGCACAATCTAAGTGGTGGTGGCCACAGGAATGTGTCTCTCCAACCCCAGCTCCAGAAAGTCAGCACAGAAAGAAAGAGAAATTCCATTTGTTTGAGAGAAAGTAAGGAAAGAAAATAAGTGTCTCTGCCTGGTAATCCAGAGAATTCTTCTGGATATTATCCAAGACCACCAAGACAGTACCTCTAAGAGTCTGCAAAAAACCACACCATTACTGAGGTTGGGGTGACCCCTAATGCAAATATGGCTTAAATCACAGCACTTAAGTCCTTTCAAATACTCTGGAAAACCTTCCCAAGGAGGATGGCTACAAATAAGCCTAGATGGCAAAGACTATAATAAATACCTAACTCTTCAATGCCCAGAAACCAAAGAACATCCACAAGCATCAAGACCATCCAGGAAAATCTGACTTCACCAAATGAACTAAATAAGACATCAAGGACCAATCCTGGAGAAACAGAGATATGTGACCTTTCAGACAGAGAATTCAACATAGCTATTTTGAGGAAACTCAAAGACATTCAAGACAACACAGAGAAGGAATTCAAAATTCTATCAGATAAATTTTAAAAGTAAATTGAAATTATTTAAAAAATCAAGCAGAAATTCTGCAGTTGAAAGACACAATTGACCTACTGAAGAATGCATCAGAGTCTCTTAATAGCAGAACTGACCACGCAGAAGAAAGAATTAGTGAGCTTGAAGAAAGGCTATTTGAAAATCCACAGAGGAGACAAATAAAAAAAGAATAAAAAAGAATAAAGCATATCTACAAGATCTACAAAATAGCCTCAAAGGGACCAATCTAGGAGTTATTGGCCTTAAAGAGGAGGTAGATAAAGAGATGGGGGTAGAAAGCTTTTTTCAAAAATATAATAACATAACTACCCAAACCTAGAGAAAGATATCAATATCCAAGTACAAGAAGGTTATAGAACACCAAGCAGATTTAACCCAAAGAAAACTACCTCAAAGCATTTAATAATCAAACTCCTAAAGGTCGAAGATAAAGGATCCTAAAAGCAGCAAGAGAAAAGGAACAAATAATATACAATGGAGATTCAATATGTCTGGCAGCAGACTTTTCAGCAGAAACCTTACAGGTCAGGAGAGAGTGGCATGACATATTTAAAAGTGCTGGAAAAAGAAAACTTTTGCCTTAGGATAGCATATCTGGTAAAAAAAATATATATATATATTCTTTAAACATAATGGAGAAATAAAGACTTTCCCAGAGAAACAAAAGCTGAGGGATTTCATCAACACCAGACCTGTCCTGCAAGAAATGTACAAGGGAATTATTTAATCAGAAAGAAAAAGGATGTTAACGAGTGATAATAAATCATCTGAAGGTACAAAACTCACTGGTAAGAGTACCTACAAAGAAAAACACTTTATTATTATAACACTTTATTATTATAACACTTTAACTGGGGTGCATAAAACTACTCTTATTCTAAGCAGAAAGACTAGATGATGAACCAATCAAAATAATAACTACAACTTTTCAAGACATAGTCAGTACGATATATATAAATAGAAAAAACAAAAAGTTGAAAAGCAGGGGGAGGAAGTAAAATCAGAGTTTTTATTAGCCTTCTTTTTGCTTGTTTGTTTGTGCACAGTGTTAAATTGCTATCAGCTTAAAATAATGGGCTAGAAGATAGTATTTGCTAGTCTCATGCTAACCTCAAATCTAAAAACATATAACAGATACACAGAAAATAAAAAGCAAGAAATTAAATCATATCACCAGAGGAAAATCACCTTTACTAAAATGAAGATGAAGGAAAGAGGAAGATGAAGGAAACAGAAAGGGAAGGGAAGGAAAGGAAAGAGGAGAAAGGGGAAAGGAAAGGAAGAAGAAAGACAAATAACAAAAGGGCAGGAGGAAGTTCTTATTTATCAATAATAACATGGAATGTAAATCAACTAAATGCTCCAATCAAAAATCAAAGAGTGGCTGAACGAATTTTAAAAACAAAAGAAATTAATGATCTGTTGCTTACAATAAATACACTTCACCTATAAAGGCATACACAGACTGAAAATAAATGGATGGAAAGGGATCCTTTGCCAATGGAAACTAAACAAAGAGCAGGAGTAGCTAGACTCATATCCGACAAAACACATTTCAAGACAAAAACTATAAGAGACAAAGAAGGTCATTATATAATGACAAAGGGGTCATTTCAGCAAGAGTATATAACAATTGTAAATACATATGCACCCAACACTGGAGCACCCAGATATATAAAGCAAATATTATTAGAGCTAAAGAGAGAGCTAGACCCCAATACAATAACAGCTGGAGACTTTGACATCCCACTTTTAGCACTCAGCAGACCTTCCAGACAGAAAATCAATAAAATCAATAAAGAAACATCAAACTTAATCTGCACTATAGATAAAATGAATCTAATAGATATTTACAGAACATTTCATCCAACAGCTGAAAAACACACATTTTTTTCTTCAGAACATGAATCATTCTCAAGTATAGACAGACCATATGTTAGGTCACAAAAGAAATCTTCAAGCATTCAAAAAAATTAAATAATATCAAGCATCTTCTCTGACCACAATGCAATAAAACAAGAAACGAATAACAAGAGGAATTTTGAAAACT
Organism: Homo sapiens; assembly: GCF_000001405.40. Lineage (NCBI taxonomy): Eukaryota > Metazoa > Chordata > Mammalia > Primates > Hominidae > Homo > Homo sapiens. Next base: position 121,381 of record NT_187577.1, on the reverse strand, counting down.
ATTACAAATACATGGAAATTAAACAATATGCTCCTGAATTCACAGTGGGTCAATGAGGAGATTAACAAGGAAATTTAAAAATTTCTTGAAACAAATGATAATGGAAATACAACATACCAAAACCTATGGGATAGAGCAAAACAGTACTAAAAGGTATGTTTATAGCTCTACGCACTTATATCAAAAAAGAAGAAAAACATTTCTATATGGTAACAGTGAACAATCTGAAAATCAAGAAAGTAATCCCATTTACAATAACTATAAATGAAATAAAATGTCTAGGAATTAGTTTAATCAAATAAGTGAAAGATCTCTACAATGAAAACTATAAAACATTGATGCAAGAAATTGAGAACACCAAAAATGAAAAAATATTCCATGTTCATGGATTAGAAGAACCAATATTGTTGAAATAGCCACACTACCCAAAGAAATCTACAAATTCAATGCAATCTCTATCAAAATACCAGTGACATTCCTCACAGAAATAGAAAAAAAAATCCTAAAATTTATATGGAATCACAAAAGACCCAGAATAGCTAAAGCTATCCTGAGCAAAAAGAACAAAACTGGAGGAATCACATTACCTGATATCAAATTATACTACAGAGGTATACTAATCAAAATGATATGGTACAGAAATATAGACCAGTGGAACAGAATAGAGAACCCAGAAACAAACCCATTAATCTACAGTGAACTCATTTTTGACAAAGGTGCCCAGAACATACACTTGGGAAAGAACAGTCTCTTCAATAAATGATGCTGAGAAAACTGGATATCCACATGCATGACAATGAAACTAGACCCCTCCCTCTCACCATATACAAAAATCAAATGAAAATGTAGTAAAGACTTAAATCTAACACCTCAAACTATGAAACTACTACAAGAAAACATTAGAGAAAGTCTCCAGGACATTGGACTGGACAAAGATTTCTTGAGTAATACACCACAAGCACACAAAACCAAACGAAACATGAATAAATGGGATCACATCAAGTTAAAAGCCTTCTGCATAGCAAAGAAAGCAATCAACAAAGTGAAGACACAACCCACAGAATGGGAGGAAATATCTGCAAACTACCCATCCAACAAGGGATTAATATCCAGAACATAAAAGGAGCTCAAACAACTCTATAGGAAAAAACCTAATAATCTGATTTAAAGGTGGGCAAAATGTCTGAATAGACATTTCTCAAAAGAAGACATACAAATGGCAAACAGGTATATGAAAAGGGGTTCAACATCAATGAGTAACAGAGAATTGCAAATCAAAACTACAATGAGATATCATCTCATCTCATTTAAATTGGCTTTTATTCAAAAGGCAGGCAATAACAAATGCTAGTGAAGATATGGAGAAAAGGGAATACTTGTACACTGTTGGTGGGAGTATAAATTAGTACAATCACTATGTATAACAGTTTGGAGGTTCCTCAGAAAACTAAAAATAGAGCTACCATATGATCTAGCAATCCCACTCCTAGGTATGTACCCAAAAGAATGGAAATCATTACGTCGAAGAGATATCTGCATGCCCATGTTTACTGCAGCACTATTCTCAATAGCCAGGATTTGGAAGCAGTCTAACTGTCCATCTACAGATGAATGGATAAAGGAAATGTGGTACATATACACAATGGAGTACTATTCACCCATAAAAAAGAATGAGATTCAGTCATTTGCAACATGGATGGAACTAGAGGTCATTATATTAAGTGAAATAAGCCAGGCAGAGAAAGACAAACACTGCATGTTCCCACTTATTTGTGGGAGCTAAAAATTAAAACAATTGAACTCATGGAGATAGACAGTAAAAGGATGGTTACCAGAGGCTGGGAAGGGTAGTTGGGCAGGTGGGGAGGGGACAAGGGAGTAAGGATGGTTAATGGGTATGAAAAATTAGTTTGAAAGAATGAATAAGAGCTAGCATTTCATAGCACAACAAAGTGTCTGCAGTCAAAAATAATCTAGTTGTACATTTTTAAATGAGTAAAAGAGTATAATTGGATTGTTTGTAACACAAAAAAATAAAGTTTGAGGGAATGAATACCTCATTTACCTTCATGTGATTATTATGCATAGCATGCCTGTATCAAAATATCTCATGTAACCCATAAATATATGGTAGATGTATGTGCAATAGATGTATGTATAAATATACACATCTACTACCCACAAAAATTAGAAATTTTTTAAAAAGATATAGACAAAAGAAAAGAAAAGTTGGTTAAGGGATCTAAAATACAGGTAAATGGAAGGGATTAGTGCTAGCACTCAATAGTACAGTAGGGAAATTATAGTTAATAATTTATTGTATACTTCAAAATAGCTAGAAGGGAAGAATTATAATATTCCCAGCACAAATAAAATATAAATATATGAGGTGGTACATACTCAAATTACCCTGATTTGATCATTACGCATTCTATACAGGTATCAAAATATAACATGTACCCCCAAAATGTATACAACTATTATATATCAAAAAATTGCTTAAAAAGTAAATTTTAAATGTTTTCTCCACAAAAAAAATAATAAGTATGTGAGGTGATGGATTTGTTAATAACCTTGACTTAATCATTACAGAAAGTAAATGTATATCCAAACTGCACTGTATCCCAGAAATATACACAATTATTATTTGTCCATTGAAAATAATTGTTTTTAAAAAATCGCCAGTAAGAGCATGCTCAACATCATTAAAGTAATCAAGAAACTGCAAATTTAAACCACTACAAAACCACTGGAATAGCTAAAATTTAAGAAGTGGATAATAACAAATTCTAGTGCAGATATGAAGGAACTCAAAGTTTCATATGCTGCTGACAGGAGTGTAAAAAGATACAACCATTTTGGAAAATATTTTGGCAATTTCTTATAAACATACACATATCATATGACCTAGAAGTTGTACTTCTACAAATTAAGAATAATGGACCAATAGTTTAACAACTTAAATGTCCATTAGCAGGTGAATGGTTAAAACAGATTGTGGTATATCCACACAATTAAATATTACTCAAAATTAAAAGGGAGAAACTATTGTGATATGAAATAAATGGATGAATCTCAAAAACACTATATTGAAAGGAAAAAGCCAGACATAAAAAAATATGTGCTGTCTCATTTCATTTATATGACTTTCTAGACCAGGCAAAGGTAACAGAATCAGAAATTATCTGGAGACAGGTGGAGGTAGAAATGACTGCAAATATGAATAAGCTTTTGGGGATGATGAAAATATACATCTTAATTTTACCAATAGTTATATACATTTGTTGAAACTCATCAACCCGTACACTTAAAATGGGTGCATTTTATTGTATGTGGATTATACCCCAATAAGATTGATTTTTTTAAAAAAAATCAAGAACCAGGTGTGGTAGCTCATGCCTGCAATCCCAGCACTTTGGGAGGCCGAGGCAGGTGGATTACTTGAGGTCAGGAGTTTGAGACCAGCCTGACCAACGTGATGAAACCGTCTCTACTAAAAATACAAACTTAGCCAGGCATGATGGCAGGCACCTGTAATCCCAGCTACTTGGGAGGCTGAGGCAGGAGAACCGCTTGAACCCAGGAGGCGGAGGTTGAAGTGAGCCGAGATTGCTCCATTGCACTCCAGCCTGGGCAACAAGAGCAAAACTCCATCTCAAAAAATAAATTAATTAAAATAAAATAAAAAATAAAGAAAGATGACTTGTTCTACCAAATAGTTAAACATAATACAAAAACACAGTAATTAAAATAATGTGATATGGTTCAAGTAATTCAGACCTATGGATGTAACAGACCCTAAAAAATTTCTGTCTACCTTGTAACCAAGGAAATTTATAACATTTGCAGTACTGCTACAAATACTGAATTATATAAAAGCATTAAACCCTAGGCCTTTTGAATTCATTATATTTTCAGGGTTTCCCTATCAAGTGAATAATCAAAATATCTAGTGTTCATATTGATATTGATACAGATTCCTGTACTACTGATTCCATTGTGAAGTAATAACCTAAAGGACACATTGGGCTGCTTAATCAATCTTCATTAAGACATCTGTAAAATGTCCAAAGATTAAGCAGAGATTTGTAAAGAACCCTATATATTTAGTCTGAAACTCAAAAGCTTATTCTAGACTCTCCTGTTTCCCATTACCAATAATTTTTTGCAGTACATTATAAACTTGTTCAAAATTCTTCAACCTACAAAATCTAAACAGTATTTTCTTGTATGTATTTCGACCCAACTTCACTTACTGTCAACATTCTGCATGGTACTCATTCACATTTGAGATATATGACATTTATGAAAAAGATAAACTAAAACAATAAATTTATTAATCAATTTTCCTAGTTATCATACTTACAGCCTCAGTACCACAATCACAGATTTCATTTCCCTCCAATCTGCCATTGCCACAGACTGGTTTCGGAGATTTTTTTTGCATTTGTGGCTTATTCTGAAGACATTTGACACCCACATTTGAAATGAAATTTTGAAAGCTCCTCAAACTGCAACTGCTAAAAGTCTTCACACCATTGGATTGCCTAAAGATGAATCCATATAATGTCATTGGCAGTATACTTCTGGAAACACATTTCTATATGATATAAATTAATTTCAAAATGTTAAATTCAATTGGCTGTTACAAATGTTTATAATAAGTGCTTAGAGGCCAAAATCATACTTGAGGATGTCATGTGATTTTATTCACTGGAATACATGTTCTTAATAAAACAAAATTAAGTACAATTCAATAGCAACACACACACACACACAGTAATCCAATTTTAAAATAGGCAAAGGATTTGAGCAGATATTATTCCAAATAAAAATCAGCACCCAGATTTGGACAGACATCACTTCAAATAAAAATTAGCACCCAATTAACCACAAAATTTTATTAAACAAATGATAATGTGCTTAGTCCTGAAGATCTCAGAAAAACAGTGTATATTTATCAAAATTATATATTATTATGTCCATATACCAATAATAAAGAGAATTCATTGACTAGTTCCATAGGAAATCCATTTTTACTATATTTGTATGTAGTAAACATCTGTAAGGCAAGGAAGAAACTGAGATTTATTGAGTACCTATTATGTGCCAGATTTCATTACTGATTTGGCTGTGCACATTGTCTTGAAAGTGACGATTTAAGATATCAGATGTGGAAGAGGAGGCAGAGTAAGAGCACGGGATAGAACCCTCCAGTGATCATCCCTCTGTAGGGACACTGAAGTGAACAATTATCCATGCAAGAAAACACCTTCACAAGAGCTAAAAGAATGAGGTAAAAGATCACAGTAACTGGTTTTGGCATAACAACAAGAAAAGACACATTGAAGAGCATAGGAATGACAGTTTTGCGTTGCCTACACCATCCCGTCCCCAATCTGAAGCAATGCACATAGAGAGTGAATTTGTCTTTTTAGGAGAGGGAGAAGGAAGTGTGCATGGGACTTTGCCTGAAAAGCCTGTACCAGCCCCACTACCGTAAAACACAGCACCAGGCTGAACCCCATGGTCCCTGATTCCAGGCTGGTGCCCACAGATTTCTAGACCTGCCCCAGCTAAGAAGAAAATTCATCACCCCAGCAGGATAGAGCCAAGCCTTGGCCAGCTTCACCACTGGCTGATGAAAGAAGCTTTAGGCCATGAATAAATATCAGCAGCAGTCAGGTAATAGTGACTGTGGGTGTTAGGTGAGCAAACCCTAACCATTACTGTGCTGGTCTATGAGGCCATGAGCTTCAGGTGTAAGCCAGTATGCTGCCAGTTGCAGTGGCCATGAAAGTGCATGTATCACCTCTCCAGCAACTCCAGACAGTGCAGTATAGAGAGCAACTCCTTCTGCTAGGGGAAGAAAAAGGAAGTGAGCAAGAGACTTTGGGCTTGGAAACCCACAGAACTGTCTCTGATATTCCCCAAGTCCATCAGGGTTGGATGCATAGGAATCTTCAAGAGAGCCACAGCGTAATTGAGCTTAAGGTGCTATCTAGTGCTGAAATGGCAGCAGTGACCATGGTCTTAACTCATCAGTCAGTACTCTTGGAATTTCTGTAAGGTCCTCTGAAGAAGGACCAATACAAACAAGGCCAGACTGTAAAGATGAGAAGAAATACTTAATTATTTAATGCCCAGATACAGCCACAAGCATTAATAACATTCAGGAAAATATGATCCCATCAAGTATAATAAATAGGGCACCAGTAACCAAACCTGGAGAAATATGTGTAAACTCTTACACAGAGAATGCAAAATAGATGTTTTGAGGAAGCTCAAATAACATCAAGAAAACACAGAGAAACAATTCAGAAAATTAATTATCAGAGATACTTAACAAAGAGATTGAAATAAGTTTAAAAATCAAGCAGAATTCCTGGAGCAATAATAGATAAACTGAAAAATGTATTAGAGGGTCTCGAAAGCAGAAGTGATCAAACAAAAGGAAGAATTCACGAGCACAAACACAGGCTATTTGAAAATATGTCAAGAAGAAAAAAGAAAAAGTGAATTTAAAAGAACAAATAACACTTATTGGATCAGTGAGATACCAAATGTACAAGTCATTGACCTTCAAAGGGAGTAGAGGAAGAGAAAGGGGGTAGAAAAGTTATTTAAAAGAACAAAGAACAGTTATTGGATCAGTGAGATAGCAAATGTAAGAGTCATTGACCTTCAAAGGGAGTAGAGGAAGAGAAAGGGGGTAGAAAGGTTATTCAAATAAATAATAATGGAAAATTGTCCAAACCTCAATATAAATATCCAGTTACAAGAAGGTCAAAGATCACCAAGAAGAGTCAACCGAAATAAAACTACCTCAACGCATATAATAATCAAACTCTCATAGGTCAAAGACAATAGAGACTCCTAAAAGCAGTAAGAGAAAAGAAGCAAATAACATATGAAGGAGTGCCAGTACATCTGGCAGCAGAATTCTCTATGGAAACCTTAAAGACCAGGAAGGACTGGAATGACATATTCCAAGTCCTGAAGGAAAAAACTTTCAACCAAGAATATTGTACCCAGGAAAACTATCCTTAAAAATGAAGAAGTGATTCAAAAGTCTTAGACCAATGAAAGTGGAGGGAATTCATCACCACCAAACCATAAGAAATGCTAAAAGAAGTTTTTCAGTCTGACAGAAAAGAATGCTAATGTGCAACAAGAACACATGTGAAGGTATAAAAGTAAACAAACAAATTTAGAACACTCTAACACTGTAACTATGGTGTGTAAACCATTCATATCTTTGGTATAAAGATTAAAAGCCAAAGATATTGAAAACAATAACTACAACAATTTTTAAGAGATAGGTAATATAAAAATATGTGAATTTAGAGATCAAAAAGTCAAAATTGGGGAGAAGGGAGTTAAAGTGTAGAGTTTTTCAGGTTGTGTTTGTTTCATTCTTTGTGATCAAAAAGTGGGTATTATCAAAAAGACAAAAAATTACACACTATAAAAGATGAGGATAAAGGCAATATCTTGAACATTCTTAGTGAAAATGTAAATTACACAACCATTATGAAAAACAATATGAATCTTCCTCAAAAAACTAAAAATAGGACTACTATATGATCTAGCAATCCACAACTGGGTATATATCTGTAAAAAAAAATCAGAATGTCACAGAGATATTTGCACTCCCATGTTTACTGCAGCACTATTCACAATAGCCAAGACATGAAATTAATCTAAATGCCCATCTACAGATAAACTGATTTTTAAAATGTGGTATATATATAAATGGAATATTATTCCACCATAAAAAGGAATGGAATCTTATCATTTCTGACAATATAAATGGAGCAGGAGGACATTATGTTAAGTGAAATAAGCCAGACACAGAGACAAACACCTCATGATCACACTCACGTGTGAAATTTTTAAAAAGTTGATTTCATAAAAAAAGTTGATTTCATAAAAATAGAGAGTAGAATAGTGGTTACCAGAGGCTGGTGAGGGAAAGAGAGAGAGGAAGACTGGGAGAGGTTGGTTAATGTGTAAAAGTTAGTTAAACAGGAAGAATAAGTTCTGGTATTTTATTACACAGTAGGGTGACTATACCAAATGACAATGTAGTGCATATTCCAAGATAGCTAGAAGAGCAGATTTTGAATGTTATTGTCATGCTGAAATGATAAATGTTTATAGTGATGGATATGGGAATTACCCTAATTTCATCATTATACAATATATGCATATGTTGAAACATTACACTGTACCCCCATATACACGTAAAAATTTTGGTCCATTATAAATTTTTAAAATGTATGAATAAAAAAAGACATGAGTTGTCACTTTTAAAAAGTATATATAAATCAAATTATCAAAATGATATATCAGGAATAGGAGGGGGCTTCAAAATGGCTGAGTAGGGGAGCCTGGCACTTTTCTCATGCACAAAAAAGACCAAAAGAGCAAGTAAATAACCAGGCATTAAATAGAGGTTCTAAGAGCAAGCACTGGAATTCATTGGAGAAGTGACAAAAAAAACTTCTGAGATGTAGAAAGACAGAGGAGCAGAGAAGCCAGCCTGGCCATAATAAGCTCAAATCCAGAAGCAAATCCTCACTGCAAGAAAAGGTAAACAAGATCCCCAGCCATCCACATTCCTATTGTGGACAGCTACAGTCCTAGCGGTGGGACAGTGCCTCAGTCCACACAGGCTCTGAGATTAGTATAGGCAGGTGCTTCGAGTCCACAAGTTGGTATTGTTCCACAGACGGTGTTTGTGCTGGATCCCAAACACCCCCATCCCCCACCCACCAAGACCCAAGCTGACACAGCACTATACTATTTTGAGAGCCCAGCCCCACCAAACCACCAGATTCAGGTTCAGATCCTGAACTGAATCCCAACAGTTCCAGCATCTCCACATCCCTATCATCCCATTGACATACCCCCACATCCACCCAGAGGGCTGCAGTGTCACAAAACAGGATTGACCCAGGAATGTAGTTGTGTCTCCAGCACTCTAGCTGATTCAGTGTCTATAGCCCAGGAAATGAGTGGTGCAGTGCACCAAGAAGGTGACCTCAAGGATGAAGGGAACCAAACAAATGCTCCCCAGAGCTTGAAAGCTTCCTACCCAGGTCTGCTGCAACTGACAGCAACCCAGAACCCTCCAATGTCAAGGTCACTGTGTACCTGCATCTACCTTCAGAGGGACTTAGGACTGGCCTGATAACATGCTGTCCTGGGGCCTGAGGACAAGCTTGCCCCACCTGCTGACTTCAGTGCCCATGCAGACCATCTGGAAACCTGAGAACAGGCCCAGTCTACCAACTGCCACCACTGCTGGCACCTGAGCATGTCACTTGGATGCCAGAAGAACAATCCACTCAAAACCACCATCACTGGTGCCTTTCTATGCCACCTGAAGGCTCCAGCAAGCCCTGCCTACTACCACCACCACGGGTGCTGAAGGACCAATAAACCTGGCATCCTTGTCCTTAGCAGAACCTCACCACAGCCTCCACTAACAAACACAGACCAAGCTACTGGGGAACTCATAAACACCACTGATGCTGCTAACAGACAAAGAAATCCTATGGAGACTACAATTCTGTGCTCACCAATAAATAAGGCCAAAATATCCTATCCAACTAATACTATAAATACATCTACAGGGAAAAGTATTTCCCCATGAAAGTCAACTCATTAAATTGTAAGAAGCAACTGATACACCAGATGTGCCAATATTAATGTAAAGACACAAAAATATGAATGAAACAAGAAAGAAAAAATATTCCTCTAAAGGAATACAAAAATTATGCAGTAACAGAGCCAAAACAAAAAGAAATCTATGAAACGTCTGAAAAAGAATTCAAAATAATGATAGTAAAGAAACTTAGTGAGACAAAACAGAGCACAGATAAATAATACAAAGAAATCAGGAAATATAATTTTAAGGAGGTTCCAAGATGGCAGCATAGGAACAGCTCCAGTCTACAGCTCACAGCCTGAGCAACGCAGAAGATGGGTGATTTCTGCATTTCAAACTGAGGTTCCAGGTTCATCTCACTGGGGCTTGTCGGACAGTTGGTGCAGGACAGTGGGTGCAGCGCACCAAGTGTGAGGCGAAGCAGGGCAAGGTACCACCTCACCTAGGAAGTGCAAGGGGTCACGGAATTCCCTTTCCTAACCAAGCGAAGCTGTGACAGATGGCACCTGGAAAATCAGGTCACTCCCACCCTAATACTGTGCTTTTCCAATGGTCTTAGCAAACGGCAGGAGATTATATCCCACGCCTGGCTCAGAGGGTCCCACGCCCACGGAGCCTCACTCATTGCTAGCACAGCAGTCTGAGATGGAACTGCAAGGTGGCAGCGAGGCTGGGGGAGGGGCGCCTGCCATTGCCGAGGCTTGAGTAGGTAAACAAAGCTGCCTGGAAGCTCAAACTGGGTGGAGCCCACCGCAGCTCAAGGAGGCCTGCCTGCCTCTGTAGACTCCACCTCTGGGAGCAGCACATAGTCAAACAAAAGGCAGCAGAAACCTCTGCAGACTTAAATGTCCCTGTCTGACAGCTTTGGAGAGAGTAGTAGTTCTCCCAGCATGGAGTTTGAGATCGGAGAACAGACAGACTGCCTCCTCAAGTGGGTCCCTGACCCCCGAGTAGCCTAACTGGGAGGCACCCCTGAGTAGGGGCAGACTGACACCTCACAGGGCCAAGTACCCCTCTGAGACAAAACTTCCAGAGGAATGATCAGGCAGCAACATTTGCTGTGCAGCAATATTCGCTGTTCTACAGCTTCCGCTGCTGATACCCAGGCAAACAGGGTCTGGAGTGGACCTCCAGCAAACTCCAACAGACCTGCAGTGAGGGTCCTGACTGCTAGAAGGAAAACTAACATACAGAAAGCACATTCACACCAAAACCCCATCTGTACGTCACCATTATCAAAGACCAAAGGTAGACAAAACCACAAAGATGGGGATAAAACAGAGCAGAAAAGCTGAAAATTCTAAAAATCAGAGTGCCTCTACCCCTCCAAAGGAACACAGCTCCTCGCCAGCAATGGAACAAAGCTGTATGGAGAATGACTTTGATGAGTTGAGAGAAGGCTTCAGATGATCAAACTTCCCCAAGCTAAAGGAGGAAGTTTGAACCTATCACAAAGAAGCTAAAAAGCTTGAAAAAATATTAGACGAATGGCTAACTAGAATAACCAGTGTAGAGAAGTCCTTAAATGACCTGATGGAGCTGAAAACCATGGCACGAGAACTACGTGACAAATGCACAAGCTTCAGTAGCTGATTCGATCAACTGGAAGAAAGAGTATCAGTGATTGAAGATCAAATGAATGAAATGAAGCGAGAAAGAAGTTTAGAGAAAAAACAGTGAAAAGAAATGAACAAAGTCTCCAAGAAATATGGGACTATGTGAAAAGACCAAATCTACGTCTGATTGGTGTACCTGAAAGTGATGGTGAGAATGGAACCAAGTTGGAAAACACTGTGCAGGATATTATCCAGGAGAACTTCCCCAATCTAGCAAGGCAGGCCAACATTCAAATTCAGGAAATACAGAGAATGCCACACAGATACTCCTTGAGAACAGCAACTCCAAGACACATAATTGTCAGATTCACCAAAGTTGAAATGAAGGAAAAAATGTTAAGGGCAGCCAGAGAGACGGGTCCGGTTACCCACAAAGGGAAGCCCATCAGACTAACAGCGGATCTCTCAGCAGAAACTCTACAAGCCAGAAGAGAGTGGGGGCCAATATTCAACATTCTTAAAGAAAAGAATTTTCAACCCAGAATTTCATATCCAGCCAAACTAAGCTTCATAAGTGAAGGAGAAATAAAATCCTTTACAGACAAGCAAATGCTGAGAGATTTTGTCACCACCAGGCCTGCCTTATAAGAGCTCCTAAAGGAAGCACTAAACATGGAAAGGAACAATCAGTACCAGCCACTGCAAAAACATGACAAATTGTAAAGACCATCAATGCTAGGAAGAAACCGCATCAACTAACGAGCAAAATAACCAGCTAACATCATAATGACAGGATCAAATTCACACATAACAATATTAACCTTAATTGTAAATGGGCTAAATGCTCCAATTAAAAGACACAGACTGGCAAATTGGATAAAGAGTCAAGACCCATCAGTGTGCTGTATTCAGGAGACCCATCTCCCATGCAGAGACACACATAGGCTCAAAATAAAGGGATGGAGGACGATCTACCAAGCAAATGGAAAACAAAAAAAGGCAGGGGTTGCGATCCTAGTCTCTGATAAACAGACTTTAAACCAACAAAGATCAAAAGAGACAAAGAAGGCCATTACATAATGGTAAAGGGATCAATTCAACAAGAGGAGCTAACTATCCTAAATATATATGCACCCAATACAGGAGCACCCAGATTCATAAAGCAAGTCCTTAGAGACCTACAAAGAGACTTAGACTCCCACACAATAATAATGGGAGACTTTAACACCCCATTGTCAACATTAGACAGATCAATGAGACAGAAAGTTAACAAGGATATCCAGGACTTGAACTCAGCCCTGGACCAAGTAGACCTAATAGACATCTACAGAACTCTCCACCCCAAATCAACAGAATATACATGCTTCTCAGCACCACATCACACTTATCCCAAAATTGACCACATAGTTGGAAGTAAAGCACTCCTCAGCAAATGTAAAAGAATAGAAATTATAACAAACTGTCTCTCAGACTACAGTGCAATCAAACTAGAACTCAGGATTAAGAAACTCACTCAAAACCACCCAACTACATGGAAACTGAACAACCTGCTCCTGAATGACTACTGGGTACATAACAAAATGAAGGCAGAAATAAAGATGTTCTTTGAAACCAACAAGAACAAAGACACAACATACCAGAATCTCTGGGACACATTCAAAGCAGTGTGTAGAGGGAAATTTATAGCACTAAATGCCCACAAGAGAAAGCAGGAAAGATCTAAAACTGACACCCTAACATCACAATTAAAAGAACTAGAGAAGCAAGAGCAAACACATTCAAAAGCTAGCAGAAGGCAAGAATGAAATAAGATCAGAGCAGAACTGAAGGAGATAGAGATACAAAAGAAAACCCTTCAAAAAAATCAATGAATCCAGGAGCTGGTTTTTTGAAAAGATCAACAAAATTGATAGATTGCTAGCAAGACTAACAAAGAAGAAAAGAGAGAAGAATCAAATAGACGCAATAAAAAATGATAAAGGGGATATCACCACCGATCCCACAGAAATACAAACTAACATCAGAGAATACTATAAACACCTCTACGCAAATAAACTAGAAAATCTAGAAGAAACAGATAAATTCCTGGACACATACACCCTCCCAAGACTAAGCCAGGAAGAAGTTGAATCTCTGAATAGACCAATAACAGGTTCTGAAATTGAGGCAATAACTAAGAGCCTACCCACCAAAAAAAGTCCAGGACCAGATGGATTCACAGCCAAATTCTACCAGAGGTACAAGAAGAAGCTGGTATCCTTCCTTCTGAAACTATTCCCATCAATAGAAAAAGAGGGTATCCTCCCTAACTCATTTTATGAGGCCAGCATCGTCCTGATACCAAAGCCTGGCAGAGATACAACAAAAAAAGAGAATTTTAAACCAATATCCCTGATGAACATCAATGCAAAAATCCTCAATAAAATACTGGCAAACCAAATCCAGCAGCACATCAAAAAGCTTATCCACCATGATCAAGTGGGCTTCATCCCTGGGATGCAAGGCTGGTTCATCAATGCAAATCAATAAATGTAATCCAGCATATAAACAGAACCAAAGACAAAAACCACATGGTTATCTCAATAGATGCAGAAAAGGCCTTTGATAAAATTCAACAGCCCTTCATGCTAAAAACTCTCAATAAATTAAGTATTGATAGGATGTATCTCAAAATAATAAGAGCTATTTATGACAAACCCACAGCCAATATCATACTGAATGGGCAAAAACTGGAAGCATTCTCTTTGAAAACTGCCACAAGACAGGGATGCCCTCTCTTACCACTCGTATTCAACATACTGTTGGAAGTTCTGGCCAGGGCAATCAGGCAGGAGAAAGAAATAAAGGGTATTCAATTAGGAAAAGAGGAAGTCAAATTGTCCCTGTTTGCAGATGACGTGATTGTATATCTAGAAAACCCCAACGTCTCAGCCCAAAATCTCCTTAAGCGGATAAGCAACTTCAGCAAAGTCTCAGGATACAAAATCAATGTGCAAAAATCACAAGCATTCTTACACACCAATAACAGACAAACTGAGAGCCAAATCATGAGTGAACTCCCATTCACAATTGCTTCAAAGAGAATAAAATGCCTAGGAATCCAACTTACAGGGGATGTGAACTACATCCTCTTCAAGGAGAACTACAAACCACTGCTCAACGAACTAAAAGAGGACACAAACAAATGGAAGAACATTCCATGCTCATGGGTAGGAAGAATCAATATTGTGAAAATGGCCATACTGCCCAAGGTAATTTATACATTCAATGCCATCTCCATCAAGCTACCAATGACTTTCTTCACAGAAATGGAAAAAACTACTTTAAAGTTCATATGGAACCAAAAAAGAGCCCTCATTGCCAAGTCAATCCTAAGCCAAAAGAACAAAGCTGGAGGCATCACGCTACCTGACTTCAAACTATATTACAAGGCTACAGTAACCAAAACAGCATGATACTGGTACCAAAACAGAGATATAGACCAATGGAACAGAACAGAGCCTTCAGAAATAATACCACACATCTATAACCATCTGATCTTGGAAAAACCGGACAAAAACAAGAAATGGGGAAACGATTCCCTATTTAATAAATGGTGCTGGGAAAACTGGCTAGCCATATGTAGAAAGCTGAAACTGGATCCCTTCCTTACACCTTATACAAAAATTAATTCAAGATGGATTAAAGACTGAAATGTTAGACCTAAAACCATAAAAACCCTAGAAGAAAACCTAGGCAATACCATTCAGGACATAGGCATGTGCAAGGACTTCATGTCTAAAACACCAAAAGCAATGGCAACAAAAGCCAAAATTGACAAATGGGATCTAATTAAACTAAAGAGCTTCTGCACAACAAAAGAAACTACCATCAGAGTGAAGAGGCAACCTACAGAATGGGAGAAAATTTTTGCAATCTACTCATCTGACAAAGGGCTAATATCCAGAATCTACAAAGAACTCCAACAAATTTACAAGAAAGAAACAAACAACCCCATCAAAAAGTGGGCGAAGGAGATGAACAGACACTTCTTAAAAGAAGATATTTATGCGGCCAACAGACACATGAAAAAAATGCTCATCATCACTGGCTATCAGAGAAATGCAAATCAAAACCACAATGAGATACCATCTCACACCAGTTAGAATGGCAATCATTAAAAAGTCAGGAAATAACAGGTGCTGGAGAGGATGTGGAGAAATAGGAACATTTTTACACTGTTGGTGGGACTGTAAACTAGTTCAACCATTGTGGAAGACAGTGTGGCAATTCCTCAAGGACCTAGAACTAGAAATACCATTTGACCCAGCCATCCCATTACTGGGTATATACCCAAAGGATTATAAATCATGCTGCTATAAAGACACATGCACACATATGTTTATTGCAGCACTATTCACAATAGCAAAGACTTGGAACCAACCCAAATGTCCATCAGTGATAGAGTGGATTAAGAAAATGTGGCACATATACACCATGGAATACTATGCAGCCATAAAAAATGATGAGTTCATGTCCTTTGTAGGGACATGGATGAAGCTGGAAACCATCATTCTCAGCAAACTATCGCAAGGACAAAAAACCAAACACCGCATGTTCTCACTCATAGGTGGGAATTGAACAGTGAGAACACTTGGACACAGGAAGGGGACCATCACACACCGGTGCCTGTTGTGGGGTGGGGGGTGGTGGGGGGGATAGCATTAGGAGATATACCTAATGTAAATGATGAGTTAATGGGTGCAGCACACCAACATGGCACATGTATACATATGTAACAAACCTGCACATTGTTCACATGTACCCTAGAACTTAAGGTATAATTTTAAAAAGTTAAAAAAAAAGAAATCAGGAAAACAATTCATAATTTCAATGAGAAATTTAACAAAGAGATAGATATCATAAAAAAGAATCAAACAGAAACCTTGAAAGTGATTATTTCAATAAATAAAATTAAAAATACAAATGAGAGTTTCCATAGTAGACCAGATTAATCAGAAGAAAGAATTTCTGAACTTGAAGACAGAGCTTTTTAAATGACCTGATCAGACAAATTATATACATATATGACAGAAAGCCTACATGACACATGAAACAGCATACAGGAACAAAATATTCACATTTTGGGACTAGAAGGAGAAGAGACGTAAAGGCATAGATGACTTATGTAAGGAATAATAGCTGAAACTCTCCAAAGTTTTGCAAGAGATATAGACATCAAGATACAGGTAACTAAAGATCTTGAAATATGTTCAACCCAAAAAGGTCTTGTTCAAGGCACGTATAGTCAAACTACCAAAATTCAAAAACAAAGAGAGAATTCTAAAAGCAGAAAGAGAAAAATGTCAAGTCATGTATAAAGGACTACCCATGAGAATAAATGTAGATTTCTCAGCAGAAACCTTATAGGCCAGGAGAGAATGAAAGTATATATTCAAAGTACTGCAAGAAAACAACTATCAGCCAAGAATATTATACACAGCAAAGCTATCCTTCAAAAATGAAAGAGAAATAGAATGTCTTTTTCAGACAAGAAAAAAACAAAGAATTTGTCACCACTAGACTAGTCCTATAAGAAATGCTTAAGAGAATCCTAAACCAGGAAGTAAAAGGAGAATAGCTACCATCCTGAAAACACATACAAGTGTACAACTCACTGGTGGAATAGATGAGAAAAGAAAAGGAGAAGAGAAAAGAAAAGGAGAAGAGAAAAAAAAATGTTAAACGCTATCACAACCCAAATTATCTAATGTAAAGGTATACAATAAAACAGGAAGAAAGGCTGAGCATGATGGCTCACGCCTGTAATCCCAGCACTTTGAAAGGCCAAGGTGGGTGGATCACCTGAGGTCAGGAGTTCGAGACCAGCATAGCCAACATGGTGAAACCCCATCTCCACTAACAACACAAAAGTTAGCCAGGCATGGTGGTGCACACCTGCAGTCCCAGCTACTTGAGGGGCTGAGGCAGGAGAATCGTTTGAACCCGGGAGGCAGAGGTTGCAGTGAGCCAAGATCACACCACTTCACTCCAGCCTGAATGACAAAGTGAGACCCTGCCTAAAAGAAAAAAAGAGGAAGAATGAAAGAAAGAATATATCAATCAGAAAACAATTGACAAATGACAGGAGTAAGTCCTAATTTATTAATAACAATATCAAATGTAAATGGCTTAAATTTCTAAATTAAAAAATATAGACTGGCTGAAAGGATTTAAAAATATATATGCTGCCTATAAAAACTCACATTGTAAAGACATGTAGACCAAAAGTGAAGGAATAGGAAAAAAAAATTCTGCACAAACAGAAACCAAAAGCATGAAAGAGTAGCTATACTTATGTCAGAAAAAAAATAGATTATAGGATAAAACACATAAAAAAAACCAAGTCATTATATAATGATAAAGAGAACAATTCAGCAAGAGTACATAAAAATTATAAATATATATGCACCAAACAATGGAGCACCCAGATATATAAAACAAATATTATTAGAAGTAAACAGAGAAATAGACCCCAATACAATAATAGTTGTTGACTCCAACACCCCTCTTGAAGCATTGGACAGATCATCTAGGCAGAACATCAACAAAGAAACATCAGATTTAATCTGCAGCACTATCAAGCAAATAAACCTAACAGATATATATGGAAGATTTCATCTAATAGCTGCAGTCTAAACATTCTTTTCATTAGTACATGGAACATTCTCCAGCATAGTCCACATGTTAGGCCACAAAAGAAGTCTCAATTAATTTTAAAACACTGAATACATATTAAGTACCTTCTTAGACCATATGAAATAAAAGTAAAAATCAATAATAATAGGAATTTTGAAAACTGTACAAATACATGAAAGGTAAACGAATGCTCCTGAATAACCATTGGGTCAATGAATAAATTAAGAAGGAAACAACAAATTTCTTGAAACAAATGAAAATGAAAACAAAATAATATCAAAACTAGTGACATACACAAAAGAAGTACTAAGACAGAATTTTATAACAATAAATGTCATCAAAAAAGTAGAAATATTTCAAATAACCTAATGATGTACTTCAGGAACTAGAAAAGCAAGAAAAAACCAAACCCAAAATTAGTAGAAAAAAATAAAGACCAGAGCAGAAATAAATGAAATAGAACCTAAAAAATAAAAAGAACTAAAGAAGCAAAAATTAATTTTTGGAAAACGTAAACAAAATTGATACACAGATATCTAGACTAAACAAGAAAAAATGAGTAAAGACCCAATAAATTAAATAATGATAACGAGACATTACAACAGATACCACAAAAATACAAAAAATCATTAGAATCTATCGTGAACAACTCTATGCTGACAAATCGGAAAACCTAGAGGAGACAGATAAATTCCTGGACACATACAACCTGCCAAGATTGAACAAGGAAGAAATAGAAAACCTGAACAATCTAATAACAAGTAATGAGACTGAATCAATAATCAAAAGTCTCCCAACAAAGAAAGCCCATAACCACATGACTTTACTGCTAAATTCTATCAAACATATAAGGAAGAACTAACACCAGTTTTTCTCAAACTATTCCAAAACATCAAAGAAAAGGAAATTCTCACTAACTCAGTCTTGAGGGAGGCCAGCATTATCCTGATAGGAAAATCAGACAAGGACACAACAAAAAAAAAGAAAACTACAGGCCAATATCCCCAATGAACATAGACACAAAAATTCTCAACAACGTATTAGTAAACCTAATCCAACAACACATCAAGGAGATATATTATATAATGATCAAGTATGATTTATACCAAGATTGCAAGGATGGTTTAACATATATGAATTAGTAAATATGATACATCACATCAACAGAATGAAGGACAAAAACCGCAAAATCATTTCAATAGCCACAGAAAATGCATTTGACAAATTTCAACATGGCTTCATGATAAATACTATCAATAAGTTAGATATAGAAAAAATGTACCTCAGCATAATAGGGCCATATATAACAAACCCACAGCTAACACCCTACTGGACAGGAAAAAGCTTAAAGCCTTTCTCCCAATAACTGGCACAAGACAAGAATACCACTTTCACCACTTTTAACCAACATAGTACTGAAAATCCTAGCCAGAGGAATTAGAGAAGAGAAATAAAAGGCATCCAAACTGGAAATGTAGAAGTCAAATTTTCCCTCCTTGTAGGTGACATGCTCTTATATATAGAAAAATCAAAGATTCCACCAAAAAACTCTAAAAACTGATCAACAAATTCAGTAAAATTGCAGGATTCAAAATCAGCATACAAAAATTAGTAGCCTCTCTATTCTCCAGAAACAAACTAGCTGAATAATAAATCAAGAAAGCAATCTCATTTACAATAGCCATGAAAAATATAAAATACCTAGAAATAAACTGAACCAAGGAGGTAAAAGACTTCTACACAAAAACTACGAAACAGAGATATAAAAAAATTAAAGAGAACAAAAACATATGGAAAAACATCCACCCATGTGGAGTAGAGAAATTAATACTGTTATCATGATCATACCACCCAAAGCGATCTACAGATCCAACAAAATCCATAACAAAATACCAATAATATTCTTCACATAAGTAGAAAAAACAATCCTAAAATTAATATGGAACCACAAAAGATCCTTCAAAATATACTGTAAGTCTGTAGGAATAAATTCAGAACAGTATTGGTATAAAAACAGACAAACAGAGCAATGAAACAGAATAGAAAGCCAAGAAATAAACCCATCTATTTACAGCTAACTGATTTTCTTCATAGATACCAAGAACATAATACGTGTGCTGGGAATAACTGGATATCCATATGCAGAAGAATGAAACTAGGGCCCTATCTCTAACCACATACAAAAATCAACTCAAAACGGATTAAGGACTTAAACATAAGGCCGGAAACTGTAAAACTGCTAGAAGAAAACAGAAATATTTCAGGACATTGTTCTAGGCAGATTTTATGGCTAAGACTTCAAAAGCACAGGCAACAAAAACAAAAATAGACAAATGGAACTCTATTAAACTAAAAAACTTATGTACAGCAAAAGAAACAATCAATGGAATGAAGAGACAATCTGTAGAATAAAAGAAAATATTTGCAAACTATTCATCCAATAGGTGGTTAATATCCAGAATATACAAGGATCTCAAAAACCTCAACGGCAAATAAAAAAATAATCGCATTTAAGGGGAGAGGTGGCAAGGTGGCCAATTAGACGCAGCCAGGAATAACATCTGCCACTGAGGGACTGGGACATTAGGAAGACTGGTGGGCTCCTAGCAGATCTTCAGAGAAGGCAATAAGAGCAGACAGAGGGAAGACACAGATGCTGGGCTGAAGGGGGAGGAAGCCGGAAACCTTACACGAGGCTACTATGCACTGAGACTTCTTCCTGGCCCCAAAACACTCCTGGGGAAAGGGTGAGTTTAACAGGCAAGAAGCAACCTGCTCTCACCACAGGCCCCTGGAATCCCAGCAGGAGGAGAGCCCCCAACCACCACAGATGCTTGAGTTGGCCAGGAGAGCTGCTTACAGAAGTGGCAGAGGCAGAACTCCAACCGGTGTAGAGCCCAGAGGTTTGGTGCAGGAGTGTCAGTAGTAGAGCATGACCAGCGTCACCCATCTGCCTAGGCTTAACTTCCTTCCGTACGAGACTTTAGCCCTAGGGGAACTGTCGTACCTGAAGTCTGCAAAGCAGTCTTGCCCATGAGATGGGGCCAGTCTGACCTGAGCACCCCTCTAACTGGTGGCCTCTCCCACGGACCCAGCATGGCCATGACTGCTTGCAGCACAGCCTCAGTTGCCCAGGGAGGATACCTCCTAGGGACCTGCATCATAGCTCCTGCACTGGTGGACTGCATCTGACCAGCAGAGCAGCCCCCACAGACAAATATCAGCTTGCTTGTGCCCTCTCTTCACTGCAGCCTGTCTATGATGCTTTACCTATACACACTCACCCATGGCCACCACCTACAGTGCTTTGCTGGTGTGTGTGTCTGTGTGTGCAGGAGAACCTTGCCTCCCCTTCCCCGTCAGTTCAGGTGCACCCTGCCAAAACACTGCTGCCAGCATCGGTGTACCCCATACCATCCCTCTGCTGCACCACCATTGCCACTGGAGCATTGGAAGGCACAGAGCCCATGAGCCCCACCCTTGCACTGACACTGACATCAGCGTAAAACTAGGCATTAAAAACAGCAAACCCACCCCTTCACTGAGCAGCCACTGCTAACCACTTGAGTGTGCACAGAGGGCACACACTGTCCTGCACCCACCAGTGCCCCCATGCTAACACCACCACCAGCACAAATACATGAACAGTAGCTGTTGGGGGCTTCCCACCCCACCCTGAGCTATGCTGTCACCATCGCTGCTACAAACACTGGTATGGAAGCCAGCACCCCAGTACACACTAGCACCCTCCTGCAACTGACAAGCATGCACCCCACTGCACCGCCACCGCCACTGCTGTTGGCACATGCAAATAAAGATGGATCCTGCTGCCACTGCCCTAGGAAGCACTTTGGCTGGCACCACCTATTGGAATGTTGTGGCCAGCAGTCTGGGAGCACCATGGCTCCTCCACAGAAGCAGGTTCCTAATCTCAAGGAGCCAGAGAACAAAGCTGGGGCATGATACTAGTCCCACAGAATTAAAGCATGCAGTCCAGGAATCCTGAGCCTAGCCTTGGCCCCCTAAAAATCTTCCAAAACAAAGCCAGTCGACTGAACCCACCTGATACCAAAATCAAACCCCCAAGGTCATCAAATATGATAAAAGAAAAAAAATTCAAAGGACAACCACATCACGGATTGAAGGAACACCAGCCCACAAAGATGAGAAAGAACCAGCGGAAGAACTCGGACAACTCAAAAAGCCAGAATGTCTTCTTTCCTCCAAACACCAAACTAGTACTCCAGCAAGGGTTATTAACCAAGGTGAGATGGCTGAAATGACAGAAACAGAATTCAGAATATAGATAGGAATGAAGATCATTGAGATTCAGGAGAACATTGAACCCAATTCAAGTAACCTAAGAATCACAATAAAATGATACAGGAGCTGACAGACAAAATAGTCAGGATAGAAAAGAACATAACCAACCTGATAGAGCTGACAAACACAGTATAAAAATTTCATAATGCAATTGCAACTATTAAGAGCAGAACAGACCAAGCCAAGGAAAGAATCTTGGAGCTTGAAGACTGGCTTTCTGAAATAAGACAGTAACACAAGAATAAAGAAAAAAGAATATAAAGGAAAGAACAAAACCTCCAGGAAATATGGGATTATGTGAAGAAACTAAGTCTACAACTCATTGGCAACCCTGAAAGATATGGGGAGAATGGAAGCAACTTGGAAAACATATTTCAGGATATCATCCTAGCTAGAGAGGCCAACATTCAAATTCAAGAAATCCAGAGAACCTCCACAATATGCTTCACAAGAAAATTATTCCCAAGACACATAGTCATCACATTCTCCAAGGTCAAAGTGAAAGAAAAAATGTTAAAGGCAGCCAGATAGAAAGGACAGGTCACCTACAAAGGGAAGCCCATCAGACTAACAGTGGACCTCTCAGCAGAAACCCCACAAGCCAGAAGAGACCAGAGGCCAATATTCAATGTTCTTAAAGAAAAGAAATTCCAACCAAGAATTTCATATTTGGCCAAACTAAGCTTCATAAGCGAAGGTGAAAAAAAGATCCTTTTCAGACAAGCAAATGCTGAGGGCATTAGTTACTATCAGATGTGCCTTACAAGAGCTCCTGAGAGAAGCACTAAATGTGGAAAGAAAAGACCGTTACCAGCCACTACAAAAACACACTGAAATACACAGAGCAATGACACTATAAAGCAACCACACAAACAAGTCTGCAAAATAACCAGCTAACAACATGATGGCAGGATCAAATTCACACATATTTATATTGACCCTTAATGTAAACAGGCTACATGCCCCAATTAAAAGGCATGGAGTGGTAAGCTAGAAAAAGAAATAAGACCCAATGATATGCTGTCTTCAAGAAAACCATCTCACATACAATCACATCCATAGGCTCAAAATAAAAGAATGGAGAAAAATCTACCAAGCAAATGGAGAACAGAAAAAAGCAGGTGTTGCAGTCCTAATTTCAGGCAAACAGACTTTAAACCGACAAAGATAAAAAAAGACAAAGAAGGGCATTACATAATGGTAAAGGTTAGAAATGACAAAGGGGATGTTACACTGACCCCACAGAAATGCAAATAACCATCACAGACTACTACAAACACCTCTATGCACACAAGCTAGGAAATCTAGAAGAAATGAATAAATTCTGGGACACATACAATCTCCTAAGACTGAACTAGCAAGAAATTAAATCCCTGAACGGACCAAAAACAAGTTCTGGAATTGATTCAATAATAAATAGCCAACTAACCAAAAGAGAAAACCCAAGACCAGACAGAGTCACAGCCAAATTCTACCAGATGTACAAAGAAGACCTGGTACCATTCCTGCTGACACTCCTTCTTTACATCATATACATAAATCAACTCAAGATTGATTAAAGACTTAAATGTAAAGCCCAAAATGTAAAAAACCTGGAAGACAGCCTAGGCAATAATCATTCTGTACATAGGAACTGGAAACATTTCATGATGAAGACTCCAAAAGCAATTACAACAAAAACAAAAACTGACAAATGAGATCTGATTAAAACTAAAGAGCTTCTGCACAGCAAAAGAAACTATCAACAGAGTAAACAAACAGCTTACAGAACAGGAGAAAATATTTTCAAACTATGTATCTGATAAAGGTCTAATATCCAGCATCTATAAGGAACCTAAACAAATTTACAAGAAAAAACAACCCTATTAAAAAGTGGGCAAAGGACATGAATAGGCACTTTTTAAAAGAAGACATACATGCAGCAAACAAGCATATGAAAAAAAGCTCCATACCATTGATTATTTGAGAAATGCACATCAAAACTACAATGAGATACCGTCTCATACCAATCAGAATGGTTATTATTAAAAAGTCAAACAATAACAGATGCTGGTGAGGTTGTGGAGAAAAAGGAACACTTATACACTGTTGGTGGGAGTGTAAATTAGTTCAACCATTGTAGAAAACGTGTGTTGATTCCTCAAAAAGCTAAAAATAGAATGACCATTCAACCCAGCAATGTGACTACTGGATATATACCCAAAGGAATATAAATCGTTCTATCATAAAGACTCATGCATGTATATGTTCATTGCAGCACTATTCACAACAGCAAAGACATGAAGTTAACCTAAATGCTCATCAGTGGTAGACTAGATGAAGACAATGTGGTACACGCACACCACGGAATACTATGTAACCATAAAAAGAATGAGATCATGTTTTTTGCAGGACGATGGATGGAGCTGGAGGCCATTATCTTTAGCAAACTAACACAGGAACAGAAAACTAAATACCACATATTTGGGAGCTAAAGGATGAGAACACATAGACACATACAGAGGAACAATAGACACTGGGTCCTACTTGAGGGTGGAAGGTGGGAGGAGGGAGAGGATCAGAAAAAAACTATTGGGTACTAGGCTTAGTACATGGGTGGCAAAATAATCTGTACAACAAACCCCCATGACTCAAGTGTACCTATATAACAAACTGCACAGGTACACCTGAACCTAAAATAAAAATTTAAAAACGCACACACAAGTAAATCTCACTTAAAAGTGGGCAAAGGATTTGAACAGACATTTCTCAAAGGAAGACATACAAATTGCCAAACTGCTCTCTTTTCTGACACGAAAAAATATTCAGCATCAGTAATCATTGGAAATTTTTAAATCAACACCGCCATGAGATATCATCTTGCCCCAGTTAGAATGGTTATTATCAAACAACATAAAAACTAACAAATACTGGTGATGATGTTGAGAAAAGGCAACTCATACGCTGTCAGTGGGAATGTAAATTCATACAGCCATGATAGGAAGTATTGTGGAGGTTTCTCAAAAAACTAGAACTAGAACTACAATACAAACTAGCAATCTTTGTACTTGGTATTTATCCAAAGTAAAGGAAATCAGTATATTAGAAAGATACCTGAACCTTCATGTTTATTGCAGCACTATTCACAATAGCCAAAACATGGAATAAACCTAAGTGTGAATCAGTGGATGAATGGATAAAGAAAATGTGGTATACATCACAATGGAATACTATTCAGCCATAGAAAAGAAGTAAACTTTTTCATTTGTAACAACATGAATGGAACAGAAGGTCATTATGTTAAGTGAAAAAAGCCAGGCACAGAAAGGTAAATATCACAATTCTCAATCATGTGCAGGACTTTAAAAGTTTAACTCATAAAGATATAGAGTAGACACTTTCGGAGGCCAAGGCAGGCGGATCACGAGGTCAGGAGATCGAGACCATCCTGGCTAACATGGTGAAATCTCGTCTCTACTAAAAATACAAAAACAAAATTAGCCAGGCGTGGTGGCTGGCGCCTATAGTTCCAGCTGCTCGGGAGGCTGAGGCAGGAGAATGGCGTGCACCCAGGAGGCAGAGCTTGCAGTGAGCCGAAGCTTGCAGTGAGCCGAGATCGCGCCACCGCACTCCAGCCTGGGCAACAGAGCGAGACTCCATCTCAAAAAAAAAAGATATAGAGTAGAATAATGCTTTCCAGAGACTGGGAAGAGTGGGTAGGGGAATGAAGAGAGGTTGGTTAATAAGTAGACACAGTTAGATAGAAAGAATAAGTTCTAGTGTTCAATAGCAAAGTAGGGTGACTGTAATTAATGGTAATTTATTGTATATTTCAAAATAGCTAGAAGAGGAGATTTGATGTTTTCAACACAAATAAATGATAAATGTTTGAGAGGACGGATATTCTAAATACCCTGATTTGATCATCACACACGTATACAGATATGAAAATATCACGTGTACCAAATAAATATGTACAATTATTATATATCAATAGAATTTTTTCAATAATAATAATACATTTAGACACAGTTTTACCCCAAAAAAAATGATATAATGGAAGGAGCGCTTAAGTATAAAAGTGAATTTTGAACAAATACATATGAATATTCTCTTGCTACTTAGTTTAAGCGAATGCCAATATATTAAGTCTTCTACATGAAGGAAGTGTAGACTAGAGAATGAAACAAGGCTTTGAAATTAGATAAACTTGTTGACTAATACCAACCCTATGACTTATGAGGCCTTAGGCAAAGTGATTAAATTATCTAAGTCTTAGTATTTTCATCTGCATAATAGGGATAATGCCTATCTACCTCATAGATAGGTGAGGCTGTGAGAATTAAGTATAATTAAATAAGTGAAGTGTCTAATTCAATTATCTGGCTTTTAATAGGTACACAGTAAATCACTGCTAGTATTACTGGCACCTGCTAAAGTGTGTACACTAATTAACTGTATATCTAGTAAATGTAGATCACTTCAGCTACTTATACTCCAGGGCTTTTTAATAAACACATTAAATTGAAATATGTAACTAATTACATGCTTTCTTTGAGAACTAACATAATGTGTGAGATGTACTGTGGATATGCAAAAGAGTTACACGTCTGCTATTATTAGATTTTGTAAAAATTAATATAATACTCTACTCATACACCAGAGATTTGTAAGAAATTGGAGATTATATATGAAAGCATTTTAAATATAAAGTACCACATGAACTTAAAGGTTTACTAATACAGGCTCAAAACCCAAGTCTGCCACAAACTAGCCATCTGACCATAAGTAATTATCCTTTTTATAACTTAGCCTCTCATCTGTAAAAATGGGAATAATAGGAACTGCCCTGTAGAGATATTGTGAGAATCAAGTAAGTTAATATATGTAAAGTGCTTGGAATGGTCTCTAGAACATAGTAAGTACAATGTAAATATTTGTTCATCTTATTATCATTAATCTTAGGCTCTGGGTGACCTACACAAAACATTGTCCTAGCATACTTGAGAATAGCTGGCCATATGAACAATGAGCCCAAAATAATTATTCTTATGTTGTTGTGATAGATGGATGGATAGATAGATAGATAGACAGACAGACAGACAGACAGATAGATAGACAGATTCCATTTATCCATCTATATGGACATATGCATATCAATTATATATATACATATATGGATATGTGTGATTATGTGTGTTTGTGTGTGTATATGTACATATATACACACATTCCTTTCAGAGCTAATTTGTAATATAATTGCATGTGTATACACATATAAAATATGTTGAGTTTGAGCTATTTTTGTGGGTATATATGTTGAGTTTGAGTTGTTTTTAGAACATAAGAGTTAACCCTTAAAAGGTGCTTAGGAGTACCCATAAAAATAATGTTTTCAAAATTTAATGTCTTATTTTCACTTTTGACCTTTGACCTTTTAACCTATGATAGGTTACCCACGTCATAGGCCATATTTGCAAACAGAAAAACTACAAAATGCTAATGACACCTGCTGTAGTTCTTGTCTGATATATCATCTGGGGAAGATTAATAAGTTTAGAAATCACTGTAGCTAATCAATCACATACTTATAGAATTCTACAGTTTAGAAAACCCTTTCCTATTTCATTTTTTCTTTTATTCTTACATCACCCTGTGAAATAAAAGAATAGGCATAATTATTCCCATTTAAAGATGAGAAAAGTAAACTTAGGCAAAGTCAAGTAATTTATCCAAAGTCACACAAACATATATATATATATATTTTGGTCTCCAACTAGGACTTCTTACTCTTTTGGATGTTAGGGGTTTTTTTTCATAAAATCAAACAATTCTAAAAGCAAAACCAAAAACACCTTGTCTAAAACAAAGGCCACTTATTATGTTCTGCTGACATATTTTTAAAGATCCTGGCCGGGCGCGGTGGCTCACGCCTGTAATCCCAGCACTTTGGGAGGCCGAGGCGGGCGGATCATGAGGTCAGGAGATCGAGACCATCCTGGCTAACATGGTGAAACCCGGTCTCTACTAAAAATACAAAAAATAAGCTGGGCACGGTGGCGGGTGCCTGCAGTCCCAGCTACTCGGGAGGCCGAGGCAGGAGAATGGTGTGAACCCGGGAGGCAGAGCTTGCAGTGAGCCGAGACAGCGCCACTGCAGTCTGGCCTGGGCGAAAGAGCGAGACTCCATCTCAAAAAAAAATCCATACTAAGTGCTTTCATATTCTTTGGCTAATATATCTTTCAGATTGGATTTGTTATCTTTGATTATCTTTAGTTTATACTTTATACTACTTTTACATTTAAAATTACATGTTTATACTTGGTGAATTTGGTCCATTGATAGCTAATTTGTGCTTTAAGTAAATACTAAATTTTCACACTCTGAATATTTAAAATGAAATAAACATAAGCAATAAATAAATTGTTAAAACTTACACAACTTCTGGATTCATTATACAGGTGGATTCTGAACATTGACATTTCTTTGGGTCGTCATATGATATTCCCAGACTGAGTGCCAGCATCTGGGTGACAATAACTGCAAATGCCTCCAGAGTTATCTCCTTGGGGTACTATAATAACAACAAAGAAAATTCTAAGGAAAGATAATTCTCTAAAGGGTGGTAAAAATAATTTTCTAATTATGAATATTTTATTATTTTATCAAATGCTAAAGAATTAGGGAGATATGGATCCTTGAACAGGTGAGAAGCTGAAGCTCTTCTTATGAAGTTTTACTGAGATAGAAGCACATTGAGTGTATGCCAAGCTTTGTGATAATTTAACAACTGAACACCTAACATAATTCTTAGGTAGTTAGTATCAATATATAAAAAAATTGTTTTGATAAAGAAAATCTACATTACACTGTTGGTTATATGGACCATAATCTTCAACTCATCTAACTTTTTACAAGAGCTCTAATACTCATTTTGGATAATCCGTATAATCTCCCCTAACCTCCAGCTCATGAAATGGCCACTAACCAAATTACCCAATTTAAGTGCTCACCCTGCTGCCTACTAGGAACTTCATTGACACAGTGACTGGTATGAAAAGAAGCCACAGAAAACAGATCCTTCAGATTGCACTATTGGATTAGGCTGTTTATATATTTAACACAGATAACCTCCTTGCGAAAAAGAAATGGGGCATTGGTAATTCATGGTATGCAATGACATCATGATTTCTCAAATTATCACCAAAGCTGGCATAGGATATGATGCAGGAGGAGGAAGATAAAGACATTTAATTGCTATGGTGACAATAGGGATAATAAAGATTTTGCAGTCAATTAATTTCTTATAACAGCCCTAAAGGATGCACATAATGAAGAACAGAAAGGGAACGCTGCAAATGAGCAATGGAAAATGCAAACGGAATCAGAAAGCCTCTGCAGCAGCAATGAAGTAACTCATCTGTAGTCATGGATTGACATGGCTGAGGACCAAGCTGGAACCTACCAGATTTGGTGGGAAAAGCATTAGAATCTGAAACTTGGGAGGCGAACAATTGGAATAACATCTCTTTACTTCCCTTGCCAGCAGAGGAAGCCCTCTCCAAACAATGAGAGAGCCCCTGCATTTAAAAAAAAAAAAAAGTTTTAATGACGATAGCTGGAACATTAGTCTCACTACCCCACATTGCCTCTAGGTCCAAATCAAGAATTAATTATCAACATGGTCTTGAAGGAGAAGTATCAATGTACTGCTCTGGAAGGGGATAATTTATACTTTGAAAGGGATTGATCAGACAGTATGAAATAGAAGGCTGGACTGGAACAAATTTATTGTAATTCATGACTCACCTGGGATTTTGTATTTAATGTGCCAAGTAAAAGCAGGAGTCATGTTAACTGAAATTAGACTTAATGGGAGCCTACTGTCAGTAAGGTCAAAATACTAGAGCTTTCCTGGCATACTGTATGGTGAAAAAGTGCTGAGTTTCAGGAATATGGTAATATTGAATGAATCTACTGTGTGAAACCTGTTGGGAAACTACCCTTGATCAAACATTCAAAGAGAGCTGGGAGGATATTTCCTTCAAGACACTTGGAAATGCTTTGCTGAAAGACACACCAATATCGTCAAAAATCTCTGCTGTTTTTTTGTTTGTTTGTTTGTTTTTTGTTTTTTGTTTTTTTTTTGTAGACTGGAGATGACAGTAGCATAGTGCAATGGATCTTGGTTCTCTGAAACCAGTTGGAATTTTTTTTTTTTTTTGAGATGGAGTTTCACTCGTGTTGCCTAGGTTGGAGTGCAATGGCATGATCTTGGCTCACTGCAACCTCCACCTCCTGGGTTCAAGTGATTCTCCTGCCTCAGCCTCTCGAATAGCTGAGATTACAGGCACCCACCACTATGCCTGGCTAATTTTTGTATTTTTAGTACAGACTGGGTTTTGCCATGTTGCCCAGGCTGGTCTCGAACTCCTGACCCTCAAGTGATCCACCTGCCTCAGCCTCCCAAAGTGCTGGGATTAGAGGCATGAGCCACCACGCCCAGCCCCAACAGGAGCATTGGGACCAGGAGTGTTACAGGCCATGCGGCACAGCTTAACTGAGACAAGGTGGGTGCAATTACCACCATAGGCTAAAGGGGCTTACAGATTATCAAAGCTGCTTTGACCTACAGGGATTATGATAATTATTTCAGGGACCCTAAAAATAAAATATATGAGCATCATACTGAAGATTTTCTTGACATTCTAGGTCTGGTGGCAAAAACTTAACATGAGTTGCTGTGATGCAGATTCCCAGAACTAAACCAATTCACAACCTCAGGGATTCACAACTAAGTCAGGAACCTGCCATACAGATGAAACTGACTATTCCCCCAAGCCTTCCACAGAGGGACCTGTAGCTATTCACTAGAATAACTGTGCACACAGGAAAAGAAAATAGCTAGGACTTCTGGGGCTTATTGGTTTCTGAGTCAGAACTAAAGTTACCCTGAAAAACTGAATACCACCTTAGTCTACTGGTCTAAGTGCAGGCTTATGGAGGTCAGGTAGTCAGAAGAAACTTGTTTCAAGTTCATCTAACAGTAAATCCAAAAGAACTTCAGATATGTCCTACTATTATTTTCCAAATCCCAGAATTATGGCTGGAATAGAAATACTAGCACATATTGTCTGCTGACCAATGGAGTGAGACATGTTATGATAGGGAGGGCCAAGAGGAAGTGCCTGGAACTGCTCCCAAGATGATAAATCAAGAGTAATATGGCATCCCTTGGGGAATTGCATACTACTTATATTAGTGTTGCCATTAAAGTTTGAAATTGTAGGAGTAATGATACATGTCACATAATCATTTAACTTGTTTGTTTGCCTGGTGCAAAAGCAAAAGATAGATAATGACTGTAAATTATCATCTGAAACCGATCTGCCTTTCTAAACAGCTCGAGCACTCTACCTGCCATCAACAGAAGCCAGTGATAAGCCTCCACCATAGCACTATGCCCCTGTTGGATTAGCCAGTAAACTGGAGATAGGTTTATTACAGTGGACTGCTCATTCATTGAAGGAGGAACGATTTGTCCTCGTGTATCCCAGGTATGGATTTTCCTTGCCTGTCTGCAGTGATTCTGAAGCACGACATTCCTGCGCTTAAAGAATGTCTTCTACATCACCACACACTATTGTTTCTGACCAGGGTCACATTTTGTGGCCTAGTATTTATAGAAATGGGTTCATTACTACAAGATTTACTTATCACATGTCCTGTAACACAGAAGCAACTGGCTTAATACAAGACTGTAATGGCTGGCTAAAGATTCAGTTGTGGCACCAGCTAAGGAACAACATCCAGAGAGGTAGGAAGGATGTCACTAATGATTTTTTAAATATCCTAAAGCAGCAGCCAAAACTTGGTGCCATTTCCCCCATAGCCATTAGGCTTGAGTCTGAGAACAGAGTGAGTGATGATGAGGAAAGATGGGATGGGAATTGCTAGATAAGTTGCTGCATACTAGCTGGCAGAGGCTGTGGTGACTTACTATACTATATTGGGAATATACTATATTGGGAATAGCCCCAGGCTGGTGCGGCACTGCATGCAGAGTTACTCTGGGCCTAAGGTTTCTGGTATGGTAGGGGTGAATTAGAGGCAGACATTTAACTTCCCCACCATTCTGGGACCATTTGTGAGAGGCTCACTCCTGTCTCATCACACAGGAACCACTGGGAGTGCTGGTAGGGCTAAGCCATCTGGGTCAGTTGGAGATGAAAAATAGTGGTGGGGCTCACAGTGATCAGCACATGATTCTTTGGGGTTGCTCTTCATTCTGGCCAATGGAGGTGCCACGCCAGAAAGACTAGCCAACAGCATCATGCTGCAGGAAACACGATACAGATTCCAAACATACAAAAATACTGCCTAGCCAGGGAAGACAACCTACAATACTGCTCCATCAGAAACAATCACAGAACCCAGCCAGTATCCCCACCTGATGTTAGAGTCCAGCCAGTGGTCTCACTAGACCACGGAGCACAGCCAACTATACCATTTGACCTCAGAGTACGGGAAGCAACCAAGCCCAACTAGAGAACCCAACACCAAGGTCTGCCTGTCCACGGTTGTAACCAATGGCATCCAGAATCCCAGGTTACAGTAAAAGTAAAGGTCTGTTACCAGAAAAGAACACCTGCAAAAGCTAGAAGACGTGAACATCTCCTCAAATGCATAGGGACACAAGGATTACGAAAAATCAGGAAAATATGACATCACAGAAAGAAACTAATAAAGCTCCTGCAGTGTACCCAGAAGAAAGGATATTTATGAAATGACTGACAAAGAATTCAAAATAATCCTCTTCTGGGAGATGTTGGTCAAAGAATGGATATTTAAAGACAGAAAGGAAGAATACATTCAGGAGTTCTATTGTACCGCTTGGTAACTACAGTTAATGATGATAAATTGTATTCTTGAAAAATGCTGAGAGAGTGAATGTTAAGCATTCTCACCGTAAAAATGATAAGTATGTGAGGCAATGCATTTGTTAGCTAGATTTAACCATTTTATAATGTATACAGTCTTCAAAACATCATGTTGTGCATGGTAAAGGCAGACAATTTTATATGTCAATTTAAAAAATAAATGAATTTGAAATAAAAGAAAAAACAATCTTTCTCTACTCACATAGTCATGAATCTTTGTTCCTTTTTTTAATCTTCCAGAGCTTTACTGTTTAACTTGCACATATAGAGCTATAATCTATTTATATTCTGTCTTTCAAATAGCATCAAGTCAAAGTAGAGTTTCTTTTATCAAAAAGCCCATCTGCTAACCAGTGCACTACAGTGTCGCCTTTGTAAAAAATTTAGTGTATGCCTATACATTTTTTTGTTTCTGAACTCTCTGGTCTATTGGTCTATCACTGCACCTGTCTCTGTCTTAATTACTAAGTGTTTATAATGTCTTGATATAAACTATAATATGTCCCTCAACTTTGTCGTTCTTCAAAATTATTGT
Organism: Homo sapiens; assembly: GCF_000001405.40. NCBI lineage: Eukaryota > Metazoa > Chordata > Mammalia > Primates > Hominidae > Homo > Homo sapiens. The sequence continues at coordinate 87,694 of NT_187577.1, read as the reverse complement.
GGCTTTGTAAAAGTGTAAGTATAAAAATTGTGTTTTACACTTCCTTGAATTTATCTCCTCCCACAATTTTATCGTATGCCTTGCCTCAGCCACTCATTCTTATGTTTCACACTCTAGCCCTTGTCAACAGATCTTTATCAATAACTGCCACCCCTCCATCATCTTAGTAACTTCATCTCACAGACTGATCATCTGCATTTTTTCCTGATTACTCCTCTAGCACCTCCAACAATTCATGAACCAGCCAGCACATCTAACTCATGGTTCCAACCACATTTTCACTGTTCCTAACTTCCTTACTAACTTCTCTCTTTCACTCATCAGTTCAAATTCCTTTACATACACCCTGAATTTCCTTGCCATCTTTTCACTTCATAATGACTTGGCAAAAATATGATACATTAGTCTTCAAAATGCTGAGGTAGGAAGATGTTAGGACAAAGATTCTATACCTAGCCCAATTATCAATCAAATGTTAATGTGTCCGGAATTGGTGGGTTCTTGGTCTCACTGACTTCAAGAATGAAGCCGCGGAGCCTCGCAGTGAGTGTTACAGCTCTTAAGGTGGCGTGTCTGGAGTTTGTTCCTTCTGACGTTTGGATGTGTTCAGAGTTTCTTCCTTCTGGTGGGTTCGTGGTCTCGCTGGCTCAGGAGTGAAGCTGCAGACGTTCGCAGTGAGTGTTACAGTTCTTAAGACGGCACGTCTGGAGTTGTTCGTTCCTCCTGGTGGGCTCATGGGCTCGCTGGCTTCAGGAGAGAAGCTGCGGATCTTCGCGGTGAGTGTTACAGCTCATAAAAGCAGTGTGGACCCAAAGAGTGAGCAGTAGCAAGATTTATTGCAAAGAGTGAAAGAACAAAGCTTCCACAGTGTGGAAAAGGACCCAAGCGGGTTGCCACTGCTGGCTAGGGCAGCCTGCTTTTATTCTCTTATCTGGCCCCACCCACATCCTGCTGATTGGTAGAGCCAAGTGGCCTGTTTTGACAGGGTGCTGATTGGTGCGTTTACAATCCCTGAGCTAGATACAAAGGTTCTCCACCTCCCCATCAGATTAGTTAGACACAGAGTATGGACTCACAGGTTCTCCAAGGCCCCACCAGAGCAGCTAGATACAGAGTGTCGATTGGTGCACTCACAAACCCTGAGCTAGACAGAGGGTGCTGATTGGCGTGTTTACAAACCTTGAGCTAGATACAGAGTGCCAATTGGTGTATTTACAATCCCTGAGCTAGACATAAAGGTTCTCCAAGGCCCCACCAGAGCAGCTAGATACAGAGTGTCAATTGGTGCACTCACAAACCCTGAGCTAGACACAGGGTGCTGATTGGTGTGTTTACAAACCTTGAGCTAGATACAGAGTGCCAATTGGTGTATTTACAATCCCTGAGCTAGACATAAAGACTCTCCACCTCCCCACCAGACTCAGGAGCCCAGCTGGCTTCATCCAGTGGATCCCGCACCAGGGCTGCAGGTGGAGCTGCCTGCCAGTCCCGCGCCATGTGCTCGTACTCCTCAGCCCTCGGGTGGTCGATGGGACTGGGCGCCGTGGAGCAGGGGGCAGCGCTCGTCAGGGAGGCTCGGGCCGCAAAGGAGCCCACAGAGGCAGGGGAGGCTGAGGCGGGGGAGGCTTAGGCATGGCGGGCTGCAGTCCGGAGGCCTGCCCCATGGGAAGGCAGCTAAGGCCCGGCGAGAAATCGAGCACAGCACCCGTGGGCTGGCACTGCTGGGGGACCCAGTACACCCTCTGCAGCCGCTGGCCCAGGTGCTAAGCCCCTCACTGCCTGGGGTCGGCAGGGCCGGCCCGCTGCTCCGAGTGCGGGGCCCGCCAAGCCCACGCCCACCCGGAACTCCAGCTGGCCCGCAAGCGCTGCGCGCAGCCCCAGTTCCCACTCGCGCCTCTCCCTCCACACCTCCCTGCAAGCTGAGGGAGCCAGCTCTGGCCTTGGCCAGCCCAGAAAGGGGCTCCCACAGTGCAGCGGTGGGCCAAAGGGCTCCTCAAGTGCTGCCAAAGTGGGAGCCCAGGCAGAGGAGGCACCGAGAGCAAGCGAGGGCTCTGAGGACTGCCAGCAAGCTGTCACCTCTCATTAAGACAAAATAAAAGTGTTTTCATTGAAGCGGGTAGGACCAAGATGGCTGATTAGAGGCAGCTACAGTCCCCAGCTCTCATGGAAAGGAATGAAAACGGCAAGCAAATTCTACACTTTCAACTGAGGTATCCAGGTTATTACACTGGGACTGACTAGGCAGACGGCTTGACCCACGGAGAGCAAGGAAAAGCAAGGTGGGGTGATGGCCCACCCAGGAGTGGCATGGAGCCAGGGAAGCCCACATCCCCAGCTAAGGGAAGTGATGAGTGATTGTGCAGCCCTACCTTGAAAACCGTGCTTTTCTCATGGCTCTTTGCAACCCATGGATCAGGAGATCCCCTCATGAGCCCATGTCACCAGGGCCTTGGGTCCAAAGCACAGAGAGTGTGGAGCCTCAGGGAAGCAGCCATTTGGGCATACTATGGACACCCAGGAGTTTTGAATACCCTAGCCCCAGGAATTCCTGCCAGGCGGGAGATCCATTCATGCATTCCTGTAGGAAGGGGGCTGAATCCAGGGAGCCAAGTAGTGTTGTTCTGCAGGCCCGACTTCCACAGCACCTCTCAAGTTAAGACCCACTGGCTTGGAATTCGAGCCAGCCAGTAGCAGCAGGCTGGAGACTGACTGAGACGGACTAAGTTCCTTGGGGAAGGAGCGGCCACATCTCTGTGCTTCAAGTTGGCCATTCTAGCCTGCTGTCTCTGGAGACTCCAGGTAGTCCAGACCAGAACTCTGATCTCTCTCTGGGATGAAGCTTCCAGGGGGAAGGGATGGCCATAGTCTCTGTGGTTCAGCCGACTATGCCTTTCCAGCCTGCTGGCTCTAGAGAGTCTGGGTGGTCTCGATGAGGAGGGCTCCCCCAAACACAGCACATCTGCTCTGTGAAGGGACAGCCAGACTGCTTCTTTAAGCGGGTCCCTGATGATCCCATTCCTCCTGACTGGGTGAGACCTCCTACAGATATCACCTACAGGAGTATATGGGCTAGTATAAGGTCAGTGCCCTCCTGGGATGGAGCTCACAGAGGAAGAAGCAGGTTTCCATCTTTGCTGTTTCCTAGCCTTCACTGGTGATACCTCCAGGTGTGGGAGAGACTGAGGCAACTAGGGTCTGGAGTGAACCCCCAGCAAACTGCAGCAGCCCTATGAAAGAGTGGCCTGACTGTTAAAAGGAAAAACAAACAGAAAGCCACAACAATAACATCAAAATAACATCAACAAAAAAGGCCCCACAAAAACCCCATTCAAAGGTCAGCAACCTCAAAGATCAAAGGTAGATAGCCCACAAAGATGAGAAAAATCAATGCAAAAACACTGAAAACTTAAAAAGCCAGAATGTCTCTGCTCCTCCAAATGACCCCAATATCTCCCAGCAAGGGCACAGAACTGGGCTGAGGCAGAGATGGCTGAAATGACAGAAGTAGTCTTCAGAAGGTGGGTAATAAAAAACTTTGTTGAGCTAAAGGAGAATGTTCTAACCCAATGCAAAGAAGCTAACAATCATAATAAAACAATACAGGAGCAGTTAACCAGAATAGCCAGTTTATAAAGGATCATAACTGACCTGATGGAGGTGAAAAACACAACACAAGAAATTCACAATGCAATCACAAGTATCAATAGCAGAACAGACCAAGAGGAGGAAAAAATATCAGAGCTTGAAGACTGTCTTTCTGAAATAAGACATTCAGGCAAGAACAGAGAAAAAAGAAGGAAAAGGAATTAACAAAACCTCTGAGAAATACGGGATTATATTAAAAGACTGAACTTACAACTGATTAAGATACCTGAAAGAGATGGGGAGAACAGAACCAAGTTGGAAAACATACTTCAGGATGTCATCCAGAACTTCCTCAACCTAGCAAGACAGACCAACATTCAAATTCAGGAAATCCAGAGAACCCCAGTAAGATACTCCATGAGAAGTTCAGCCCCAAGACACCCAATCATCAGATTCTCCAAGGTCAAACTGAAAGTAAAAAAAAAAAAATGTTAAGGCAGTCAGATGGAAAGGCCAGGTCACCTACAAAAGGAAGCCCATCAGAATAACAGCAGACTTTTCAGTGGAACCTTGCAAGCCAGAAGAGATTGGGGGCCAATATTCAACATTCTTATAGAAAAGAATTTTCAACCCAGAATTTCATATTTAGCCAAACTAAGCTTCATAAACAAAAGAGAAATAAGATCCTTTTCAGACAAGCAAATGCTGAGGGAATACATCACCACCAGGCCTGCCTTACAAGAGCTCCTGAAGGAAGCATTAAATATGGAAATGAAAAACAATTATCAGCCACTACCAAAACACATTGAAGTACACAGATCAGTAACACTATGAAGCAACCACATAAAAAAGTCTGCAAAATAACCAGCTAGAATCATGATGACAGGATCAAATTCACACAGAACAACATTAATTTTAAATGTAAATCGGCTAAATGTAAATAGGCTAAATGCCCAAATTAAAAGACACAAATGACAAGATGAATAAAGAGTCAAAACCCACTGGTATACTGCCTTCAAGATACCCATCTCCCATGCAAAGACACATAGGCTCAAAATAAAGGGATGGCTGGGAGCAATCACTCAAGCCTGTAATCACTCAAGCACTTTGGGAGACCAAGGTGGGCAGGTCACTTGAGGTCAAGAGTTCAAGACCAGCCTGGCCAACATAGTGAAATCCTGTCTCTACTGAAAACACAAAAAATTAGCCAAGCATGGTGATGTGTGCCTGTAATCCCAGCTACTTGGGAGGCTGAGGCAAGAGAATCTCTTGAACCTGGGAGGCAGAGGTTGCAGTGAGCCGAAATCATGCCATGGCACTCCAGCCTGGGCAACAGAGTGAGACTCCTGTCTCCAAAAAAAAAAAAAGGAGGAGATGAAGAAAAATTTATCAAGCAAATGAAAAACAGAAAAAAGTTGGAGTTGCAATCCTAGTTTCTTACAAAACAGACTTTAAACCAACAAAGATCAAAAAAGACAAAGAAGGGCATTACATAATGGTAAAGGGTTCAATTCAATAAGAAGAGCTAACTATCCTAAATACATAAGCACCCGATACAGGAGTACCCAGATTCATAAAGCAGGTTCTTAGAGACCTACAAAGAGACTTAGACTCCCACACAATAATAGTGGGAGACTTTAACACCCCACTGACAATATTAGACAAATCATTGAGACAGAAAATTAACAAAGATATACAGGACTTGAACTCAGCTCTGGATCAAGTGGACCTGATAGATATCTACAGAAATCTCCACCCAAAATCAAGAGAATATACATTCTTCTCATCGCCACACAGTACTTACTCTAAAATCAATCACATAATCAAAAGTAAAACACTCCTCAGCAAATGCAAAAGAACTGTAATCATAACAAACAGTCTCTCAAACCACAGCACAATCAAATTAGAACTCAAAATTCAGAAACTCACTTAAAACTGCACAACTACATAAGCATTGAACAACCTGCTCCCAAAGGACTCCTGGGTAAATAATGAAATTAAGCCAGATATCAAGAAGTTCTTTGAAACTAATGAGAACAAAGAGACAACGTACCGGAATCTATGGGATGCAGGTAAAGCCATGTTAAGAGAGAAATTCATAGGATTAAATGGCCACATCAAAAAGCTAGAAATATCTCAAATCAAAAACCTAACATGCCAACTAAAAGAACAAGAGAACCAAGAGTAACCGAACCCCAAAGCTAGCAGAAGACAAGAAATAACCAAGATCAGAGCAGAACTGAAGGAGATAGAGACACACAAAAAAACCTTCAAAAAATCAATGAATCCAGGAGCTGCTTTTTTGAAAAAATTAATATAATAGATAAACCACTAGCTAGACTAGTAAAGAAGAAAAGAGAGAAGAATCAAATAGATACAATCAGAAATGATAAGGGGGATATCACCACTGAACCCACAGAAATACAAACAACCATCAGAGAATACTGTAAACACCTCTATGCACGTAAACTAGAAAATCTAGAAGAAATGGATAAATTCCTGGACACATAACACCCTTCCAAGACTGAACCAGGAAGAAATTGAATCCCTGAATAAACAAATAAATGAGTTCTGAAATGGAGGCAGAACTAATGAATAGCCTATCAACCAAAAAGAGCCCAGGACCAGAAGAATTTACAGCTAACATTCTACCAGAGGTAGAAAGAAGAGCTGGTACCATTTTTACTGAAACTATTCCAAACAATTGAAAAGAAGGGACTCCTCCCCAATTCATTTTATGAACCCAGCGTCATCCTGATACCAAAACCCAGCAGAGATACAACAAAAAAAGAAAACTTCAGGCCAATATCTCTGATGAACATCGATGCAAAAATCCTCAATAAAATACTGGCAAACTGAATCCAGCTGTACATCAAAAAGCTTATCCACTATGATCAAGTTGGCTTCGTCCCCAGGATGCAAGGTTGGTTCAACACACACAAATCAATAAATGTGATTCATCACATAAACAGAACTAAAGACAAAAACCACATGATTATCTCAATAGATGCAGAAAAATCCTTTGAAAAAATTTTCATGTTAAAATCTCTCAGTAAACTAGGTAGAAAGAATGAACATACCTCAAAATAATAAGAACCATCTATGGAAAACCCAAAGCCAATGTCATACTGAATGGGCAAAAGCTGGAAGCATTCCCCTTATAAACTGGCACAAGACAAGCATTCCCTCTCTCACCATTCCTATTCAACATAGTATTGCAAGTTCTGGCCAGGACAATAAGGCAAAATAAAAAAATAAAGGGAATTCAAATAGAAAGAGAGGAAGTCAAATTGTCTTTGTTTGCAGATGACATGATCCTATACCTAGAAAACTTCATCCTCTCAGCCCAAAAGCTCCTTAAGCTAATATGCAACTTCAGCAATGTCTCAGGATACAAAATCAATATGCAAAAATAACTAGCACTCCTACACCAACAACAGAAAAGCAGAGAGTGAAATCATGAATGAACTCCCACTCACAGTTGCTACAAAGAGAATAAAATACCTAGGAATACAGCTAACAAGGGAAGTGAAGGACCTCTTCAAGGAGTACTACAAATCAGTGCTCAAGAAAATTAGGGAGGACACAAACAATTGAAAAATATTCCATGTTCATAAATAGAATCAATATCATGAAAATGGCCATACTGCCCAAAGCAATTTATAGATTGATTCAATGCTATTTCCATTAAACTACCATTGACATTCTTCACAGAATTAGAAAAAAAAAACTATCACACTCTGGGTACTGTTGTGGGGTCGGGGGAGGGGGGAGGGATAGCACTGGGAGATATACCTAATGCTAGATGATGAGTTGGTGGGTGCAGCGCACCAGCAAGGCACATGTATACATATGTAACTAACCTGCACATTGTGCACATGTACCCTAAAACTTAAAGTATAATAATAAAAAATAAACAAATAAATAAATAAATAAGGAAACTGAGGCAAAAAAAAAATCATATGGAACCAAAAAACAGTTCAAATAGCCACAACCATCCTAAGAGAAAAGAACAAAGCTGGAAGCATCATGCTACCCAACTTCAAACTATACTACAAGGCTACAGTAACCAAAACAGCATGGTACTGGTACAAGAACAGACACATAGACCAATAGAACAGAATAGAGAACTCAGAAATAAGACCACACACCTACAACCATCTGATCTTCAACAAATCTGACACAAACAAGCAATGGGGAAAGGATTCCCTATTTAATAAATGGACCTGGGAGAACTGGCTAGCCATATGCAGAAAATTGAAACTGGACTCCTTCCTTACACCTTATACAAAAATTAAGTTGATTGGGCATGGTGGCTCACGCCTGTAACCCCAACACTTTGGGAGGCCAGGGCAGGTGCATCACATGAGGACAGGAGTTGGAGACCAGCCTGACCAACACAGTGAAACCTTGTATCTACTAAAAATACAAAAATTAGCCAAGTGTGGCAGTGCACGTCTGTAATCCCAGCTACTGGCAAGTCTGAAGCAAGAGAATCGCTTGAACCTTGGAGGCAGAGGTTGCAGTGAGCCTAGATTGTGCCACTGCACTCCAGCCTGGGCTACAGAGTGAGACCCTGTCTCAAAAAAAAAAATTAACCCAATATGGATTAAAAACTGAAATGTAAAACCCAAAACTATCAAAACCTTTGAAGAAAATCTAGGCAACGTCATTCAGGACAGAGGCATGGGAAAAGATTTCATGACAAAAATGAAAAAAGCAATCATAATAAAAGCAAAAACTGACAAATGGGATCTAATTAAACTGAAGAGCTTCTGCAGAGCAAAAGAAACTATCATCTGAGTGAATAGACAACTTACAGAGGGGGAGAAAATTTTTGCAATCTATCCATCTCATAAAGGTCTAATCTACAGAGTCTACAAGGAACTTAAACATATTTACAAGAAAAAAAATTAAAAAGTGGACAAAGGACATGAACAGACACTTCTCAAAAGAAGACATTCATGTGGGCAAAAAACATGAAAAAAAAAAACTCAACAGCACTGATCATTAAAGAAATGCAAATTAAAATCACAATGAGATACCACCTCACTCCAGTCAGAATGGCGATTATTAAAAAGTCAAGAAACAACAGATGCTGGCAAAGCTATGGAGAAATAGGAATATGTTTGTTTTGTTTGGTTTGTTTGTTTGCTTGTTTGTTTTTGAGACAGAGTCTCCCTCTTGTTGCCCAGGCTGGAGTGCAGTGGCACGATCTCGGCTTACTGCAACCTCTGCCTCCCAGGTTCAAGTGATTCTCCTGCCTCAGCCTCCTGAGTAGCTGGGATTACAGGTGCCTGCCACCATGCCTGGCTAATTTTTGTATTGTTAGTAGCGACAAGGTTTCACCATGTTGGTCAGGCTGGTCTCAAACTCCTGACCTCGTGATCCACCCGCCTCAGCCTCCCAGAATGCTGGGATTATAGGCGTGAGCCACTGCGGCCGGCCTGGAACATGTTTAGACTGTTGGTGGGAATGTAAATTAGTTCAGCCATTGTGGAAGACACTGTGGCAATTCCTCAAAGACCTAGAGGCAGAAACACCATTTAGCCCAGCAATCCCATTACTGGGTATATACCCAAAGGAATATAAATCATTCTATTATAAAGACACATGCACCTCTATGTTCATTGCAGCACTAGTCACAATAGCAAAGACATGGAATCAACCCAAATGTCCATCAATGATAGACTGGATGAAGCAAATGTGATACATATATAAATGTGATACATGTACACCATGGAATACTATGTATGCAGTCGAAAAAAGGAAAGACTTTGCAGGGACAAGGATGGAACTGGAAGCCATTATCCTCAGCAAACTAACACAGGAACAGAAAACTAAACACTGCATGTTCTCACTTATAAGTGGGAGCTGAACAATAAGAACACATAGACACAGGGAGGGGAACAACACACGCTGGGGCCTGTCAGGGGGCCAGGGAAGGGAGAGCACCAGGATAAACAGCTAATGTATGTGGGGCTTAATACTTAAGTGATAGGTTGATAGGTGCAGAAAACCACCATGGCACACATTTACCTATGTAACAAACCTACACATCCTGCATATGTACCCAAGAACTTAAACGCTGAAGAAAAAAAGTGCTTTCATTGATAAAATAGCTCAATGTTTGCAATTCATATACACTGTGTTAAAAAAAAAATCAAGAGTTATTCCAGAAAAGTAGTAAAAGATTCCAAGAAAAGGAAGATGGGATTTCATTTTCTGTGGCAGTTGGTTTCACCCATAACAAGTAAAAGAAGTTAGAAAAAAATTCAGTGCTCCATTAGATTCTGATGCCTAAAATGTCCTCCTTTGACCATCAAAGCTTTACTGTCATAAGAAATATTTATTTCTTTATTCAATAGTTAATATTATTTATATATTTATAATACTATAAAATGCTGTTTATTTATTTAATTCTTACATCAATCTCTAGACAAAGTGCAAAAGCCCTACAGAATTAGTTATAAATTATCTAAATATTGACAATGGGTATAAGAAACATACAACTACATTACACCTCTTACTGTTCACAGCAAGCAAACAGTGGACATTGTTTAACATATATATAGATATTACATAAAATTAAAAATAAGAACCAATATTTAAATATATATATTTAAACATAAGCAACAAGTAGAGAGAGTGGACTCAACATATCAAATGTAATATTACCAATATTGTCTACAGTTTATAAATTAAAATAGAGGTAAGGGCATATATATTTTTAAATAAATAAATTTAACCAACAGAAGAACTTAAATGGAAATTATTAAATTCTTAAATAGGACTAAATGAAGAGGTAGACAGTTTTACTATCATTTTTTGCTTTGTATATCTATAGTTTAAACAATTTACCATGTGCATTCATTATTTCAGTAATAAAAAATGTTTAAGTATTAGAAATAAAAATAGGTGCTGCAAAATCACATTTTGCAAAAAAATATATAGAGAGAGAGCTACAGTAACAGATAAACAGAGAAACACACGAAGTAGAAGATATACATGCAGGTGATATGTAATGATCAAATCAGGGTAACTGGGCTATCCATAACCTCAAACATATACCATTTATTTGTTCTGAGAACAATCCAAATCTTGTCCTCTAGCTATTTTGAAATATACTATAAATTATTGTTAATTATAGTCACCCTATTGTGCTATCGAATACTAGAACTGGCCAGGCATGGTGGCTCATGCCTGTAATCCCAGCACCTTGGGAGGCAGGCAGCACCGAGGCAGGCAGATCACTTTAGGCCAGGAGTTTGAGACTGTCATGGCCAACATGTTCAAAACCCTTCTTTACTAAAAATACAAAAAAGTTAGCTGGTTGTTGTGGGTCACCTCTGTAATCTCAGCTACTAGGGAGACTGAGACATGAGAATCGCTTGAACCTTGGAGGCGGAGGTTGCAGTGAGCCAAGATCAGGCTGCTGCACTCCAGCCTGGCATAAAAGCAAGACTCTGTCAAAATATATATATATATACTAGAACTTATTCCTTCTACCTGACTGTAATTTTGTACCCATTACTCAACTTCTCTTCATCTCCTCTTCCCCCTACCCTTCCCAACCTCTGGTAATCACCATTCTGCTCACTGCCTTTACATACAACTATTATGTGTCAATAAAAAAATGAATAACAGTTTCTAAAAACATGTTCTAAAAATTTTTTTATTTAAAACTCTTTTAAGAAAACAATAAGATATATATATCAATCAAAATGTTAATAGTGGTTATCTCCACCTGGTGGCAAAATGCAAAATTATATGAATTTTCTTATATGTTCCTATATATATATACTTAACAAATTTGACATCATTAACATAAATTACTTTGTAAGTTAAAAAAATAGTACTTAAACTTGTTTTTTTAAAAATGAGTAGGGTGAGAAAATGGCACAAAGAGATGCATCAACTTTTCAATAATGCATTTATTTTTACCCATTATATATATAAAATCACATTTATCCGTATTATAAATGCTTAAAATACACATAAAAGTTTATTTTACTGTCTTTCAGAGTTCTGAAACATCTTAAGGAATCCTTAATCTGGTTTTTGTTTTGATTTTGAATCTATTTTATCTATAAGAATATTTCTCCAATTTTATGTCTGCAAGCAAAAATCTATTTTGGGTTATAGAAATTTTACTGCAGATAATTTTTCACAATGCATTATTCTGTATATCAAGAACAGCATGCGTATTTATGATATTTTTATTCCAACTCTGAAACATAATTAATTGCAACAAGATATTGATCTACAAAATATTCTTCCTTCTACACACTTAAAAATTTTAACAGTAATGGAAAAAAATGCAATCTGTAAATGGAAACATGCACATAAATTGTACAAAATATATACTATCATGTCAAATAATTTTTAAACGTGTTAATTTAAAAAATAAGATTAAATAGTTACATACCAATGCAACTCCTGCAGAATAACGAGTAATACACATTGTTCCAGGAAACACTGCTCCCAAATAACGAGGATAATCCATATAACTAAATAAATAAATTTACATTTATAATTGATTTTAACAGACAATTTAAAAATGAGAATTCCTGCTAATAATTTAAGTCTGCAGTTCATAAAATCCAAATCTGAAGCAAATTGAGGTATGATCTTTCCATATGTCCTCAATTGTTTCAAATTTGGAATATTATCTAATATGACATATTAGTATTAATTAGATTAAACACTCTTGATATCTGAAACATATCTAATAGATCAAAGTTTTTAATGCCTTTAGTGTTCTCATCACATCTGGCTATGTTTGCCAAAGGCTTTGCTCCAATATTCTGATAAAAAATACTTTGTTGAGTGACAGTGACAAATCGTTTCAATGTATAGATTAAAATATGTTGCTCCCAGGTAGTAAAGTTCAACAGTTTCCAATAGGAGTGCTTTATTGTTTCACACCCAAACATTATTATTTCAGCCTTGAGTAAGGAGCCATTTAAACTGTCATATAATAATAGCACTATTCTCAGAACTTTACATTAACTAATCCATTTAACACTCAAAACAAACTAGTGAAGTAGATATTATTTTTGTCCCCATTGAGCAAATCAAGTATCAGATGCGAAGTATAAGTAACTCTCTCAAGGTAGCATGATTAATACGTCCTACTGAAGGATCTGAACTTACACAGTCTGAATCCGAGCCATATTCTCAACTACTAAGGTATAGATGCTCCAAGCATTTACTGCCTTATTTAGAGCCCCCACCAAAACGAATAAGCCAGGATGTGAGTAAAGAAGCTTAAGAAGCTTGGAATTCAATTCTCAATTTGAAATGCCCCTTCTGTCTCAATTGCACTTCACTTCACAATCGCACTGCCTCTCCACTACTTTTATTCTGTCTCTCTGATATTGTTTATACCTAACCCTTCCAGCATTTGTTTCCAAGTATTTGTTCCTAATGCCCAACATTGGTTTTATGTTCCAACATCTAAGTATTGTTTACTCTGTTTCTCCCTCCCACAGATACTTTAATAAGCCCTTTTTTTACAACTTAGACTTCCCCTAAAATTCTACACATACTCCTGACAAGCTCAGTAATATATTTTTTACCTCATACTGACACCTTTTGACGTGCCCACTCCACATCAAATCAGTTGTCAAGATCTACCACCTTGCTTTGTCAGTGTTTGTTTCCTTTCCCTCCTTCAAAGGTTCAGCTCCAGTTCTAACTATGAATTCCATACTCTATAAAAGGTAATAATATTAATCCTAAAGAAAACTCTAGCAGACTAAAAGTTGGGGGTGGAAGAGACCTTCTACACTATACAGGAAACCAAAAAGTAAGAAGAAAATATTAACAAATTTGGCCATATGAAATGTAAAAGTTTTCATGTAGTGTTGGGAGCCGAAAGCCTGAGGGTCATGACCAACTCAGCATTCCCCTGGAGGCTATATGATTAAACAGCAAACTGTTTATCATGAATGCATAATGTGGGCAAATTCACATCTGTGCCTGCCACCAGAAGGTATGCTGAGGGCAGTCACTCCCTGGTGCCGTGCTCCTTGAGGGTATCTACTGGAACATCTGGAGCCTACTGTTCAAAGAATGCAGTCATGCAGGCCTGCACTAAGTCAAGCGGCTGACCACAACCACCCCCTTCTCCCTATCTCCTTTACTCAATAAATATGAAGGGCTCTAGAAGTTCAGGGCCCCTGTTCACTAAAAGCAAGGAGCCCCCTGACCCCTTCTTGCAAATATATTCTTTTCTCTTTGTCTTTATTCCTGCATTCGTCCTCCTTTGTTCAGTCCAGCAAGGTCTGCTGCAATGTAGCAGAGAAAAAAAAAGTTTATAGAAAAATTATAGATATGGAAAAAGTATTTGTCATAAAGATAAACAATGTTAGTATCTAAGCATTCAAAAAGCCCTTACAGGCATCCAAATCGGTAAAGAGGAAGTCAAACTGTCACGTTTGGTGATGATACGATCATTTACCTTGAAAATGCTAAAGACTCCTCCAGAAAGCTCCTAGATCTAATAAAAGAATTCAGCAAAGTTTCCGGATACAAGATTAATGTACACAAATCAGTAGTTCTTCTATAACACCAACAGTGATCAAGCAGAGAATCAAATCAAGAACTCAACCCCTTTCACAATAGCTGCAAAAAAATAAAATACTTAGGAATATACTTAACCAAGGAGTAGAAAGACCTCTACAAGGAAAACTACAAAACAATGCTGAAAGAAATCATAGATGACACAAACAAATTGAAACACATCCCATGCTCATGGATGGATCGAATCAATATTGTGAAAATGATCATATTGCCAAAAGCAGTCTAAAAATTCAATTCAATCCCCATCAAAATACCACCATCATTCTTCACAGAATTAGAAAAAAAATTCTAAAATTCATATGGAACCTAAAAACAGCCCTCATAGCCAAAGCAAGACTAAGCAAAAAGAACAAATCTGGAGCCATCACACTAACTGATTTGAAACTATACTGTAAGGCCATAGTCACCAAAATAGCATGATACTGGTATAAAAATAGGCATGTAGATCAATGGAACAGAATAGAGAACCCAGAAATAAACCCAAATACTTACAGCCAACTGATCTTCAGCAAAGCAAACAAAAACATAAAGTGGGGAGAGGACACCCTATTCAACAAATGGTGCTGGGATAATTCCCAAGCCACATGTAGGAGATGAAACTGGATCCTCATCTCTCACCTTATACAAAAATCAACTCAAGATGGATTTAACCTAAGGACTTAAACTAAGATCTGAAACTATAAAAATTCTAGAAGATAACATTGGAAAACCCCTTCCAGACATTGGCTTAGGCAAGAATTTCACGACAAAGACCTCAAAAGCAAATGCAATAAAAACAAAGATAAATAGTTGGGACTTAGTTAAACTAAAGAGCTTTTCACACAGCAAAAGAAACAGTCAGCACAGTAAACAGACAACCCACAGAGTGAGAGAAAATCTTCACAATCTATACATCTGACAAAGGACTAATATCCAGAACCTACAATGAACTCAAACAAATCAGTAAGAAAAAAACAAACAATCCCATCAAAAAGTGGGCTAAGGACATGAATAGACAATTCTCAAAAGAAGATATACAAATGGCCAACAAACATATGAAAAAAATGCTCAACACTAATGAGCAGGGAAATGCAAATCAAAACCACAATGTAAAACCACCTTACTCCTCCAATAAAGGCCATAATCAAAAAATCAAAAAACAGTAGATGTTGGTGTGGATGCAGTGATCATGGAACATTTCTACACTGCTGGTGGGAATGTAAACTAGTACAGCCACTATGGAAAACAGTGTGAAGATTCCTTAAAGATCTAAAAGCAGAACTACCATTTGATCCAGCAATCCCACTACTGGGTATCTACCCAGAGGAAAAGAAGTCATTAATTGAAAAAGATACTTAGACACGCATGTTTATAGCAGCACAATTCACAATTGCAAAATCATGGAACCAACCCAAATGCCCATCAATCAACCAGTGGATAAAAAAACTGTGGCAATGTGATGGAATACTACTCAGCCATAAAAAGGAATGAATTGACTGCATTTGCAGCGACCTGGATGAGATTGGAGACTATTATTCTAAGTGAAGTAACTCAAGAATGGAAAACCAAACATCGTATGTTCTGACCAATATGTGGGAGCTAAGCTATGAGGCAAAGGCATAAGAATGATACAATGGACTGTGGGGACTGGGGGGAAGAGTGGGAGGTGGGGCGAGGGATAAAAGACTACAAATATGGTGCAGTGTATACTGCTCAGGTGATGGGTGCACCAAAATCTCATAAATCACCACTAAAGAACTTACTCATGTAACCAAATATCACCTGTACCCCAATAACTTATGGGGAAAAAATATAAATATTAAAGATAATGAAATTATTTTTTAAAAACCCTTACAAATTATAGGGAAGTAGTCAAATGACAAGAAAAGGCAATTACAGAAGGACAGATACAAATGATCAACAAGCATTTGAAAAGATGCTCAAATCCACCAGTCATCAGAAAAAAAGCAAATTAAAATGACAATGACATTAAGTTATATCCATCAGACTACCAAAAATTAAAAGAGCAGTAACATTTATGGCTGGCAGAGATGTGAGGGAAAGATTAGTCTCACACAAGCAAAAGAAAACACTGACATACCAAACTTAAATACATATATAGACATGTATAGTTTCATTGAAAGACACTTGCTAATTATTGCTAATAAATTTAATATGAATACAATTATAAATATATAGCTATAATTTATAATTAGAAAACTAACATTTTAAAATTACTCAGAAAATTCATTAGGGTAAAGTCTTTGTAGCCACATTTACCAAGTCTTTGGTCAAAGCTTATTTAAGAATGTAAACCTCTCAAGATAAATCCCATCTCTTTAAGTAGTGGTTAAGAGTTTTGGCTCTAGAGTTACGAACTGTGGGTTCAAACCTAGTAGTACCACCAGATCCAAGAGTCCTGAGACGGCTTAACCTCTTGAAACTCTCAATGTCTTCATTTATAAAAGCTTTATTAGCATAGAAATAAATGTTAGTAATGTTTTTTATTGCCTGACAACTAGAAATTGAGCATAAAGCCTGAATAAAGCACATACTAAATAATCAAAGCATGGATATTCAGAAATGAATAATAATTCCTTACATTAAGCCACATAATTATCACAGGTCTTTGTTTTCTTTCTAGGAATAATGAAACATTATTCTTACATTAGTAGATATGCAATATCATGAGGCCTTAGGTTAAGATAAGATTGTTTCCATTCTAAAAATTTTTGCAATAATTCATCTGCCTCACCAACTGTAGAAATCTTATTTTCATCTGACCATAACTCCAATGATGACAGCACAATAGTAACTTTAAATTGGGTGAACATCTAAAAACAGAAGAGATAAATACATGCATAATTAATATTTATGTTATCTTATAAAAACCCAGAAATTCAAAGTTTTTACAATCCCACACTCAGTTTATATGGGTGGGTTAATTATCCAGGAATACCGCATCAAGTTTAGGCAAATTATCATTTCAAAACAACAATTATTTTAATATGAAAAGGAAAACACTTACTGAATTTGCAAGGCCAACAATTTCGATGACTTTATTTGTTACTATCATGCTATCAGAGCCCCAGTAATCATACTGAAAAACAGAATTAATTTTATATTTAAGTACAAATTATTATGTAGTATTTTTAAGATTCTTTTCCATCTACTGTCAGAGGTGTAAGGCTGCTTTGGGTTTCAACAGTTCAAAATAAAACATTAATAAGTAAAAACTGAATATAAACTGGATCCCTCATGCATTGCTGATGGGAATGTAAAATGGTACAGCCACTCTGGAAAATAATTTGGTAACTTCAACTTCTTTGAAATCAAAACAAAGAATGGATTTACTATATGGCCCAGCAATCTCACTTCTGAGCATTTATCTCAAAAAACTGATCCTCACGCAAATACTTGTACATGAATGTCCATAACATCTTTACTCATAATAGCTAAAAACTAGAAATAACTCATATATCCTTCAGTGGTTAAATGGTTAAATAAACTGTAGTACATTCCTACCATAAACTCAGCAATAAAAAGAAACAAATGTTGATATATGGAACTGCCTGGATAAATCTCAAGAAAATTATGCTCAGCATGAAAACATAATCTCAAAAGGATACAGACTGCTTGATAACTTTATGCAATGTGTGTGAAATCACAAAGAAGGAGAATGGCTTAGTGGACACCAAAGGCTCAGAAGCGGGCAGGGGATCAGTGTGGCTCTAATGGGATCACACAGGAGAGTGCTGTGGTGATGGTACTGTTGAGTGTCTCAATTGTGGCAATGGTTATGGAAGGCTACCTATGTAATACCATTGCATAAAACTGTACATAAATGCACACACACAAATGAGTGTGTGTGTATGTATACATACATATACATCGCTCTTGAAATCTGAAAAACTGGATTGCAACTATGTCAAACTGTATATATCCATAGACAAACTCTCTATAGTACATCACCTTGGATGTTCCACAGGATCCTCAAATTATCCCAGAGTAAACTCATATCCAAAACTAAAATAAATATATTCAAAACTAAACTCATCGTCTTCCTTCAAAAATCTCTTCCTACTTATATTTTCACTACTTTAGTGAATGGTATTATTATCTAACACATCCTACATTTATTACACTACATGCTCCATGAGAGCGGAAATTGTTCTGTTTTATTCACTGCTATATCCCCAATGGCTAGAACAGCAACTGTTATCTAGATGATGCTCAATGAATTTGTTAAG
The DNA here is from genome assembly GCF_000001405.40 of Homo sapiens. Lineage (NCBI taxonomy): Eukaryota > Metazoa > Chordata > Mammalia > Primates > Hominidae > Homo > Homo sapiens. Next base: position 69,293 of record NT_187577.1, on the reverse strand, counting down.
TAAACGAATAAATCAATCAAATCAAGTTCTTCTAATTCAACCCAATCAGTAACTTTTAAAGTTGTTCCTTTATTTTTATTCTTGATGCCACTAATTTATAAGTTTTCACCCTGATTACTAGAACAGTCTCTTAAATGATTCCTCCTTCCCCAATTTTCCCACCAGCAATCTCGTCCCTACACTATTACCAAAATGATTATTCTAAGGTAAAATAGAAATATGTCACTCCCCTATTTAAAATATTTCAATGACATCTTCCCTCCTTCCCTTTGTGGGCCCTGAATGATGGAGAGTGCCCCCTACCATTGGAAACTGAGTAACAGCCTGTCTTTTCAATAGCAACCATCTACTGATCTGTTGGCTTCAATATACCTGAGTAGTAATAAAACCTACATTTTAAAACACCCACTTGGATGCTCTTATAGTATAACAACTTACAGTTGTGTTTCCATGTCTGTCTCCATTATTAAACTGTGTATATATAGAACCATATGCTTTCTACAATCATGGCAATGAATTCACTATGCCATAATTACGGATTTACAAATTATAAAGTCACTGAAGAAAATATGAATACTATGATTGTTTGTTTGTTTGTTTCTTTGTTTTTGAGATGGAGTCTTCCTCTGTTGCCTAGGCTGGAGGCCAGTGGTGCGATCTCGGCTCACTGCACCCTCCACCTTCCTTGTTCAAGCAGTTCTCCTGCCTCAGTCTCCTGAGTAGCTGGGACTACAGGTGTCCACCACCACGCCTGGCTAATTTTTGTGTTTTTAGTAGAGACAAGGTTTCACAATGTTGGCCAGGCTGGTCTGGAACTCCTGACCTCAGGTGATCCACCCACCTCAGCTTCCCAAAGTACTGGGATTACAGGCATGCACCACACCCGACCAAGGGTTTTTTTTTACTAAAGAATATGTAAAAATGTATAAGAACATAAAGAAGAAATGTTTAATCAGCATTATATGACTTGAAAACCTGGCAATTTGGAATCATCACACTGTCTTCCACAATGGTTGAACTAGTTCACAGTCCCACAACAGTGTAAAAGAACTAGAAATACCATTTGACCCAGCCATCCCATTACTGGGTATATACCCAAAGGAATATAAATCATGCTGCTATAAAGACACATGCACACGTATGTTTATTGCAGCACTATTCACAATAGCAAAGACTTGGAACCAACCCAAATGTCCAACAATGATAGTCTGGATCAAGAATATGTGGCACATATACACCATGGAATACTATGCAGCCATAAAAAATGATGAGTTCATGTCCTTTGTAGGGACATGAATGAAGCTGGAAACCATCATTCTCAGCAAACTATCGCAAGGACAAAAAACCAAACACCGCATGTTCTCACTCATAGGTGGGAATTGAACAACGAGAAAACTAGGACACAGGAAGGGGAACATCACACACCAGGGCCTATTGTGGGGTGGGGGGAGGGGGGAGGGATAGCATTAGGAGATATACCTAATGTAAATGATGAGTTAATGGGTGCAGCACACCAACATGGCACATGTATACATATGTGACAAACCTGCACGTTGTGCACATGTACCCTAGAACTTAAAGTATAATAAATATATATATATATATATATAAAATAAAATAAAAAAGAAAACCTGGCAATTTGGAGAAGCTTTTGAAACTACTCTCAAGATATATAACATAATCCAAAAACAAAAGGAGTTTCAAAATCCAAAATATTCCCTGGAAACTTAGTCATATTTATCAGAAATACTTCAATTTTCTCTCAACTATCTCAATGTCTCAATGTTCTCTTAAATGTTCCCTTTTCCCTTTTCCCTGTACTCTAATTAATCAAGTTATTTTCATCTCTTTCTCCAAATCCTGGTCCCTGACCTTAACTCTGGCTTCCTGACAAGCTCTAAACCCTAGGAATAGAATTGGTAAAGAGTATTAGTCATACCCGCTGTGGTATTCCATAGGTATACACAAATAAAGGCTTATCATCAGAATAAAACCTAGAAAGTATATTTTTAATCTCTATTTTCTGAAATCTTTCAACTATTAAAAGAAATAAAGACATACCTAGTTGACTGCAAACTAAGTTGTCACCCTAACGTTCTGAAATTCAGAGGCCTCAGACTGTTTATGGAAATTAGGAATCTCGAGGTACTCTTTTCAACAGGTAAACAATGGACTAGAATGGGTGCCCCACCAAAAACTGCTAAAAAACTTCTTGACACATTAGTGAAAGTCATTCTAGTAGATAGTTATACTATCATCACTTTTGTTCCAATAAATATTCTAGGGTGGAATGTTCCCTAGACTACATTCTGCTCTTCAAACTTCCCTAAAATAGAATTTCACTTCCACCAAAATCACCATTAAATGGTAGTATGGATTGAGAGGGACTCTAGAAATGTGAAGTGCCAGGGAAAAAAATACATTTTGTTCTGCAGTACTGTTGTGTAAGTATTTCAAATAAAACATTTCTGATAAAACTAGTATCATTTTGACTATTTAGTTTCTCAGTTTGCACATTTTTCCACTATTGTCTCTATGACATGTGAGTAAGAACATTGGAATCTTTTAGTTTCTGTCTAGCTAGCTAGGCATAATCATACATTTGGATCAAATATTTCAAAGCAAAGAAAAAGCAAAACACATACCAAAGTTTTGTCCACCACAATATGCATTTCTAGATAAAGAGGAAATAAATCTGGAACAGCTGGTTCTGACTAGAAAAAAGGAAAACAGCATATAATACATGAAAAATTTCATAATTTTTTTACTTGAACTCTTCTTTAAAGCTAATACCACAGCACTTACAAGATATGCAGAGGTGTTTGCTTTATCAAATTGGTTAAAATTAATAAATAAAGTTTTAAGTTTTATGGCAATGTACTCAAGTAGTTAGAAGATTGCCCATGAAGTTGTAACATCTATCTCAGTATATCTACAACTTCCAATTTATGAACTAAGAAAAAACACCTAGCATTTCCATCTACTTCATCTGCATATCAGAAATAAACTTTTGCTTTAAAAACTATATGTGTGTGGAGGATTTTTTTTTTTTTTTTTTTTTTTTTTTTTTTGAGATGGAGTCTCGCTCTGTCGCCCAGGCTATAGTGCAGTGGCGCGATCTCAGCTCACTGCAAGCTCCGCCTCCTTGGTTCACGCCATTCTCCCGCATCAGCCTCCGGAGTAGCTGGGACTACAGGCGCCTGCCACCACGCCGGGCTAATTTTTTGTATTTTTAGTAGAGGCGGAGTTTCACTGTGTTAGCCAGGATGGTCTCCATCTCCTGACCTCGCGATCCGCCCGCCTTGGCCTCCCAAAGTGCTGGGATTACAGGCGTGAGCCACCGCGCTCCTTTCTGTATTTGTGTCCTTTGCAATATGACTTTTCAGTGCCTGTCATCAAGAGGTGAGTTCATTTTTCCTCTCTCTCAATCTGGGCTGGGCTTTGTAACTTGTTTGAGCCAATAAAGGCAATAGAAGTGTTGTTTTGCCAATCTTGAGCCTAAGTCGCCTTTCATACTGCCATTCCTGATCTTGGAATCCCTGCCTGTACACATCTGGCCAGACTGCCAGATGATAAGAGCAAATGGCCTATTCACGCAATTGCCCCAGAAAAAAACATAAAAATAAAAAACAGGACAATGCTTGAGGGGGGAAAAAAGCTGCTGGGTTTCTATAAGGGAGTATTGTGGTCCTTGAACTGACCCACCTACCATCCCATCTCACACATCCAGCTCATTGGCATCCATTAAGATAGAGGCCCATATTCCTGGTGTGGCTTTCCCGTGCCAGAGGAAGAAATACCAAATTTGTTCTCAAAGAATTATGGTTATGTGTTTTGAGCTGTCCAGTGGCTCCCTAAAGGTTTTGCTCAAGAGCTTTCCTTTGTTTCCTCCACCATGAAATTTCACAGGGTTGGAGTGGACTCCAAGGCAGTGTTTATAAAAAGCATTTCAAGGCAAATACACTGGCTGCAGCCACCTGGAGCAAGGAAAAACGGACAAGAAAAGCAGCAAGCACACTAAAAAGTCTAGGAAGAAAGAGGCTGAGGAAGGAAATGGGTGGAGAAATGAAGGCTTTGAAAACCTCAGGCATATACTGGGAAATCTAGAGGGCCACCCACATGTCCAAGGCTGGACACTTGCTCAGAATAGACTTGAAAAGACACTAAGCTTTCTCCTCTGCCTGGCTTTCAGACATTGTACAAGCAAGAGTCAAGGCTAAGGGTGAGTTGTCAACATCTGGAATAAGTGTTGCATGTATATCCAAACCCAGAGTCAATCTGTAAAAACCAAGGAAGTCTTTTCTCTTTTTTGGCTCCAGTAATTTAAAGAAATCTCTATCAAATCACTTGGTGACTACTAAACAATATTGTTCACAAAATATTTCTTTACTTTAGAAAAGTCAGTAAACAAGCAAACAACTACAACCCACAACAAGCAGTAACAACACACCTTGCTGGGGAGTGAGGAAGAATCTGATTTCCAGCATTACCACATCAAAATATTCAAAATGTTCAAATTTCAACAACAACAAGAAAGTAGTATGGCCCATTCTCAGAAAATAAAGAAACAGAAATGGTACCACTGGAAGCCCAGACATTGTACTTACTAGACAAATAATGTAAATTAATTGTTTTAAAATATGTTCAAAAAGCTATGAAAAACTATGTAAAAAAAACTAAAGGAAACCAGAAGAATGATACTTCACCAAATAGAGAGTATCCATAAAAATATAGAAATTATAAAAAGGAAATTGTGGAGCTAAAAAGTAAAACACATGAAAATTCACTAGGATTCAATAACATAGTTGAGCAAGCAGAAAAAAGGAATCAGCAAACTTCAAAACAAATCAATCAAGATTATTCAATCTGAGGAGCACAATCAAAGAATAAAGCAGGATTTGATGGCATGATGTCTCGCAGGAAATCTTTTGCTCCAAGACATGGGTCCCCGGGCTTCCTGCCTTGGAAACACAGCAGTAGGCATCATGGCAAGGTGAAGAGCTTCCCCAGTGATGACCCTTCTAAACTGGTCCACCTCACAGCTTTCCTGGGATACAAGGCTGGCATGACACATCGTGTGGGAAGCTGGCCGGCTAGGACCCAAGGTGAACAAGAAGGAAGGGGTAGAGGCTATGACCATTGTGGAGACACTGCCCATGGTGGTAGTAGGCATCCTGGGCTACATGGAAACCCCTCAAGGCCTCTGAATTTCCAAGACCATCTTTGTTGAGCACATTAGCAATGAGTGCAAAAGGCACTTCTATAGGAACTGGCATAAAGCGAAGTAGAAGGCTTTTACCAAGTACTGCAAGAAACTGCAGGGTGAGGATGACAAGAAGCAGCTGAAGAAGGACTTCAACAGCATGCTTGAATATCTACACCCAGATGCACCTGCTTCCTCTATGTATGAAGAAGACCCACCTAATGGACATCCAGGTGAACAGAGGCACTGTGACCGAGAAACTGGACTGGTCTCTGGAGAGGCTAGAGGACCAGGTACCTGTGAAGCAAGCGTTTGGGCAGGACAAGATGATTGACATCAAACGGGTGACCAAGGGCAAAGGCTACAAAGAGGTCACCAGTCATTGGCATACCAAGAAGCTGCCCTACAAGACCCACTGAGGGCTGTGGAAGGTTGCCTATATTGGGGCATGGCATCCTGCCCATATGACCTTCTCTGTGGCACGTACTAGACACAAACTATCACTGCACTGAGATCAACAAGAAGATCTATAATATCAGTCAGGGCTACTTCATCAAGGATGGCAAATTGATCAGTGCCTCCACTGACTATAACCTGACAAGAGCATCAACCCTCTGGGTGGCTTTGTCCACTATGGTGAAGTGACCAATGACTTTGTCATGCTGAAGTGCTGTGTGGTGGGAACTAAGAGGCAAGCGCTCATCCTCCACAAGTCTTGATGCAGACCAAGCAGCAGGCTCTGGAGAAGACTGACCTTAAGTTCATTGACACTACCTTTAAATTTGGCCATGGCCGCTTCCAAACCATGGAGAAGAAGCATTCATGGGACCACTCAAGAAAGACCAGATTGCAAAGGAAGAAGGAGCTTAATGCCAGGAACAGATTGTACAGCTGATGGGATCTCAATAAAAGTTATCTGACACTGAAAAAAAAAGAGTGAAGAAAAATGAACAGAGCCTAAGAGACCTGTGGGACACCATCAAGCTCATAAATAAGAAGAGTTCCTAGCAGAAGAGAAGAAAGGGGCAGAAAGAAAATTTGAAAAATAATGGGTGAAAACCTCCCCAGTTTGATGAAATATATGAATCTACACATCCAAGAAGCTTAACAAACTCCAAGTAGAATAAACTCAAAAGAATTCACACCAAAACATATTATAATCAAAGTGTCCAAAGTTAATGATAAAAAGAGAACCTTGAAAACAGCAAGAGAAAAGCAATTCCTCACAAATGAGAGATCTTCAATAATAGTAATATCTAATTTCTTATTAGAAACCAGGGAGGCCAGAGGCAGTGGGATGACATTTAAAGTGCTGGAGGGAAAAAAACTGTCAAACAAGAATTCTATATCTGACAAAACTATCCTTCAAAAATGAAGGAGAAATTAAGACATTCCCAGATAAATAAAAACTGAAAAAGCTCATTGCTAGTAGACTTGCCTGCTTATTATAGGCCAAATGGTATCCCAGTAAAATTCATATGTTAAAGATCTAACCCCAGTATGTCACAAAATGAGGCTGTATTTGGAGACAGGGCCTTTAAAGAGGTAATTAGATTGAAAATTAGGTCATTAGGATGGGCTCTGATGCAATGTAACTGGTATCTTTATAAGAGAAAATTAGAACACAAACACAGAAGGAAGACCTTGTGCAGATACAGGGAGAGGGTGGTTACTTATATGCCAAGCAGAGGGTCCTCAGAAGAAACTACAACTTAGTTAACACCTTGATCTCAAACTTCCAGGCTCCAGAATTGTGAAAAAATACATATCCTTGTTTAAGCTACCCAGTCCATGGTAAATTGTTATGGCAGCTGTAGTAAACTAATACACTGCCCTACAAGAAATGCCAAAGGTAGTCCTTCAGTTTAAAATGAAAGCACACAAAACAGTAACAAGAAGCAATAAAAGAAATTAAAAACACAGTAAAGGTAAATACATTGGTAACTATAGAAGATATTATTATAGCTGGGTGCAGTGGCTTACACTTATACTCCTGGCACTCTGGAAGGCCAAAATGGGAGGACTGCTTGAGTCCAGGAGTTTGAGACTAGCCTGGGCAACAAAGGAAGACCCAGTCTCTACAAATAAACAAATTAACTGGGCATGGTGGCACATGCCTGTGGTCCCAGCTAATTGGGAGGCAGAGGCAGGAGGATCACCTGTGCTTAGGAGGTAAAGGATGCAGTAAGCTGTGATCACAGCACCAGCACCACACTCCAGCCTGGATGACAGAGTAAGACCCTGCCTCCAAAAAAAAAGATACTATTATTATATTTTTGTTTTGTTATTCCTCACTTTTCCCCAAATTATTTAAGAGAAAATGTATCAAACAATAATTATTAAGCTATTGTATTACTATACAATAGCTTGTACATTGTATTATCATTAACATAGCTTAATGTTATTAGATAATTTGTGATAATAAAAACATAAAGAAGACAAAGCTGTATAGCAGCAGCGTTTTGTATACTATAGAGGCTAAGTTGGTATTAATTCAAACTATGATTGTTATAAATTTAAGATGTTATTGTAATATCCAGAGTAACCACTAAGAAAATAATCAAAATTACATAAAGAAAAATAAATGAGAAGGGAATCAAAATGACATACTAGAAAAAAATCCACTAAACAAAAGAAGGCAGTAATAGAGAAATAGAGACAAAAAAAGATAGAAGACATATAGAAAACGATTAGCAAATGTCAAATTAAGTCTTTATTGAGCCCAGGAGGCAGAGGTTGCAGTGAGTCGAGATCCACAACTGGTGCTCTGTATGGCTTAGACATCTCTTTTCCTGAATCTACTGCCACACTGCTCTTTATATTTATTGTGTCATCTTGCTTCTGCACATCAAGGAAAACCCTACTACTTCAGAAATTAATCCATCCATTGACTATTTTACTGGTATAAGCAACTATATCTTGAGTCTGTCAGTTCAGGAAGCCTCACATGTTTGGCCTCTCTCAATGTCATGCTATTGTCACATAAAGGTAGAGCTATACTGCCTCTGTTACTACCATTATTGCCACTTTGCTCTATGCATCCATCCAGGCTATTGAAATTCTTGACACAGATTACCATAAATTACAATGACATGCAGTAACTAAGAAAGCATATGAGGACAATTTGATTTCCTCTCTTCCAATTTGAATATCCTTTATTTCTTTCTCTTGTCTGATTGCCCTGGCTGGAATTTCCAATACTATGTTGAATAGGAGTGATGCCAGAGGGCATCTTTGTCTTGTGTCAGTTTTCAAAGAGAATGCTTCCAGTTTTTGCCCATTCAGTATGATATTGCCTGTGGATTTGTCATAAATAGCTCTTATTATTTTGAGATACGTTCAATCAATACCTAGTTTATTGAGCGCTTTTAGCATGAAGGAGTGTTGAATTTTATCAAAGGCCTTTTCTGCATCTATTGAGATAATCAGAATGGGAGAAAATTTTTGCAATCTACCCATCTGACAAAGGACTAATATCCAGAATCTACAAAGAACTTAAACAAATTTATGAGAAAAAAAAAACCATCAAAAAGTGGGTGAAGGGTTTGAACAGACACTTCTCAAAAGAAGACATTTATGCAACCAACAAACATATGAAAAAAAAAGCTCATCATCCCTGGTCATTAAGAGAAATGCAAATCAAAACCACAATGAGATACCATCTCATGCCAGTTAGAATGGCAATCATTAAAAAGTCAGGAAACAACAGATGCTAGAAAGGATGTGGAGAAATAGGAATGCTTTTACACTGTTGGTGGGAGTGTAAATTAGTTCAACCATTGTGAAAGACAGTGTGGCAATTCCTCAAGGATCTAGAACCAAAAATACCATTTGACCCAGCAATCCCATTCCTGGGTATATACCCAAAGGATTATAAATCATTCTACTGTAAAGACACATGCACACATATGTTTATTGCTGCACTGTTCACAATAGCAAAGACTTGGAACCAACCCAAATGCCCATCAATGATAGACTGGATAAAGAAAATGTGGCACACATACACCATGGAATACTATACAGCCATAAAAAAGGATGAGTTCATGTCCTTTGCAGGGACATGGATAAAGCTGGAAACCATCATTCTCAGCAAACTAACACAAGAACAGAAAACCACACACCACATGTTCTCATTCATAAGTGGGAGATGAACAATGAGAACACATGGACACAGGGAGGGGAACATCACACACTGGGGCCTGTCGGGGAGATGGGGGGTAGGGGAGGGATAGCACTAGAAGAAATACCTAATGTAGATGACGGGTTGATAGGTGCAGCAAACCACCATGGCACGTGTGTACCTATGTAACAAACCTGCACGTTCTGCACATGTACCCCAGAACTTAAAGTATAATTACATATATATATATATATGAGGAACTTTCTGTTTGTCTTTTACTTGGCTGTTTTTCTTTCCTCCAACACTTGTCCAGACAAACGATGATATCTGTGGGGATCCAGAGCTTCCCAGCTTTCCAGATCATGCCACTTTCCAAATGATACATACAAATGCAATTTGGCTGACATATGTGCTCAAATAACTTTATTGTAGTAATTATCACTTCATTGTAAAATAAGTATGTGAAAACTTCCTGATTTTCAAAGGAAACCCAAAGACAAATCTGAGACAGGATTTATATGTAGATAATTTACTAATAAAGTTCTCCCAGGAGAGACCAGCTAATGAGTGGGAGAAGCAGGATTAGGATCAGGAGGAATCCACACAAGAGTGTGCTCTCAGACACAGTCCCACAGAGAAAATCTGGTGTGTAAGTTGTGCTACAGAGTTGTCCTGACCTGTAACAAGAAACCAAACTCACCCTTTCCCACACTGGTGAGGTGCTGGCTAAGGACCACCCTGGGGAAATGTAAATCTCCAGTACTTATGTTTACCTTGCCATCTGGGCAAAGCAGTTTCAGTTGGCTGAAGGGCAGCCCACATAAAAAAGAGTTACAAGTGGCACATGTTCAAAGCAAAGGCATAAACAAAGACATGGTGTCCCACCCTCCTGCATCATCCCCACAAAAATATACTAGAAAGGAATATGAGGGGTTCTGGGCAGGGCACTGACATTGTTCGCTACACTGGGTCATCTCAGTCATTGTAAATTAGAAATTTTCACAAGGCAAGAAAAAAAAGTTCAGCATCTAGTTCACAAACATTATTTGAAATTATACATATATATTTGCTAGCATTGAAAACTCTGGCACTGCACTCTCATTTGGACCCTGTATTATTTAAGATATAGGATTGCCGTCTACACAGAGACAGAAAATAATAGTGAATTAAGCAAACTTAGAGTCTATTTCTCTCTCACATAAATTTGTGAAGAGGTATGGTAGTTCCATTCTGAAAATTCTTCAAAAGCAAGGCTCATTTTACCTTGTTTCTCTGCTACCTGTATGGCGTCAGCCTCATCCTTGTGGACCATTACATGTCAGTATGTCCACACTCCACCCAGCAGAAAAGGGAAAGAAGATAAAACCCCTCCTTTTAATATTCAAGCCAGAAGTAACACATATTATGCTTGCTCACACGTCATTGGCCATAATTTTGTCACATGGCCCTACCTAGAGGTAAGGGAGGTTGAGAAATATTGTCTTTGTTTATATGCCCAGCTAAATTCTGAGGTTTGGTGTTTTTTTCTTTTTTCTTTCTTTTTTTTTTTTTTTTTTTTTTTTTTTTTGAGATGGAGTCTTGCCCTGTCACCCAGGCTGGAGTGCAGTGGTGTGATCTCAGCTCACTGCAACCTCCACCTCCCAGGTTCAAACAATTCTTCAGCCTCCGCTCCCGAGTAGCTGGGATTACAGGCGTCTGCCACCATGCCTGACTAATCTTTGTATTTTTAGTGGAGACGGGGTTTCACCATGTTGGCAAGGCTGGTCTTGAACTCCTGACCTCAGGAGATCCACCCAACTTGGGCTCCCAAAGTGCTGGGATTACAGGTGTGAGCCACCATGCCTGGCCTGGTATTTTTTTCTTTACTGACAGAAAACAGGGAGAGCATATACTGGAAACAATGAATACTGCCACATACTCTTGTATAAACTATGCATAGTTATGCCAATGTTACTTGGTATAAAAATTTTCTCTTTCACAATTGCTTGTGTAAGCACCAACACATGCAGTTACATAGTGTGTTCACTGAACAATTTACATGACCATAACCGGCAATTCTGTTTATGACATTTTAATTATATCTATGATTTAATTAATGCTGACTCGTTGGTCATGAATATAACCTTTAAAATTATTGACTTTATTGAGTAACTTCCAGGAATGTAGGAGCAAAAGCAGGAACTGAGTTTTTAAAGTTTATATTGCATATACAAGAGGGAATTTTTGGAAAGTAATAAGAATGTAACAAGCAAAATAAGAACAAAAATAAAGTGAATCATAAAAAGTATGGTTTCAAGGAAATTGTTAGGTAACAGAAAGATGAACAGCCAGGCACGGTGGCTCATGCCTGTAATCTCAACATTTTGGGAGATTGAGGCGGGTGGATCATTTGAACCTAGGAGTTTGAGACCAGCATGGTCTGTCTCTTTTTTGTAGAGACTCTGTCTCTACAAAAAATTAGTCTGGTATGGTGGTGCATGTCTGTGGTCCCAGCTACTCAGGAGATTGAGGTGGGAGGATTGCTTGAGCCCAGAAGACAGAGGCTGCAGCAAGCCATGATCAGTCCACTGCACTCCAACCTGAGTGAGAGAGTGAGAAAAAAAAAAAAAAAAGATAAGATGTTCACAAGGAAAGGATATTTGCTACAATTCTACAGTGGGCTTATAAATTTATTTTTTAAATAAATTAAATGGAAGTAATAACTGCTTTAAAAGTAGTAATAAAACATATACAACTCACTTTTTCACTTATAAAAATGTTGTCATCCATTGGTTGTTCTTTCAGGCTTCTGTCAATAAAAATTGCAATATCATTGTCTTCATTCTTTAATTTGTAAAGAACATGCTGAAATTCAACTGCAGATTCCAGAGGCTCAATTCCATAAGAAACATTTTCAAATTGCAGTATTCCTCTGTGAAATTATGAATACAATTTTAAGTGCTTTTAATCAAATCTATATAATGAATTTCTGACAAAATCCAAAAGAAAAAAAAATAAAACGTTTTGAGTCCAGTATTTTTTTCTGAATTCTGTCTTAGAGATGACTCTGAAGAGACAAAAGATTTCCCAAATCCACAAAACCCATTTTCTATTTCGTTTTTGTATAGTTGTAAGAGCAGCAGAAGTCACTTAATCAATTGCTAGGTACACAAGTATATAGCATAACAGTAATTGAGTAATTCTATTGTTTTCCAAGTCAGTGTCTCAATTAAAGCAATTGTAAACAGAAATCATGATGACTTTCTCTCTGGTTTGCCATGCTTTTGAAAAATGATTATACTGCATATATGACAAATGTATATAATAAGAAACTTTACTTTTAAAAATAAAATTTGGCAGAATTATGAAATATGCCATGCTTTTGAAAAATGATTATACTGCATATATGACAAATGTATATAATAAGAAACTTTACTTTTAAAAATAAAATTTGGCAGAATTATGAAATATTTGTTACTTTTGCTTATATAGTCTGAATAAGAAATTAAAAGCAAGATTTTAAAGAGTAAATGACTTGTATCACTATTTTTCTGTGAATACAGGTGGCAGCCCAAGTCACTACTCCCTAAAATATAAATTTCAGATCCAAATTTCAGGCTTCTATGTAGGAAGCACTGAAGAAGAACATTTGTTTGTGAAAACAAACACCCTACACTACAAAATGAAGGTGGAAAATTTCCTGACAGAATGGAAAACTCCCTAAGCCGTAAGGAGGAAACCCAGTAATTCTTGAAGAGCTCAAGATAATAATATCATCAGAAAAATGAGTATTTTTATGAGTATTAAAAATTATTTGTTTTTATATAATTTGCCTCCTCAGTCTGAAGATGATTTCCTTGAGAAAAAGCATCTCTTCTTTATCTTCATATCTCCAACATTAAAACACATGGTGGGTAACATAAATACATTTTCAGTCCAGTATTTTGACTCAAACCTGTCTTAGAGATGACTCTGAGAAGATAAAAGATTACCCTAATCTACAAAACCAGCTCTCCATTTCACTTTTTTATAGTTACAAAAGCAGCAGAAATTACCTAATCAATTGCTAAGTGTGCAAGTATACAGCATTACAGTGATTAATTTCCCTGTTTTCCAAGACAGTGACTGAGCTGTCCTAAACTTAGCTCCTAAAACACTTGTAGTCAAACATGTTCAATTGTCTTTTCTGTGGTTAAGGAAACGTAAGACATAGAGCAAGGAGACTAGGAAATCTAAACCTTTGAAAAGGTTAGAAATGTCTCTGGTCACTGAGGAAAGTGAGGAGAAATAAGAGAATTGGAAACATGTTCAGAGGGGGATATCATTAAATAATCTCCACATAGGAAAGCTCCTTCAACCCCACACTTAATACAAAGAGAACAAATTCACTGCAGCCAAATATCATAACTAAGGTGTTCTGTAATCAACAACAGAAAACAACCTTAGTCCAGAGCACGTGCTGAGTGTGACCATGGAATCTGGATATCCTTCAATATTTCCTTGATAGTAGCATTGAGTCTAGGAAAGAAAAAAAGTAAAGTAGTCACTTAGGAAGTAACAAAACTTTCTAGTGATTTCCTACTTCTATACTTGATAGAACCTTCTGAATATTTTTCACAGGCTCCGTGATTTATATCAGTACAAGTAAGGTGAAATTCAGAAAAAAATTCTCCCCATAATTGCCACTTACACTATGTTAACTACACTTTATAATAGATTATGACTTGAGATTACTATTTTACACCCTGCTTCCAAAATGTTGTCTCATGTTTTAGGTAAAAATATCTTCCAGTACATAAATTTAGATCCTCAATTAAAAGACAAAGATGATGAATCTGGATTTCTTTAAAAACTCAATTAATATGATGCTAAAAAAGAGTCATAAAAATGCAATGACACAGGAAGATTGAAGGGCTAGATGCCAACACAAACCAAAAGGATGATGCTGAATTTGCACTAAGAGAGGAAATGTGGACTTTAAGGCCAGAAACATTACTAGAGATAAACAGGGACATTTGGTAATGATAAGCATTTCAATTTGCCAGGAAGACATAAATATTCCAAATTGGCATTCACTTAATAACACAGCTTCAAAATATATAAAGTCACAATTGAAAGAATAGTAAAAATTAAAAAATCTACAGTTATAAAAAAGTTTTTTAAAGTTAATTTCTCTTAGTGACTGATAGATCAAGTGTTCAGAATCTACAGAAGGTTTGGACAACGTGGTTAGTATGACCTAGTTAACATATGCAAAATACTATACCTAAAAACTTTAGAATATATGCTTTCTAAACACTCATGGAACATCTACAAAATAGAAACCATACTCCAGGCCATAAAGCAGGACTCAATAGATTACAAAGGAATTAAATTGTATAGAGTTGGTCTCTGAGCACAGTACAATCAAGCTAGAGACACACAGAGTCACAAACATTGTCACAGATGTGAAAATTATATAATTTCCAATATTCAATGGTGCTATAAATTTTATTATAAATAAGGTTAAGATTTCTTATTAACACACTGCTTTATGATGGAACTAAGGGAAGGAAAAGGGAGCAATAAAGCAAAATGATGATCCCATCCAATGTAAGTGAAGCAACATATCTAATTTAATATTTCAGCAAATTTTTATTATATTCCAAGTATGTGCTAGGCACTTTTCTAGGCACTGGTGTTACATCAGTAAATAAAACAGACCAAAAGCCCTGCCCTCGGGATGATTATATTGCACTGGGGAGACAGAAAATAAAGTAAATAAATAGAATATATATGATACATCATGTATTGATAACTGCCATGGGAAAAAGGCAAAAAAAAAAAAGGTAAAGGAAATAGAGTATTAAGAGTAAGAGACCAATTTAAAGTAGGGGTTAGTCAACGACTAATAGGGTGATTTTGAGTAAAGACCTGAAGGAAATGAGGATGAAAAACATATGGGTCTGTTGGGAAAGAACAAGCATTTGGATACCAGGAAATAGAAAGTATGAAGTCTTTGAAAGGAGAACATAGCTATTATATTTGAAGAACAACAATGCTGGAACAAAGTGAATGAGGTAGAGAATAATAGGAAATGAGGTCAGAGAGGTAAAAGGGAACCAGGTGACTCTGGCTTTCACTCTGTAAGTGGTGGGAAGCCATTCATGCAGGGTTCTGAGCAGAGAAGCAGGGTAATCTGACTATGTCTTAACAGGATCAATATGGTCACCATGTTGAGAACTGACTGAGGCTGGGTGCGGTGGCTCACACCTGTAATCCTAGCACTGTGGGAGGCCAAGGCAGGTGGATCACCTGAGGTCAGGGGTTCGAGACAAGCCTGGCCAACATGGTGAAACCCTATCTCTTGATAGGGTTTAGATAGAAAATTAGCTGGGCATGGTGGTGCATGCCTGTAATCCCAAATACTCGGGAGGCTGAGGCAGGAGAATCACTTGAACCCAGGAGGTGGAGGTTTCAGTGAGCCAAGATCGCACCATTGCACTCTAGCCTGGGCAAAATAAATAAATAAAAACAAAAATAAATGAATAAAATAAAGGGATAAATAAATAAAATGAAGGGATGGACAGGTGAGGAAGCAGGGAGATTATTCAGGAAGTTATGGCAATGATCCAAACTAGAGATGATGTTTACTTGGAAATGGGTGGTCTCAGTGGGTGAAGGCAGAGGAAGAAGGTGGATGCTGGACACTTAGTTTGAAGGGCAGGGTCAGTAGGATTTATGGATGTATAAATAATGGATGAGATGAGGAAGAGTTAAGAAAAAAACAAAGAGTTTTTGATCTGTGATTTGTGTCTCATAACATTCATGTCCACTTTTCTTGTTATTTAATTTATATTCTTACAAACAAAATATAAATAATAAATATTTTATTTAACAAAATATCAATTAAATTAAAAAATAGTGACTATGTTCTCAGCAATGGGAAAGGTGCTAAGTCAATCTAATTTGTCTTTACCAAAACTTCAGGAAACCCTGATCATTAATCAACAAATGTCTTAAATATATCCCCTGTGAATCTTGAGAGCCTTCTGTATAATAAAGCATTTATTTAATGTAAAAAAATTTAAAAAAAACTATAAAACACAGAATTTAAATCTTACCTGAATATCTGAAGAATAAGTATTCATAGATCCTTGATTGTACAAATAGATCATAAAATTATCTGCTAAAAAATATCTGAATATAAAAAAAGAGGAAATTTTTTTAATTATTCTTTTTGAAACATATAAAAACATAGTAAACTTAACACTCTCAGCCAAAATCTGACCCACCCTCTGTTTTGTAAATAAAGGTTTATTGAAACACAGCCATACCCATTCACCCACATATTGTCATGGCTCTTTTCATGCTGTAAGATGAGAGATTAACTAGTTTTGACAAAGAACATATGGCCTTCAAAGTCTAAAACATTTACTATCTGAATCTTTAGAGAAAACGTCTGTCAACCTGATATAAAGGTAGTATTTTCTTTTGACATATATTTAATGTTTACTTAAAGCAATATACGTTTACTCAAAATAGTTTTCCTACCTTAATGGACTCCTTTTAAGAAAAAAAGAAGAGACTAAAAGAAGAGCATTCTAAAATGTAAAAGAGGCTGGACGTGGTGGCTCACACCTGTAATCCCAACACTTTGGGAGGCCAAGGTGGGCAGATCACCTGAGGTCAGGAGTTTGAGACCAGCCTGGCCAACATGGTGAAACCCCGTCTCTACTAAAAATACAAAAATTAGTCGGGTGTGGTGGCAGGTGCCTATAATCCTAGCTACTCAGGAGGCTGAGGTGGGAGAATTGCTTGAACCCAAGAGGCAGAGGTTGCAGTGAGCTGAGATCACACCACTGCAATCCAGCCTGGGTGACAGAGCAAGATTCCGTCTCAAAAAAAAAAAAAAAAATTTAATAGACATAAACTGGATGTTGGATTGTAAGAGTTTTCTGTTCTTACATTCTTTCTAAAGCTTTATTACTATGCACATATATTACTTTGATAATGAAGTGGAAGAGTATTGCATAAAGGTCATATTCATCTGAGCATATGTACTGAAACGTCCAGTCTAAGTTCAACTTTGGTATTAATCCCTGTACTCATGATGCTATTTTAGTTATGCTTCCTCACTTCATGTTCACTCTTCAACCCACCGTCACTTAATTAGGCCACTCACACTAGCTTCTGTTGGAAAGCCTCCACTCAAACTGATCTCACAAAAATTACTAATGACCTCCTGAGTGTCCAATCCAAAAGACAGTATTATGTCAAGTAAAAATACTCTGAAGCAGCCAGGCGGGGTGGCTCACTCCTGTAATCCCAAAACTTAGGGAGGCCGAGGTGGAGGGATTGCTTTGGGCTCAGGAGTTCGAGACCAGCCTGGGTAACAAGGCGAAACCTCATCTCTACCAAAAATACCAAAATTAGCCAGGTGTGGTGGTCTGCTCATGTGGTCCCAGCTACTTGGGAGGCTGAGGCAACAGGATCACTTGAGCCAGGAGTTCAAGGCTGCAGTGAGCTGAGATGCCACCACTGCTTTCCAACCTGGGTGACAGAGAGAGACCCTGTCTCAAAAATAAATAAATAATAAAAATAATTTTAAAATACATTAAACAAAAAAATAAATAAATAAAATACTCTCAAGTACTTCATACTGTGGACCACATTCCCCTTCTTGAAACCATCTCTTCTTCAGTGATAATGATAGATACCACTTCCTCCTGGTTCTCCTGTCTTTCTACGTTTCTAAGTCCCTTTATTTGGATCCTTCCTTCATCCCTTAAATGTTTCCATGGCATTCAATTCTAGGCTGTTTCTCTTTCTTACTTTTAACATTCACCCCCACCTGTATAGATTTATCTTGTTCATTTCTGTGGTTTAATTTACTACTTATATAAAAAGGTTGCTTTTAGTATTATAGCTTTGCAATATATTTGAATTCAGGTAGTGTGATGCCTCCAGCTTTGTTCTTTTTGTTCAGTAGTGCCTTGGCTATTCAGGGCCTTTTGGGGTTCCATAGGAATTTACTATTTCTGTGAAAAATGTCATTGGAATTTTGGTAGGGATTGCGTTGAATTTGTGTATCAATTTGGACAGTATGGACATTTTAACAATATTAACTCTTCCAATCCATGTTCTTTCCATATATTTGTGTCTTCCTCAATTCCTTTCATCATGTTTTCTAGCTCTCAGTATACAGATCTTTCACCTCCTTGGTTAACTTACTCCTAAGTATTTTATTTTTTGTAGCTATTGTACATGGGGTTGTTTTCTTGATTTCATTTTTGGAAAATTTCTTATTAATGTATAGAAATGCTATGATTTTTGTATGTTGATTTTATATCCCACAACTTCACTGAACTTGTCTATTGGTTCTAACAAATTTTGGTGGAGTCTTTAGGGTCTTCTATAAGTAATCTACATATAAGATCATGTCACCTGCAACAGGAACAATTTAACATTTCTCTTTCCCATTAGGATGCCTTTTATTCATTGTTCTTGCCTAATTGCTGTGGCTAGGACTTCCAATACTATGTTGAATAGAAGAGGTGAAGGAAAATAGGCATCCTAATCTTGTTCCTGATATTAGATGAAAAACTTTCAACTTTTTACCACTGAGTATGATGTTAGCTATGGCTTTGTCATATATGACATTTTTGTGTTAAGGTATATCTCTTCTAGGCCTAATTTGCAGAGAGTTTACATCATGAAAGAATGTGGATACTCACACTTCTCTCCCCCATTCTAAACTAAATTAACTGCCATCAGGATATTTCCCCCTGTGGGATATCCCACAAGCACTTCATACCCAGCATCTCCAACAGGGAGCCATAATACCTGACTCAGGTCTGTTCTCATCCTCCCTCTACCCTACCAAATCCCTGCCACCACTATAGTCAATCTGTTACTACATCTTTTTTCTGCCACATCAGCATTTCTCAAAAACAGGAAAAGGGAGGCTTGCTTCCAAGATGGCTGAATAGGAACAGCTCTGGTCTGCAGCTCCTAGCAAGATCAACACAAAAGAGCAGTGATTTCTGCATTTCCAACTGAGGTACCTGGTTCATCTCACTGGGACTGGATCAACAGTGGGTACAGCCCACGGAGGGAAAGCTGAACCAGGACAGGGTGTTGTCTCACCCGGGAAGCTCAAGGGGTCAGGGGATTTACCTTTCCTAGCCAAGGGAAGCTGTGACAGACTGTACCTGGAGAAACAGTACACTCCTGACCAAATACTGCACTTTTCCCACAGTCTTAGCAATCAGCAGACCAGGAGATACCCTCCTGTGTCTGCCTCAGCAGGTCCCATGCCCATGGAGCCTTTCTCACTGCTAGTGCAGCAGTCTGAGATTGCCCTGCAACACTGCAGCTTAATTGGGGGAAGGGTCATCTGCCATTACTGAGGCTTGAATAGCCTACAGTGTAAACAAAGTGGCCAGGAAGCACGAACTGGGCAGACCCCACCACAGCTCAGCGAGGCCTACTACCTTTATAGATTCCACCTCTGGGGGCAGGGCATAGTAGAACAAAAGGCACCAGACAGCTTCTGCAGACTTAAACATCCAGTCTGACAGCTCTGAAGAGAGCAGCAGTTCTCTCAGCACAGCATTTGAGCTCCAAGAATAGACAGACTGCCTCCTCAAGTGGGTCCCTGACCCCCATGTAGCCTGACTGGGAAACACCTCCCAGTAGGGGTCGACAGACACCTCAAACAAGCAGGTGCCCCTCTGGGATGAAGTTTCCAGAGGAAGGATCAGGCATCAATATTGGCTGTTCTGCAGCCTCCACTGGTGATACCCAGGCAAACAGGGTCTAGAGTGGACCTACAGCAAACTCCAACAGACCTGCAGCTGAGGGGTCTGACTATTAAAAGGAACTAACAAACAGAAAGGAATAGCATCAACATAAACAAAAAGGACATCCACACCAAAACCCCATCTGTGGGTCACCAACATCAAAGACTAAAGGTAGGTAAAACCACAAAGATGGGGAGAAACCAGAGCAGAAAAGCTGAAAATTCCAAAAAAACAGAGTGCCTCTTCTCCTCCAAAGAATAACAGCTCCTCGCCAGCCAGGGAACAAAATTGGACGGAGAATGAGTTTGACGAGTTGACAGAAGTAGGCTTCAGAAGGTCGGTAATAACAAATTTCTCCAAGCTAAAGGAGCATGTTGTAACCCATCACAAGGAAGCCAAAAACCTTGAAAAAAGGTTAGACAAATGGCTAACTAGAATAAACAGTGTAGAGAAGAACTTAAATGACCTGATGGAGCTGAAAACCATGGCACGAGAGCTTCATGATGCATGCACAAGCTTCAATAGCCGATTCGATCAAGTGGAAGAAACAATATCAGTGATTAAAGATCAAATTAATGAAATAAAGTGAGAAGACAAGATTAGAGAAAAAAAGAGTGAAAAGAAACTAACAAAGCCTCCAAGAAATATAGGGACTATGTGAAAATACCAAATATATGTTTGATTGGTGTACCGGAAAGTGACAGGGAGAATGGAACCAAGATAGAATACACTCTTCAGGATATTATCCAGGAGAACTTCCCTAACCTAGCAAGGCAGGCCAACATTCAAATTCAGAAAATACAAAGAACACCACAAAGATATTCCTCGGGAAGAGCAACCCCAAGACACATAATTGTCAGATTCACCAAGGTTGGAATGAAGGAAAAAATGTTAAGGGCAGCCAGAGAGAAAGGTTGGCTTACCAACAAAGGGAAGACCATCAGACTAACAGCAGATCTCTCGGCAGAAACCCTACAAGCCAGAAGAGAGTGGGGGCCAATATTCAACATTCGTAAAGAAAAGAATTTTCAACCCAGAATCTCATATCCAGCCAAATTAAGCTTCATAAGTGAAGGAGAAATAAAATACTTTACAGACAAGCAAATGCTGAGAGATTTTGTCACCAACAGGCCTGCCCTAAAAGAGCTCCTGAAGGAAGCACTAAACATGGAAAGGAACAGCCGGTACCAACCACTGCAAAAACATGCCAAATGGTAAACACCATCAATGCCATGAAGAAACTGCATCAATTAATGGGAAAAATAACCAGCTAACATCATAATGACAGGATCAAATTCACACATAACAATATTAACCATAAATATAAATGGACTAAATGCCCCAATTAAAAGACACAGACTGGCAAATTGGATTTAAAGAGTCAAGACCCATCGGTGTGCTGTATTCAGGAAATCCATCTCACGTGCCACTTAAAAATGCACATAGGCTCAAAATAAAGGGATGGAGGAAGATCTACCAAGCAAATGGAAAACAAAAAAAGAAAAAGAAGGGGTTGCAATCCTAGTCTCTGATAAAACAGACTTTAAACCAACAAACATCAAAAGAGACAAAGAAGGCCACTACATAATGGTAAAGGGATCTATTCAACAAGAAGAGCTAACTATCCTAAATATATATGCACCCAATACAGGAGCACCCAGATTCATAAAGCAAGTCCTTAGAGACCTACAAAGAGACTTAGACTCCCACACAATAATAATGGGAGACTTTAACACCCCACTGTCAATATTAGACAGATCAACAAGACAGAAGGTTAACAAGGATATCCAGGACTTGAACTCAGCTCCGGACCAAGTGGACCTAATAGACATATACAGAACTCTCCACCCCAAATCAACAGTATATACATTCTTCTCAGCACCACATCACACTTATTCTAAAATTGAACACATCATTGGTAGTAAAACACTCCTCAGCAAATGTAAAAGAACAGAAATCACAACAAACTGTCTCTCAGACCACAGTGCAATCAAATTAGAACTCAGGATTAAGAAACTCACTCAAAACCACACAACTACATGAAAACTGAACAATCTGCTCCTGAATGACTACTGGGTTCATAATGAAATGAAGGGAGAAATAAAGATGTTCTTTGAAACCAATGAGAACAAAGACACAATGTACCAGAATCTCTGGAACACATTTAAAGCAATGTGTAGAGGGAAATTTATAGCACTAAATGCCCACAAAAGAAAGCAGGAAAGACCTAAAATTGACACCCTAACATCACAATTGAAAGAACTAGAGAAGCAAGAACAAACAAACTCAAAAGCTAGCAGAAGGCAAGAAATAACTAAGATCAGAGCAGAACTGATGGATATGGAGACACAAAATCCCTTCAAAAAATTAATGAATCCAGGAGCTGGTTTTTTGAAAAGATCAACAAAATTGATAGACCACTAGCAAGACTAATAAAGAAGAAAAGAGAGAAGAATCAAATAGATGCAATAAAAAATGATAAAGGGGATATCACCACCAATCCCACAGAAATACAAACATCAGAGAATACTATAAACACCTCTATGCAAATAAACTAGAAAATCTAGAAGAAATGGATAAATTCTATGCAAATAAACTAGAAAATCTAGAAGAAATGGATAAATTCCTGGACACGTGCACCCGCCCAAGACTAAACCAGGAAGAAGTTGAATCTCTGAATAGACCAATAACAGGTTCTGAAATTGAGACAATAATTAATAGCCTACCCACAAAAAAAGTCCAGGACCAGACAGATTCACAGCCAAATTCTACCAGAGGTACAAAGAGTAGCTGGTACCATTCCTTCTGAAATTATTTCAATCAATAGAAAAAGAGGGAATCCTCCCTGACTCATTTTATGAGGCCAGCATCATCCTGATACCAAAGCCTGGTAGAGACACACACAAAAAAGAGAATTTTAGGCCAATATCCCTGATGAACATCGATGCGAAAATCCTCAATAAAATACTGGCAAACTGAATCCAGCAGCACATCAAAAAGCTTATTCACCACGATCAACTCAGCTTCATCCCTGGGATGCAAGGCTGGTTCGACATATGCAAATCAATAAATGTAATCCATCACATAAACAGAACCAATGATAAAAACCACGATGATCTCAATAGATGCAGAAAAGGCCTTTGACAAAATTCAACAGCCCTTCATGCTAAAAACTCTCAATAAACCAGGTATTGATGGAATGTATCTCAAAATAATAACAGCTATTTATGACAAACCCACAGCCAAAACGGGAAGCATTCCCTTTGAAAACCCACACAAGACAAGGATGCCCTCTCTCACCACTCCTATTCAACATACTGTTGGAAGTTCTGGCCAGGGAAATCAGGCAAGAGAAAGAAATAAAGGATATTCAATTAGGAAATGAGGAAGTCAAATTGTCCCTGTTTGCAGATGACGTGATTATATATTTAGAAAACCCCATCATCTCAGCCCAAAATCTCCTTAAGCTGATAAGTAACTTCAGCAAAGTCTCAGGATACAAAATCAATGTGCAAAAATCACAAGCATTCCTATATACCAATGATAGACAAACAGAGAGCCAAATCATGAGTGAACTCCCATTCACAACTACTACGAAGAGAATAAAATACCTAGGAATCCAACTTACAAGGGATGTGAAGGACCTCTTCAAGGAGAACTACAAATCACTGCTCAATGAAATAAAAGAGGATACAAACAAATGGAAGAACATTCCATGCTCATAGATAGGAAGAATCAATATCATGAAAATGGCCATACTGCCCAAGGTAATTTATAGATTCAATGCCATCCCCATCAAGCTACAATGACTTTCTTCACAGAATTGGAAAAAAATACTTTAAAGTTCATATGGAACCAAAAAAGAGCCCGCATTGCCAAGATAATCCTAAGCAAAAAGAACAAAGCTGGAGGCATCATACTACCTGACTTCAAACTATACTACAAGGCTACAGTAACCAAAATAGCATGGTACTGGTACCAAAACAGAGATATAGACCAATGGAACAGAACGGAGGCCTCAGAAATAACACCACACATCTACAACCATCTGATCTTTGACAAACCTGACAAAAACAAGAAATGGGGAAAGGATTCCCTATTTAATAAATGGTGCTGGGAAAGCTGGCTAGCCATATATAGAAAGTTGAAACTCGATCCCTTCCTTACACCATACAAAAAATTAACTCAGGATGGATTAAAGACTTAAATGTAAGACCTAACACCATAAAAACCCTAGAAGAAAACCTAGGCAATACCATTCAGGAGATAGGCATAGGCAAAGACTTCACAACTACAACACCAAAAGCAATGGCAACAAAAGCCAAAATAGACAGATGGAATCTAACTAAACTAAAGAGCTTCTGCACACCAAAAGAAACTATCATCAGAGTGAACAGGCAACCTACAGAATGGGAGAAAATCTTTGCAATCTACCCATCTGACAAAGGGCTAATATCCAGAATCTACAAATAACTTAAACAAATTTAAAAGAAAAAAAGCAAACAACCCCATGAAAAAGTGGCCAAAGGATATGAACAGACAATTCTCAAAAGAAGACATTTATGCAGCCAACAGACATATGAAAAAATGCTCATCATCACTGGTCATCAGAGAAATGCAAATCAAAACCACAATGAGATACCATCTCACGCCACTTAGAACAGCAATCTTTAAGCGGTCAGGAAACAACAGATGCTGGAGAGGATATGGAGAAATAGCAACCCTTTTACACTGTTGGTGGGTGTGTAAATTAGTTCAACCATTGTGGAAGACAGTGTGGTGATTCCTCAAGGATCTAGAACTAGAAATACCATTTGACCCAGCGATCCCATTACTTGGTATATACCCAAAGGATTATAAATCATGCTACTATAAAGACACATGCACACATATGTTTATTGTGGCACTATTCACAATAGTAAAGACTTGGAACCAACCCAAAAGTCCATCAATGCTAGAATGGATAAAGAAAATATGGCATATATACACCATGGAATACTATGCAGCCATAAAAAAGGATGAGTTTATGTCCTTTGCAGGGACATGGATGAAGCTGGAAACCATCATTCTAAGCAAACTGTCACAAGGACAGAAAACCAAACACCGCATGTTCACACTCATAGGTCGGAGTTGAACAATGAGAACACATGGACACAGGGCAGGGGATGTCACACACCAGGGCCTGTTGGGGGGTGGGGGACTGGGGGAGGGATAGCTTTAGGAGAAATACCTAATGTAAATGACAAGTTGATGGGTGCAGCAAACCAACATGGCACATGTATACCTATGTAACAAACCTGCACGCTGTGCACATGTACTCTAGAACTTAAAGTATAATAAAAAAAGAACTAAAAAAACATACACACAAAAAAAGGAAACTCCCTATCTCTATGTAGTCATAGTTCTGCTTCTCATTATTTTTCATATAAACTATTTGCAGTAGCTTCCTAATGGTCGTTAGGCTATCATAATCATTAAGCAGTTAATTTCTCAAAACGATATACACATGCCCTATCCCTCTCCCAAGCTCTGGTCTCTCAATTTCTCAACACTGCTTATAGTCTTAGTAAGATGTTCAAATGCAATGTGAGCTCTCTAACTTTCCTTCATACTCTTCACAAAGATCTTTGCGTTATCATCCACCATATTCTTTTTCTCTTCTGCCTAAAAGAGTAAGTTAACCTTTTCTTTGGGAAAATTATTTAGTATCTTACACACAATAAACCACTTGTTTACACCTTTTTTTTTTTTTTTGAGACAGTGTCTCACTCTGTCACCCAGGCTGGCGTGCAGTGGCACCATCTCGGCTCACTGCAACTTCTGCCTCCCAGGTTCAAGCGATTCTCCTGCCTCAGCCTCCCGAGTAGCTGGGATTACAGGCGCACGCCACCATGCCTGGCTAATTTTTGTATTTTTTAGTAGAGACAGGGTTTCACCATGTTGGGCAGGCTGGTCTCAAACTCCTGACCTCAGGAGTTTGATCCACCTGCCTCAGCATACCTAAGTGCTGGGATTACAGACGAAAGCCACCGCGCCCAGCTTGTTTACATCTTTCATCTCTCTTTTCTTCTCCTTAAGAAATTTTCCATCAATCAAAATACTTTGTTTTCTCTTTCTTCAAAAATATTCATGTAAGCCTCTTTTTTCTCTGAGGGATGTTTTTGAAAAAGTCTATAATTGCTACCTCTAGTTTCTCATAATCCACCTCTCTCCAATGCCATGTAGTCTAGTTTTACTAGTTTAGCTGAAGCTGTCCTCTTGAATGTCACAAATTACTTCCAAGCCAGCCTTTCCCAACTGGGCTTGCATCAGAGAATTAAACCCTATAGAAAATTATTTCAATTATTTAATAATTCTCTGAAGAGTGGCATATAGCTAGGACTATTTTCCATAAACTATTCGCCAGCTCTGCAACACTATAAGGTCTGTATTAAATCCCTGTCCCATATTACTCATGGTCATCCCACTTCTCTGATAAAACCCTAACTGATATAAACCAGCTACAGATTTACTTATTTTTGTGACATCTGCCCTGATGATATAGGTCCTGCTGGTCCTGCCAACTTAATATCATAAATCAGTCTTCAGGAGATAAGTCCCTGTTTTTTGTCCTAACTCCCATTTACCAAAGAATACTTGAGACATTAAAACCAAAATTTAATTAAGTCACAGGACAGCATCTCTTCACTTAAGACAATTAAAAAAGTTAATAATTCCATGTATTTTTCTCATACTCCATTTTCTATTGCAAGTAAACAGCTTCATAGAAATAAAATAAAATCCAAAACTAAAGAATAAAAATTTACCTTTGTTTAAGGTGCACAGTGTACAGTTTCTCATCTATTGGAATAATATAGGATATTTGTTCCTAGAGAATTCAAAACAACTGAGAGTGAAGACAAATTTAATACAAGAAGCAAAACAACAGTTTTATATCAATTAATCTGTCCAAACAATGCTTAAAACATCTTCATTACATTTCTCAGACTACATGTGATTTAAAATGTGCAACAACACATCAAAAAATTTAATATTTACTTATTTTATAATGGTTTTTACTATTTCCACACAAATAAACCCAGTCTAAGGATTTACATAGGATTAAAAATCTACCTGTAACTAACCTGTAACCTCTTATGAATGAATAGGTCACGTGCTACACTAAAATACCTATTTAGGTGGCATCATTGGGATAAGAGGATATTCTACATCAGTGAAGCTTACTCTGTCCACCATAAAAATTATTTAACCATTTTCTTAAAAACCCTCCTAAGATGTATTGTCTGTTCCCTATATTTTAAACAGAAGATTATTGAACAAAATTTAATATTGTCTTTGACTTTATCTCTACTATTTTCAAGTTAGAATATGGATGACAATAGGTTGGAATATCTGTAGGTCAGTGAACCTCAGTGATGAGATTTTATAGAGCAAAAGGGAACACGTGAAAAGCAAGAGGTAGAGAAACAGAGAAAAAATTAGTTAAAACATATAGAAATGAAAAGGACACAAATATCAAAACACAGAAAAAGGATAAGCATTCCAGGATCTCTGAAAATAAGAAGCAACCAGGGTACCATACAGATCAAAGAAGAATGAGGCAGTTTGTTTCCAGGTCAGAAATGAAACCAGATCGTCAACATTATTGGTGATAACTCAACTTGATATCATGTACCCCATGATATGATGTCATGAGGAGAGCACCTCATCTCTATGTTAATCTTCCCTAAAATTCACTGAACATGAGAAAATATCAGACAAATCCAAATTGAGGGGTGTTCTACAAAGTACCTGACCTCCTCAGAACTGTCAAGGTCATGAAATTCAAGGAAAGACTGAGAAACAGAGCAAAGGAGCCTGGGAGGGGGCATGCTGGGTAGTATTCTGGATTGGATCCCGGAACAAAATGGACAGTAGAAGACAAACTAGTTGAAATCCAGAAATCCAAAGAAAGTAGTTTCCTTACTAGTAATGTATCAATACTAATTTCTTGTATTTAATAAATATAATGTATTCATGTGGCTATATAAGAGCTAACATTACAGGAAACTGAGTGAACAGTATATATGGGAACTCTGTAGTCTTTTAGCAATTTTTCTGTATATCTAAAATTATTCCAAATTTTCAGAAGTTTATTTTTAAAAAAGAAAAACCAGACATAAATCGAGAAAACAAAAGAAGCATAACAGGCATATGGCAAATATAAGGCAGAAGGACCAAAGAGAAAACCCTAACCCTGAAACAGCAGGGCATCCTACTTTTTAAATTTGCATTGGTGACACTAGCTCCTTAGTGAGCCTGATCTGAATGTGATAACTGAACACAGATGCTTGAGCATCTTTATCGTTTTTTGTTTTTGTTTTTTTCTTGCGACAGAGTTTCGCTCTTGTTGCTCAGGCTGGAGTGCAGTGGCGCCATCTCAGCTCACCGCAACTTCTGCCTCCCGGGTTCAAGTGATTCTCCTGCCTCAGCCTCCCGAGGAGCTGGAATTACAGACATGCGCCACCACGCCTGGCTAATCTTGTATTTTTAGAAGAGACGGTGTTCCTCCATGCTGGTCAGGCTGGTCTCGAACTCCCAACCTCAGGTGACTCGCCCACCTCGGCCTCCCAAAGTGCTAGGATTACAGGCTTGAGCCACCACACCAGGCCCCATCTTTATCTTTTTTTAAGGTGGATTTGATGTGCAAGCAGTTCTTGGATGAATATTTTTCTCAAACCCAAAACTTAGTAATTATTATTAGTGTCCCAGATAATACTTTGTTTAGCTGTACTTTCACTATGGGAGTTATCATGAAATACCTTTTATTTGCAGACTATATACAGAAGTTTAGGTAGATCTTTAAAGAGTGTAGAGGAGTTGATTATCGGAGGCCATGAGATAATTTACTAAACAATAATGGTAAATTTGTGTTTGCCTCCTCAACAAAGAGGTACCAAAACAGTGAGCAGATAAGCACATGTCAAACAGAGAATCTAGGAGAGAGAACTAGAATTCAGCAGGGAAGTGACAGGGAACCTCTGAGGCCTAGAAGGAAAGACAAGCAAATAAGCAGCTGGCCTGGCCAGGATTGGCTGAGAGCCAGGAGGAAGTCCCCATTGTAGGGAAGAAGCAAGCAAGAGATCTTCCACAGTCCAGGGTCCCACCACGAATGCTCTGCAATACAAGCCACAGGAGAGCCCCTGAGCCTTCACGGGCCCTGCCTACCTGCACTCCTGGTGACTGAATTCTTTCAGACTGGGAATTCACACTGAGTCCCACTCACCCTTCGATACCCAAGCAGAGGCAGCACAGTACCATGTTGAAAGCCCAGCCCCAACAGATTACATCCTGACCTGGGACCCAACAGCCCCATTTCCTCAGCCCTGGAGCCCTGCTGACATCCCCCCATGTCCACCCAGAGGGCTGCAGCAGCGCAACGCCAGCTGGAACAAGTGGGGCAGCTGGGTCCCCAGCACTCTAGCCCACACAATGTCCTACACCCCAGAGAAGGGGCGATGTAGCACATTGGGAAGGCTGCCACCTGGACAAAGGGAGATGAAGCATGCACTCCCCAGAACCTGAGAGCTACCTGCCTGGGGCTGCCAGCACTGACAGCAACCTCACGCGCTCCCAGCAGCAGGGACACAGCACAGTTGCATGGGCCTTCAGTAAGTCTGAGGACCGGCCCACCCAAACGCAGTCCTTGAGCCTGAGGGCAAGCTCAGGCTACCCAACACCACTGTGCCTACATGCACTATCCGGGGATCTGATATCTGGCCAGCCCCACCTGCTATCAGCACCAGTGCCCATGCATGCCTCCCAGGAGCCTGGAAAATGGCCCGCCTAGTCTGCCACAACCCTGACCAGTGCCCACCCACATGCACCAGCCAGGAGCCTGGGAACTGGCTGACCCAGCCTACTGCCACCCGTAATGGTGTTCACATGCACCACCAGACAGCCTGAGGACTGGCCCACTACTGCTACTGCCACTGCTGGTGTCACACACTGCCCAGGGCCCAAGGCCCCATCCACCTGACCTGCCACTGCCACCACTGTAGACTGGCTTGCCTGGTTTCCCCATCCCCAGTAAAGCCTCGCCACAGTCCCCAGTCACAAACATAGCCTAATCCACTGGGAAACTCACAGACATCACTGATGTTGATTATAGTTGAAGAAATCATATAGATATTACATCTCTGCACATGACAACAATATCTGCTTCTGATGTGGGTCTCAAGAAGCTTCCATCCATGGTGGAAGGTAAAGGGGAGCAGATCACATGGTGAGAGAGGAAGAAAGAGAGAGGGAGAGGTGCCAGGTCTCAACTAACAGATCAAGAATTCACTAATTACCATAAGGATGGCACCAAGCCATTCATGAGGGACATCATGACCCAAACACCTCCCATGAGGCCCCACTTCCAACACTGAGGTCAAATTGCAACATGAGGTTTGGGAGAACAAACATCCCAACAATAGCATGGTCCGAAAAAAAGTATTTGAACAAATAATGGCCAAAACCATTCAAAATTTGAAGGAAAACAGTAGTCTACACATCTAAAATTCCAGCCAACCTCAAGAAGAAAAAAATACAAGAAGATACACACCAAGATACATCATATTTAATATGTTGAAAGTCAAACATAAGGAGAAAATCTTGAAAATATCAAGAAAAAAACTCATCACATACAAGGAAGCTGCATTAATACAATTAGTGGCAGATTGTTCATTTGAAATAATGTAGGCCAGAAGGCAGTGAAGACATAAAAAGTGCTGAAAGAAAAAAAAAAATCTGTCAACTAACAATTTTATATCCAGCAAAATCTGCTTTTAAAATGGTGAAATAAAGTCCTGTCTTACAAGAAATACTGAAGAAATTTATTTAGGCTAATAGGAAATAACACCAGATGGTAACTCAAAAAGCAGAAATGGTAAATGTGTGAGTTAACATAAAAAGACTTTAATAGTTTTTCTAATTTCTCTTTTCAATGTCTTTAAAAGATATAGCATTGTGAAAAAGCAATAATTATGATGATATATAGTTGGGTTTAAAAAATATGGATGTAATAATGTGACAAGAACAGTACAGAGAAGAAAGAATTCCATTATATTGGAGCAAAGTTGCTATATTTTACCAGAAATAAGTATTAATCTAAAGTAAATCATGATAGTTAAGATATATTATAATACCTGGATCACCACAAAGAAAATAAGTAGTAAAAATAGCAAAATATTGAGTATAAATTCAACCATATAAATACCTATATTTGATGCAAATGATCTAGAAATCCAAACCAAAAAGCAGAAATAGATTGGTACAATCTATCTATCTCAAAAATAACCTCCGATTGGGCCAGGCGCAGTGGCGCATGCCTGTAATCCCAGCACTTTGGGAGGCCAAGGTGGGCGGATCACCTGAGGTCGGGAGTTCGAGATCAGCCTGACCAACATGCAGAAACCCTGTCTCTACTAAAAATACAAAATTAGCCAGGCGTGGTGGTGCATGCCTGTAATCCCAACTACTCAGGATGCTGAGGCAGGAAAATCGTTTGAACCCGGGAGACGGAGATTGAGGTGAGCCGAGATCGTGCCACTACACTCCAGCCTGAGCGACAAGAGCGAAACTCCATCTCAAAAAATAAAAAACAAAAACCCTCCAATTACATGATGTCTACAAGGGAAACACCTTAGATTCAATACACAAATAGGTTGAAAATAAAATAATGGAAATATATATATTGTAAATAGTAACCATAAAGAGAAGTTATACTAATATCAGACAATATAGGCTTAAAGACAAGAAATATTATCAGAAAGAAAGAAGGACGTTTCACAACAGTAAAATCATCACTGCATCCCAAAGACATAAAAATTGTAAGTGCACACACATTAAATACCAAGCCTCAAAATACATGAAAGAACAACTGACAGAACTGAAAGGAGAAATAGACAATTCAATAATCCTATTTGGAAACTTAAGTACTCCACTCACAATAATGGAGAGAACAACTAGACAAAAAATCAACAAGCACAAAAAAATCTTTGAATGAAACTACTGACAGTCTCATTCTGTCACCCAGACTGGAGTGCTGTGGCACAATCTCAGCTCACTGCAGGCTCTACCTTCTGGACTCAAGTGATACTCCCACCTCAGCCTCCCAGGTAGCTGAGACTACAGGCATGTGCCACCATGGCTGGCTATTTTTTTATGTTTTATTTTTTGGAGAGATGAGATCTCACTATGTTGCCCAGGCTGGTCTCAAACTCCTGGCCTCAAGAGATCCTCCTGGCCAGGCACGGTGGCTCACGCCTGTAATCCCAGCACTTTAGGAGGCCGAGGCGGGCAGATCACGAGGTCAGGAGATCGAGACCATCCTGGCTAACACGGTGAAATCCCCTCTCTACTAAAAATACAAAAAATTAGCTGGGCGTGGTGGCGGGCGCCTGTAGTCCCAGCTACTTGGGAGGCTGAGGCAGGAGAATGGTGTGAACCCGGGAGGTGGAGCTTGCAGTGAGCCGAGATCACGCCACTGCACTCCAGCCTGGGCAACAGAGCAAGACTCTGTCTCAAAAAAAAAAAAAAAAAAGACATCCTCCTGCCTCAGTCTCCCAAAATGCCGGGATTATAGGCATGATAAATGAAACTATTAGCCAACACAAGCTAACTGACTACTAACCCAACAACTGCAGAATTCATATTCTTTTCAAGTGCATAATTAATATTCTTCATGATTGACCATATTCTAGGCCACAAAAAGTCTCAGAAAATAAAACTGAAGTCACAAAAGTACATTTTTTGCTTCAATTGAATTAAATTAGAATCAACAAGAGACAAAACCTAGGAAATCCTCAAAAATTTGAAAATTTAAAAACACACTTCTAAATAACCCATGAATCAAAAAAATTGCAAAGACAACTAGAAAATATTTTAACTGAATGAAAACAAAAACACACCATAGCATAATTTATGGAATCCAGCTAAAGCAATGCTTGTAGAGAAATGTGTGGCTTTAGGTACCTATGTAGAAAGAAAAGAAAAGAAGAGAAGAGGAAGGTATCAAATCAGTAACTTAAATTTCCATCTTAAGACATTTAAACAATGATAACAAACTAACCAAAAGCAAGCAGAAATAACAAAAAAAATTAAACCATAAATAAATGAAATGAAAACAAAAAAACAAAGAAAATCAATGAAACAAGATTATTCTTTGAAAAGATCAACAAAATGGACAAACCTTTAACTAGACTGACGAAGAAAAATAAGAAATTACCAAAATAAGAAATAAAAAGGTACTTCTCTACTGTCCCTTAGAAATTTAAAGTATTATAAGAAAATGTAGGCAGGCAGATCACTTGACGTCAGGAGTTCAAGACCAGCTGGGGCAACATGGTGAAACCCCATCTCTACTAAAAATACAAAAATTAGGTGAGCATGGTAGCAGGCACCTGTAATCCCAGTTACTTGGGAGGATGAGGCAGGAGAATCACTTGAACCTGGGAGGCTGAGGTTGCAGTGAGCCAAGACTGTGCCACTGCACTCCAACCTGGGTGACAGAGTGAGACATTGTCTTGAAAAAAAAAAAAAAAAGGAAATGTGATGTACAATTTTATGCCAACATATTGGATAACTTAGATAAAATTAATAAATTTCTAAAAAGAAACAAGTTACCAAAACTGAATAAAATCCAAATAGACCTATAACAAAGATTACACTCATAATTATAAATCTTCCCAAAAAGAAAGGCCAAGGTGCAGATGAATTCAATGATGAATGCTATCAAATGTTTAAGGAAATAATATTAATCCTTCACAATTCTTTCAAAAT
The DNA here is from genome assembly GCF_000001405.40 of Homo sapiens. Classification (NCBI taxonomy): domain Eukaryota; kingdom Metazoa; phylum Chordata; class Mammalia; order Primates; family Hominidae; genus Homo; species Homo sapiens. Next base: position 35,401 of record NT_187577.1, on the reverse strand, counting down.
ATAGAGAAGAAACATTTCTAAATATAGTCTATGAGGTCAGAATTATGGTGGTTATACAATTATACAACAATTAAATCTAGACATTACAAAAAACAAACTATAGACCAATAGCCCTCTTGAAATATTAGCAGACAAATTCCAGTGACATATAAAAAGAATTATACACCATTTATCACAGAAATGCAAGAATGGTTTAACATCCAAAAATTAATTCATATGGTACACCACATCAATAAACTAAAGGAAGAAAAACACATGATCATTACAATAAATGTAGAAAAAGCATTTGAAAAACCCCAATAAACGTTTACAATAAAATTTGACAAATTTGGAATAGAAGGGAACCTCCTGAACATGATAAAGGCCTTTACAAAAACCTCACTAGTTAACAAGAAATTCAGTGTTAAAAGACTGAGTACTTTCTCCCAAGATAGAAACAAAGCAGAAATGCCCCCTCTTACCATTTCCATTCAACAAACTAAAGACATCTAGAAAGAAAAGGAAAATAAGGCATAAAACAGGATAATGCTGTATTTGCAGTGGCATGATCCTGTTTGTAGAAACTCCCAAAGAATCCACAAAAAAAAAAAAAAGACAAAAAAAAACGAGAACCAATGAACAAATTAGGTAAGGTGGCAAGACACATGATTAATAAACAAAAATCAATGTGTATGTGTATTTCCATATACTAGAAACAATCTGAAAAATCAAATTAAAGGAGCATTTCAGTTCACAATAGCATGAAAAATAATAAAATACTTGATGATAAATTTACCAAAACAAGTGAAGGTCCTCCTGTGCATTAAAAATTACCAGATGAAGAACCAAGTATCCCCAGAATGAAGAACTGAGCATTCCCAGTCAAGGGATATTGGAGGCCAATATTCAACATTCTTATAGAAAAGAATTTCCAACATAGAATTTCATATCAGGCCAAACTAAGCTGCATAACTGAAGGAGAAATACGATTCTTTCCAGACAAGCAAATGCTGAGGGAAATCATCACCACCAGGCCTATCTTGGAATAATGCCTGAAGGAAGCACTAAATATGGAAACAAAAACCTGTTACCAGCCACTACAAAAACACTGAAGTACACAGACCAGTGACACTATGAAGCAACTGCATAAACAAGTCTGTAAAATAACCAGCTAGCATCATGATGACAGGATCAAATTCACACATAACAATACTAACATTAAATGTTAATGGGCTAAATGTCCCAATTAAAAGACACAGACTGGCAAGCTGGATAAAGAGCCAAGACCCATCAGTATGCTGTCTTTAAGAGACTATCTCAAGTGCAAAGACACATAGGCTCAAAATGAAGGGATGGAGGAAAATTTACCAAGCAAATAGAAAACAGAAAAGAGCAGAGGTTACAAACCTAGTTTCTGACAAAACAGACTATAAACCAACAAAGATAAAAAATGACAAAGAAGGGCATTACATAATGCTAAAGGGTTCAATTCAACAAGAAGAGCTAATTATCCTAAACATATATGCACCCAATACAGGCACAACCAGATTAATAAAGCAAGATCTTAGAGACCTACAAAGAGCCTTAGACTCCCACAAAATAACAGTGGGAGACTTTAACAGCACACTGTCAATATTAGACAGATCATCGAAACAGAAAATTAACAAAGATATATGGGACCTGAACTCAGCTCTGGATCAAGCAGACCTGATAGATATCTACAGAAATCTCAAGAATAAGAAATTCAGTCAAAACCACACAAGTACATGGACATTGAACAACCTGTTCCTGAATAACTGTTGTGAAAATAATCAAATCAAAGCAGAAATCAAGAAGTTATTTGAAACTAATGAGAAAAAAGAGACAGCATACCAGAATCTCTGGAATGCAGCTAAAACAATTTTAAGAGGGAGATTTATAGCACTAAATGCCCACATCAAAAAGCTAGAAAGATCTCAAGTTAACAACCTAACATCACAACAAAAAGAACTAGAGAACTAAGAGCAAACAAACCCCAAAGCTAGAAGAAGACAAGAAATAACCAAAATCAGGGCAGAACTGAAGGAGATAGAGATATGAAAAATCCTTCAAAAAATCAATAAATCCAGGAGCTGGTTTTTGGGGAAAAAAATAATAATATAGATAGACTACTAGCTTGACTAATAAAGAAGAAAAAGAGAGAAGATTCAAACACAATCAGACATGATACAGGGGATATCACCATTGACCCCACAGAAATACAAACAATCATCAGAGAATACTATAAACACCTCTATGCACATAAACTAGAAAATCTAGAAGAAATGGAAAAACTCCTGGCCACATACACCCTCCCAAGACTGAACCAGGAAGAAACTAAATCCCTGAATAGACCAATAACAAGTTCTGAAAGTGAGGCAGAAATAAATAGCCTACCAACGAAGAAAATCCCAGGACCAGATGGAATCAAAGCTGAATTCTACCAGAGGTAAAAAGAAGACAAAGAAAAGCTGGTACCATTTCTACTGAAACTATCTATACAGTTGAAAAGAAAGGGACTCCTCCCTAACTCATTTTATGAGGCCAGTATCATCCTGATACCAAAACCTGACAGAGATACAACAAAAAAAGAAAACTTCAGGCCAATATCCCTGATGAAAATCAGTGCAAAAATCCTGAATAAAATACTGGCAAACTGAATCCACCTGCATATCCAAAAGCTTATCCACCATGATCAAGTAGGCTTCATCCCCAGGATGCAAGGTTGGTTCAACATATGCAAATCAACAAGTGTGATTCATCACATACACAGAACTAAAGACAAAAACCACATGATTATCTCAATAGATGCAGAAAAGGCCTTTGATAAAATTCAATATTGCTTCATGTTAAAAACCCTCAGTAAACTAGGTATTGAAAGAACATACCTCAAAATAATAAGAGCCATATATGACAAACCCACAGTCAGTATCATACTAAATGGGCAAAAGCTGGAAGCTTTTCCCTTGCAAACTGACACAAGACAAGGATGCACTGTCTCACTCCTATTCAATACAGTACTGGAAGTTCCAGCCAGGGCAATCAGGCAAGAGAAACAAATAAAGGATGTTCAAATAGGAAGAAAGGAAGTCAAACTGTCCTTAAGATGACATGATCCTATATCTAGAAAACCCCATCCTCTCAGCCCAAAAGCTTCTTAGGCTAATAAGCAACTTCAGCAAAGTATCAGGATACAAAATCAATGTGCAAAAATCACTAGCATTCCTATACACCAACAATAGGCAAGCAGAGAACCAAGTCATCAATTAACTCCCATTCACAACTGCTACAGAAAGAATAAAATACCTAGGAATGCAGCTAACGAGGGAAGTGAAGGACCTCTTCAAGGAGAACTACAAACCACTCCTCAAAGAAATCAGAGAGGACACAAACAACTGGAAAAACATTCCATGCTCATGGATAGGAAGAATCAATATCATGAAAATGGTAATTTATGGCCTACCAAAAATAATTTATAGATTCCATGTTATTTCCATTACACTACCATTGACATTCTTCATAGAATTAGAAAAACTATTTTAAGATTCATATGGAACCAAAAAAGAGCCCAAAGAGCCCAAATAGCCAAGACCCGAACTCGAGCAAGAAGAACGAAGCTGAAGGCATCATGCTACATGACCTCAAACTACTACAAGGCTACAGTAACCAAAACAGCATGTTACTGGTACAAGAACAGACACATTGACCAACGGAACAGAATAGAGAACTCAGAAATAAGACCGCATGCCTACAACCATCTGATCTCTGACAAACCTGACAAACACAAGCAATGGGGAAAGGATTTCCTATTTAATAAGTGGTGCTAAGAGAACTGGCAAACCATATGCAAAAAATTTAAACTGGACTCCTTCCTTATACCCTATACAAAAAGTAATTCAAGATGGATTAAAGACTTAAATGTAAAACCCAAAGTAAGAAAATCTGTAAGAAAATCTAGGCAATTCAGGACAAAGGTATGGATAAAGATTTCATGATGAAAACACCAAAAGCAATTGCAACAAAAATTAACAAATGGGATCTAATTAAACTAAAAAGCTTCTGTGGGGCAAAAGAAAGTATGATCAGAGTGAACAGACAACCTACAGAATGGGAGAAATTTTTGCAATCTACTCACTGTACACTAAAAATTACCAGATGAAGAATCGAGTACCCCTAGGATGAAGAACTCATTCTAGCATCAATTCCAAGTTCGAAATTCCATCTAAATATCACTTAAATCAGGTACGGTTGAGATTCAAGTTATGATTCATCCTGAGGCAAAATTCCTCTCCAGTTGTGAACCTGTGAAACCAGACAAGTTACGTGCTTCCAAAACACAATAGTAGGACAGGCATAGAATAGCTATTCCCATGCCAACAAGGAGAAACCAGAAAAAAAGAAAGGAGTGACAATCCCAACAAAGTCCAAAACCTAGCAAGACAAATTCCGTTAGATCTTAAGATCTGACAAACAACAAATATCCAGAGTTTACAAGGAACGTAAGCAAATTTATAAGAAAAAAACAAAAAACTCCATTAAAAATTGGGCGAAGGATGTGAACAGACTCTTGCAAAAAGAAGACATACATGTGGCCAACAAACATATGAAAAAAACTCAACATCATTGCTCATTTGAGATACGCAAATCAAAACCACAATCAGATACTATCTTACACTAGTTAGAATGGTGATTATTAAAAAGTCATAAAACAACAGATACTGGCAATGTTGCAGAGAAAAAAGAACACTTTTACACTGTTGGGGGGAATGTAAATTAGTTCAACCATTGTGGAAGACAGTGTGGCAATTCCTCAAAGACCTAGAGGCAGAAATACCATTTGACCTAGCAATCCCTTTACTGGGTATATAACCAAAGGAATATAAACTATTCCATTGTAAAGATACATACACATGTATGTTTATTGCAGCAGTATTCACAATAGCAAAGACATGGAAGCAACCCAAATGCCCATCAACAATAGACTGGATAAAGAAAATGTAGTATATTGGCTGGGCGCGGTGGCTTATGCCTGTAATCTCAGCACTTTGGGAGGCCAAGGCGGTGGATCACAAGGTCAGGAGATCAAGACCATCCTGGCTAACACGGTGAAACCCCGTCTTTACTAAAAATACAAAAATTAGCTGGGCATGATGGCAGGTGCCTGTAGTCCCAGCTACTCGGGAGGCTGAGGCAGGAGAATGGCATGAACCCGGGAGGTGGAGCTTGCAGTGAGCAGAGATCACATCACTGCACTCCAGCCTGGTCGACAGAGCAAGACTCCGTCTCAAAAATAAAAAAAAAAAAAAAGAAAAAGAAAATGTGGTAAATCTATACCATGGAATACTATGCAGTCATAAAAAGGAACAAGATCATGTCCTTTGCAGAGACATGGATAGAGTTGGAATCCATTATCCTCAGCAAACTAATGCAGGAACAGAAAACCAAACACTGCCCATTCTCACTTATAAGTGGGAGCTGAATGATGAGAACATATGGACGCATAGTGGGGAAAAACACACAATGGGCCCTGTCAGAGAGCTGGGGGAGGGAGAGCATTAGGAAGTATAGCTAACGGATGCTGAGCTTATACCTAGGTGATGGGATGATATGTGCAGCAACCCACCATGGCACACATTTACCTATATAACAAACCTGCACAACCTGTACATGCACCCCTGAACTTAAAATAAATGTTAAAGAAAAAAAAAAAAAGAAGGCCAGGCACAGTGGCTCATGCCTGTAATCCCAGCACTTTGAGAGGCTGACGGAGGTGGATCACCTGAGGTCAGGACATCAAGACCAGCCTGGCCAACATGGCGAAACCCCGTCTCTACTAAAAATACAAAAATTAGCTGGGTGTCATGGCGTGTGCCTGTAATCCCAGCTACCTGGGAGGCTGAGGTAGGAGAATCACTTGAACGCAGGAGGCAGAGGTTGCAGTGAGCCAAGATCGCGCCACTGCACTCTAGCCTGGGAGACAGAGTGAGACTCCAACTCAAACAAAAAAAAAAAAAAAAGGAAAGAAAATTACCAAACTTTAATGACAGAAATTAAAGCTCTAAATAAATGAAAGTATCATACATGTTCATAGATCAGAGCACTCAATATTGTAAAAAGAGCAATTCTCCCAAATTAATCGATACATATTAAATGTAATCTCTATCAAAATCCAAGCAGTTTTTCTTGTAAAAATGAGCATGCAATATGGGAAATGAATTTGGAGGGAACCACAAGGAAGAATGTTATGGATTGAATTGTGCCCCCCGACCAAATCCATATGTTGAAAACCAAACCCCCAGTGTGGAGACAGGACCTTTAAGGAGATAGAGTTAAATGTGATCATAGAGGTATTTTTAGTTGTTCTAAAAATATATATGGAAATAAAAAGGACTTAGAATAGTCAAAGCAATTTTGGAAAAGATGAATAATGAAGGATTTACACTACCCAATTCCAAATCTTGCCCTAAAATGCACAATAATCAAAGCAATGAGATCTTGGTGCAAAGAAAGCCAGCTAGATAAATGGCAAAGACATGAAAGTCCAGAAATAAACCTTTACATTTTTATTTACTTGATCTACAAAGGTATCAAAACAATTCAGTGGGGAAAGTATAGTCTTTTCTACAAACAGTGCTGGGAAAGTTGGATCCACAGGCAAAAAAAACTGAACTTATATCCTGACCTCACACCATATACAAAAGTTTACTCAAATTGGCTCATAGACTATGAGCTAGTAGAAAACACAGAAGAAAATCTTTGTGAGCTTGGGTTAGGTAAAGACCTTACATTAGTCTGCTTAGGCTGCCATAATAAAATATTACAGGCATGGTGACATTAACAACAGAAATTTTAGGACCAGGTGTGGTGGCTCATGCCTGTAATCCCAACACTTTGGGAGGCCAAGGTAGGCAGACCACTTGAGGTCAGGAGTTCAAGACTAGCCTGGCCAACATGGCAAAACCCCATCTCTACCAAAAAATAGCCAAGCGTGGTGGCACATGCCTGTAATTCCAGCTACTTGGGAGGCTGATGCATGAGAATTGCTTGAACCTGGGAGTCAGAGGTTGCAGTGAGCCAAGATAGCACCACTGCACTCCAGCCTAGACAACAGAGGAAGACTCTGTCTCAAAACAAAAACAAAAACAGAAATGTTATTTTCTCACAGTTCTGGATGTTAGAAATCCAAGATAAATATGCTAGCAGGTTGGTTTCTGGTGAGGCCTCTCTTTACGGCGTGTAGGTAGCTCTTTTCTCACTATGTTCTCACATGGCCTTTTTTCTGTGTATGCATGGAGACAGACAAGGACCTCTTGTATCTCTTCCTCTTCTTATAAGGACACCAGTCCAATCAGATTAAGGTCACACCTCTATGATCACATTTAACTCTATCTCCTTAAAGGTCCTATCTCCATACTGGGAGTTTGGTTTTCAACATATGGATTTGGCGGGGGACACAATTCAATTCATAACATTCTTCCCTATGGTGCGCCCCCCAAATTCATTTCCTTCTTGCATGGAAAAGCCCCAAAGCCTTAACTCATTCTAGCATCAATTCCAAGTTCAAAATTTCATCTAAATGTCACTTAAATCAGGTATGGTTGAGATACAAGTTATGACTCATCCTGAGGCAAAATTCCTCTCCAGTTGTGAACCTGTGAAACCAGACAAGTTATGTGCTTCCAAAATACAATAGTAGAACAGGCATAGAATAGCTATTCCCATGCCAACAAGGAGAAACCAGAAAAAAAGAAAGGGGTGACAATCCCAACAAAGTCCAAAACCTAGCAAGACAAATTCCGTTAGATCTTAAGGTTCAAGAATACTCTTCTTTGACAGGATGCTCTACCCTGCTGGGCCCACTTGGACAGCAACTCTCCCATGGCCCTAGGGACTGGCCCCATCCCCTCAGCTCTGTAAAGCGGCTCTGCCCCCACAGCTCTGGGTGACAGCCTTGTTCCTGGGGTAATAAACAGTGACATCCTAGACTACTGAAACCAAGGAGGTGGCCCCACTCTCTGAAACCAAAGAGAATGCAGCCTTGCCTCCTGGGCCTGTAGCAGGAGTGGCAGCCCTGATGATCTCTGAATTGCTTTCAGGGTCATTCTTCTCTTTTTCTTTTTTTATTATACTTCAAGTTCTGGAGTACATGTGCAGAACATGCAGGTTTGTTACATAGGTATGCACGTGCCATGGTGGTTTGCTGCACCCATCAACCCGTCATCTACATTAGATATTTCTCCTAATGCTCTCCCTCCCCTAGCCCTCCACCCCCCGACTGGCCCCAGTGTGTGATGTTCCCCTCCCTGTGTCCATGTGTTCTCATTGCTCGACTCCTACTTATGAGTGAGAACATGCGGTGTTTGTGAAGAATGATGCATGTTTGAAGCCAGACAACTCTATCGTCCTATCCTGTAGAATCCCAGAAGTTAAACAGCCTTCCTTCATTCTATCCAATTTTCTCTGTTCCCTTTAGTTCCAGCTGGCAGTGTTTCTGCTGATGTAATCCCGTCTCTGATCCTGGCTTCACTTGACATGGCGGATTAAATCATGAGGAATCTTTTTATTGTCTGATTGTCCAGCTACACCTTTGGTGTTCTTTCTAAAACATCATTTCTCATTTTAAAAAATACAAAGTAGGCTGAAAATTTCTCAAATCTTCAAGTTCTTGTTCCTTTTTGCTAAATAATTCCTTCCATTTACCTCTCTTCTCTTGCATTTTGCATTTTCTATAAGCAGTGATGACAAAACAAGCCACATCTTCAGCATTTTGCTTAGAAATCTCCCCAGCTAAATACCCAAGGTTTTCCCCCACAATTTCTACCTTCTACAAAAGACTAGAACACAATTCAGCCAAGTTCTTTGCCACTTTTTAACAAGGATCTCCTTTCCTCCAGTCTCCAATAACATTTCTCATTTCTATCTGTGACCTCACTAGAAACACTTTTTTTTTTTTTTTTTTTGAGACGGAGTCTTGCTCTGTCACCCAGGCTAATGTGCAGTGGCCCAATCTCGGCTCACTGCAACCTCTGCCTCCTGGGTTCAAGCAATTCTCCTGCCTCAGTCTCCCGAGTAGCTGGGACTACAGGTGCCTGCCACCACGTCCAGCTAATTTTTGTATTTTTAGTAGAGACAGGGTTTCACCATGTTACCCAGGTTGGTCTTGAACTCCTGACCTCAGGTAATCTGCCCACGTCAGCCTCCCAAAGTGCTAGGATTACAGGTGTGAGCCACCGTGCCCGGCCCAGGAACACCTTTAATGTTCATATTTCTACCAGTTCTATTCTGTTCATAATGATATGTATATTCCCTAAGACGATAAAAGCTTTCTCTATAAGTCTTTTCTTTCTGATCCTTCATTAGAATTACCTTTAGCATCCATATTTCTACCAACAGTCCCTTCAAGGCAATCTAGGCTTCTTCTTAGCATGTACTTCACCAGTCTTCTAGCCTCTACCCTTCACTCAGTTCCAAATCCACTTCAACATTTTTAGGTATTTGTTACAGCAGCACCCCACTTCACAATACCAAAATCGGATTACTCTGCTCAAGCTACCCAAACAAAATGCCACAGACAAGGTGGCTTAACCAACAAAAATGTATTTTCTCACAGTTCTGGAGGCTGGAAGTCCAAGATCAAGGTGCCAACAGGGCTGATTTCTGGTGAGGCCTCTCCTCTTGGCTTGCAGACAGCTGCCTTCTTGTTGTATCCTTTCATGACCTTCAGTTTGTATGCATGAACCCCTAGTATATTTCCTCTTCTTATAAGTACATCAGTCCTATTAGATTAATTAAAGCCCTACCCTTGTGACAGCATATAACCTTAATTACCTCCATAAGGCCCTTGACCTCATGTAACCTTAATTACCTCCATAAGGCCCTATCTCCAAATATAGTCACATTAGGGGTTAGGGATTCAACATATGAATTTTGAGGGGCCACAGTTCAGTCCATAACAGAGTTCTTAGATACAAAACCAAAAACAAGATCCATAAAAAGAAAATTTGATAAACTGAATGTCATCAAAATTGAAAATGTTTGTGTTTGAGAAAACACCACTGAGAAAAATGAAAAAGCAAGCCAGAAATTGGGAGAAAATAATTCCAAATAGAGAAGTTGTGTCCAGAATATATAATGAATTCATAGAACTCAAAAATAAATAAACAACTAAATTTTAAAACAGGAGAATAATTTGAGTAGACATTCCACAGAAAAGGCATATAAATGGCTATTAGGCTCATGAAAAATACTCAGCATAATTATTCATTAAAGAAATGCAAATTGAAGCCACAATTACATACCACTACACTCCCACTACAATAGCTTTAATCTGAAAGACAGAAAACATCAAATGTTCACAAGTATGTGAAAAAACTGGAACACTCAAAAATTGCTGATGTGACATGTAAATTGGTACAGTCACTATGGAAAACAGTGTAGCAGTTTCTAAAAATGTTAAACACAAACTTATCATGTGCCCAGCAATTTCACTCCTAAGAATCTACCCAAGGGAAAATATATGTCCATACATGAATGTTCATAAAAGAATTATTCATAATACTCAATATCAGAAAACAATCCAAAGTCCATCAACTGGAGAATGAGAATGGATAAGCAAAATGTGGTATATCCACATATAAGATATAAAAATTAATAACCTGATAAATGCTACAAAATGGATAATCCTAAGTGAAAAAAGTCTAATACAAAAGCTTACATATTGCATGCTGCCATTTATATAAAATGCCCCTAAAGAGGCAAATACATAGAGATAGACAACAGATCAGCGGTTGCCAAGGGCTGGAGAAGAACTACAAATGTGCATAAGGGATCTTTTTAGGATTGATAGCAACATTCTACAACTGGACTGTGGTAATGTTTGCACAATTCTATTTATGTACTGCTGTAATAATTGTTGAGTTGTACCCTTAAAATGGGTGAACTCTATGGTGTTGTAAATTGCACCTCAACAAAACTGCTAAAAATAGAATGTTACCAAAAGATTGGTCACTTATAAGCAAAGCTTGCTTAATTATATTTCTTTTTTTTAAATCTCCTAAGACACCTGGCATATAGGTATGCACATGGCAAGTCTAGAGAAATAGTTGCTAAATAAATCAATGAACAAAATAAAGTATTTCCCTTTCTAATAAAAATAGTAGAATGAAATGTTTCTTCTCGTCTGAGAATTGCTAGGTGTAGGGGTGGAGATTGAGAAACAGGCTTTAGTTAAAAGAAATTGTCTTAGACATTTTGGAGAAAATTATTCTCTTTGTGCTGATGTCCTAGATATCACTCAGATAAAACACTTAATTCTACATTCTCTTCTATATGTAAACTTTTAAAAATAATTTACCATAAGAAAATGACAAACATTAAAAAAATACAGAACATTCTAATTTACCTATTTGCTTTTACCATCAAAGCTTTTAATTCCTATCAGTAGAAATACAAGAGACATTATATTCATATTAAAATGGGCTTGACATATTTCATAGCTATATAATAAAAATATGAAATTTCATATAAACATTTAGATTGTGAAAAAATATCTCTTACATATTCTATTTCTGAACTGTCATTTGTATTTGTTTGGATTTTCTCTGGAATTACGATCTGTAGAAGTGAATTTTGAAAACCTGAAGAGATAAAAAAAAAAAAAAGTTAGTAACCTTGCCTTAATTTGATTAAATATCTGTTCAGTTTCTTTCATAAAGTTTACTTGTGCAGGTATGGGTGGCTCATCACTGTGTACTTCTATAAAAAGCTTGAAAACACTTAATTTGAAAAACAGACAAGATACTTATGAAAGAACAAAAAAGGAGAAGGGAAGAGGTATGCAGCTCGCACAAAATGTGTGGTTCTGAAGAAAATAGAAAATACACACCAAAAAAATCAAAGACATACTTCAAAAACTTTTTCCTGAAATAAAAGATTCAAAACAATAGACTAGAAAGTATACTGTATTTCAGGAATAACTAATCATTACTTTAAACTAAAACATATTCTACTGAAATTGTTGGGTTTCCAAGATAAAGAATTCCTTGAAAATATGATAGAAAGAAAAAAAAAGAAAATCATGTTATGTATAAGGGGAGATAAGCAGGCTGGCTTGAGAATTTTTACCACAGTATTTAATGTTAAAAGACTAAAGAACAATGTCTAAAAAAGAACTTTAAGAAAAGACAGTGAAGACCCTATAAATGTATACCCAGCAAAAAGGCCATTAAATATAAAGTCAGAAGATAGATATTTACAAGCAAAACTCAAAAAAAAAAAGTTCACATGTGTCTACCACAAAAGTCAGAGACATTTCTCCCAATAAAAATATCAGCAGAGTTGTGGTAAAATGCCTAACAGTGAGAAAAAAAAATCTTAAATATAGACTAAAGGCTAAAACAACTGTGGGAATCACAGTTACATAACAGATGCAAATGTTAAAAGCTCTGGTTACATAAACATAATATATACAACTTCAGGAACTGTAGCAGAAGAAGAGGAAGATCACATAAGCATACTGATTTCCTTAAATCTGCTTAACAGGGCCGGGCATGGTGGCTCATGCCTGTAATCCCAGCACTTTGGGAGGCCAAGGCAGGTGGATCACAAGGTCAGGAGTTCCAGATCAGCCTGGCCAACATAGTGAAACCCCGTCTCTACTGAAAATACAAACATTGGCCGGGCATGGTGGCATGTGCATGTAGTCCCAGCTACTCCGGAGGCTGAGGCAGGAGAATCGCTTGAACCCAGGAGGCAGAGATTACAGTGAGCCAAGATCACACCACTGCACTACAGCCTGGGCAACAGAGAAAGACTCTGTCTCAAAAAAAAAAAGTAACCATAATCATTAAATGCCACAACTAACATCATACTGAATGGGGAAAAGTTGAAAGCCTTTTCTCTAAGAACTGGAACAAGACAAGGATGCCCACTCTCACCACTCCCATTCAACATAGCGCTAGAAGTCCTAGCCAGAGCAATCAGGCAAGAGAAAGAAATAAAAGGCATCCGAATAGGAAGAGAGGAAGTCAAACTCTCTCTCTTCACAGACGATATGATTCTACACCTAGAAAACCCTATAGTTTCTGCCCAAAGGCTCCTAGATCTGATAAGCAACTTCAGTAAAGTTTCAGGATACAAAATCAATGTACAAAAATCACTAGCATTTCTATACACCAGCAACAGCCAAGCCAAGAGCCAAAATAAGAACAGGATCCCATCCAGAATAGCCACAAAAAGAACAAAATACCTAGGAATACAGCTAACCATGGAGGTGAAAGATCTCTACAAGGAGAACTACAAAACACTGCTCAAAGAAATCAGAGATGACATAAACAAATGAAAAAACATTCCATACTCATGGATAGGAAGAATCAACGTTGTTAAAAGGCCCATACTGCTCAAAGCAATTTACAGATTCAGTGCTACTTCTATCAAACCACCAATGTCAGTTTTTCACAGAATTAGAAAAAACTATTCTAAAATTCATATGGAACCATAAAAGAGCCCAAAGAGCCAAAGCAATCCTAAGCAAAAAGAAGAAAGCAAGAGGTCTCACACTACCTGTCTTCAAACTATACTACAAGGCTACAGTAACCAAAACAGCATGGTACTGGTACAAAAACAAACACATAGACCAATGGAACAGGTTAGAAAACTCAGAAATAAAGCCACACACCTATAACCATCTGATCTTTGACAGTTAACAATAACAAGCAATGGAGAAAGGACTCTCTATCCAATAAATGGTGCCGGGATAACTGGCTACTCATATGCAGAAGACTGCAACTGAACCTTTTGCCATATTCAATAACCAATGCAAGATGGATTAAAGACCTAAATGTACAACTTAAAACTATAAATGCCTTAGAAGAAAACCCAGGACATGCCATTCTAGACATCTTTGTCTTGGCAAAGGTTTCATGATGAAGACTCCAAAAGCAATTTCAACAAAAACAAAAATTGAGAAGTGGGACTTCATTAAACTAAAGAGCTTCTGCACAGCAAAAGAAATTACCAACCAAGTAAATAGGCAACCTGCAGAATGCAGAAAATATCAACAAACTATGCCAACAAAGGTCTAATATCTGGACTCAATAAGGAGCTTAAACAATTCAACAAGCAAAAAAAAAAAAACCCATTAAAAAATGGGCCAATGACATGGACACTTCTCAAAATAAAACATACATGTGGCCAAGAAGCATATGAAAAACTTATCATTAGAAAAATGAAAGTCAAAACAACAGTGACATATCATGTCACACCAATCAGAATGACTTATTAAAAAGTCAAAAAATAATAGGTGTTGGCAAGGTTGCAGAGGAAAGAGAATGCTTATACACTGCTGGGGAGAATGTAAGTTAGTTCAACCACTGTGGAAAGCAGTGTGATTTCTCAAGGAACCTAAAAGAGAACTCCCATTTTACCCAGCAGTGTGATTTCTCAAGGAACCTAAAAGAGAACTCCCATTTTACCCAGAAGTCCCATTACTGAGTATATACCCAAGGGAATATAAATCATTCTACCATGAAGACACATGCACACGTATATTCATTGCAGCACTTTTCACAATAGCAAAGACATGGAATCAACCTAGACATCCATCAGTGGTGGACTGGATAAAGAAAATGTTGTGTATATACACCATGGAATACTATACAGCCATAAAAAAATGAAATCACGTCCTTTGCAGCCACATGGTTGCAGCTGGAGGCCACTATCCTAAACAAATTAACACAGGAACAGAAAACCAAATACCACATATTCTCACTTATGAGCGGAGGCTAAACATTGAGTACACATGGATGCAAAGAGGGGCACAATAGAACCAGAACTTACTTGAAGGTGGAGGATGGGAGGAGGGAGAGGACTGAAAAACTACTTCTCAGATACTGTGCTCACTACCTGAGTAATGAAATCATTTGTACATAGAACCCCAGTGACACGCAATTTACCCATGTAACAAACCTGCACATGTACCTCCAAACCTAAAATTAAAGTTGGAAGAAAAAATAAAATAAAACTTATGAAAAAAATTTTTAAACATGATTCCTTGCTTTGACTGGGAATCAGGGAATTCTGAAGTGGCAGACAATTGACTCTCAGAGACAGGTGAGCACAATTACCAGAAGAAGCCACAAGGACAGAGTGAAAAACAAAATGCTTTCACCTACAGAGATCCTTGGTAGTATCTAACTGATCACAGAGTCCCTAGGAATGAACTAGATGAGCAGTCTAGTCAAGAAAATTCTAGCTTGTGGTGCGCAGAAACTGATGCAATCACCACGAGGACTCACAGCCTCTTCCCTGGTTCCTACACCTGACCCAGTTCAGAGGCTTGCAGCCTTTTCATTAAGGAGTGAGGGAGTCCTCTTTAGGAAGGACCTTGCCATGCAACCACAGGAATGTGCTGCGAATCTTCCCCTGCAGACTCCTCCATAGTGTCCTGTGTCCTTTTACCATGATGACTATGCCCAGGGGAGGGGAAATAGCCAGACTTTCAGGGAGTATTATTTACTGACTCTGAACTGACACTAATCCTGAGGACTCAAAATACCAGCATGGTCCATTGATCAGAATAGGGACTTATATAGATCAAGGGATAAATTGTGACCTGGATCCATCAATGGTGAACGAAGTTATAGATTTTGTGAAATGAACTAGCTCGTTGAAATTAAAGTCTCATTAGTTAGTTCATGTGAAATTATAGTTGATTAGTGAAAAAAATATAGATTCCAATGTGTTGATTTGTTGAAAAAAATCAACACGTCTCCTAATACCTAATATGCAGTTATTGACCTGGAAAATGTTATTTTCAATTCCAATCAGCAATGGTGACAAATGCCTTCATCTGACAAGAACAATAATACTATTTTCACCACCTTCCCTTCAAGCTGTCAACTGTCCTGTCGTAGCTCAGAGGGACACTGACCGTTTTGATTTCCCATTAGAACATCATGCTGGTCAAGTTGCATGATGTGAAAGACATCATGCTTATATATTTAGTGAGCAAGAAGTAGCAAGTGCCCTAGATGTTTCAGTAAGATACATGCATGCCAGAATGTGGTAGAAGAACCTATGGAGGTTAAGGGATAGTTACAACCCCAAAGTTTCTTGGGGTCCAGTGGTTGCAGCATGCTGAGATATCCTGTACAAAGTGAGATGCTAGTGGCTACACCTTGCATAGTCCACCACAAAAAAAAAGAGTCACAACGAGTGGCAGGCCGTTTTGAGTTTTTGAATTCAGAGATAATACATACTGTTTTGGGGTGTGAGAGCCTGAATCATTCATCGGGTGACTGGTAAAACTGTCAAAATTGACTTGGACCCAGCGCAAGAGAAGAATCTGCAGCAAGTTCAAGATATAGATGGCACTGCCCTGCTTCAGTGTTATGACACAGGACACCCTGCAGTACCCACTGCACTGACACTCATAATGTTACTCATGTGGCTGCAGTCATCTGGCAGCTCGCCTAGGCCTGGAGAGACTAAGACGACCCCATTCATGTCTTTTGACTGAACGGCCTAGGTTGAGTCATCTCTGTTTCACACATCCTCTTATCGTCCTAGTCTAGGATTCTTCATGTAGCAGTCAAGACAGTGCTTCAAGAGAGCAGAGAGGAAGCTGCAAAGCCTCTTGAGGCATAGACTTGGAAGTCTCACAACTCATTTCTACCACATTCAAATGGCCAGAGCAAGTAATGAGGCCAACCAGATTCAGAGAGTGAAGAAATACATTCTACCTCTCAATGGGAGGAATGACAAAGAAATGTTGCAAAATGGAAGCACACACAGGGATGGAGGAAGTGTTAAGGCCATTGTCATCTTTGCAAACAATCAATTCAACACATGTGATATGGCTTTCTACTGTTACTAGTCTGTGCGTTTCATCGTTAATTATTGATGCCCACATCTCTATAGATAGTCCCATAGCTAAACTCTCTTTATTTAAACCCTTTCAGTGTATCCTCAGTCTCATGACAGGTCTCTAAGTGAGACCTACCTGTGTACTTTGGGGGCAAGGGGGTGGTGATAGTTTAACATCTACTAAATGTGGCATTTCAAATGAATGGGGGAATGATGTAATATCAGTATTTATCCATTTGGAAAAATACAAATATAGTTTCCTATCTAGCACCACAGTGTGGATTACAAGACTTCATGTACAAAGTTACAAAACTATTAGAAAGACTGAAAGGCTACGTTGTCTAAAGTTGTAAAATAACTTTAAGAAAGTATGGGAAACTATTTGTTTTAATCATTGTACCAAGGGAAGCCTTAATACGGAAAACAAAATGCAGAAGCCATAAGAAAGTGTTGATAAACTTAGTACAAAAATCAGGATATCACAAGTGAAAAGATCAATAACACATTGAAGAAAACTTGTGCAAGATATAGAAAAAATAAAATGATTAATATCCAAAATATATTAAAAATAGATGACATACATAAATTTATACAATATGCTTTTGTCATTTATAATTTACTTCAAAAGGACCGTATATGTCTACATTTACACATATTTATATCTAAGTGTCTAGAGAAAAGTCCAGAAGAGTACCATCAAACTGTTAAACATAGTCGTTTTCTTTAAAAATATAGTAAAATTGACAATCAGGAAAGATGGTAACATATAGGGTAGCCTCTTTTACTTCATTTTGAATGTAATCACATATTACTAAATAAAAATTATTAACAAGTTTATAATTATTTTTAAAGTTCCAGGATTTTGATCCAGAAATATATATGTTTATAAATATCCAGAGATTATTCTGATGTAAAGCCAAATTTGGCCTCAACTATCCCACCTTAGGAAAAGACTGATACATAAATGCGTATGTCACTTCAAAAATCTAGCAGGTATCATAGCTTTTACATCAAATTTAGGCAAAGCCTCAGAATCATTTTCAACAAAACATGGTAGGTAGTCACTGCCACTCCATCGGATGTCAGCTTTTCCCAACTTGTTCTTTTTTTTTTTCCTTTTTTTTTTTTTTTTTTTTTTGAGAAAGAGTCTTGCTCTGTTGCCCAGGCTGGAGTGCAGAGGTGCGATATTGGCTCACTGCAACCTCCACCTCGCAGGTTCAAGCAATTCTGCCTCAGCTGGGATTACAGGCATGTGCCACCACAATCAGCTAATTTTTGTATTTTTTTTAGTAGAGATGGGGTTTCACCATGGCCAGGCTGGTCCTGAACTCCTGGCCTCAAGTGATCCACCCACCTTGGCCTCCCAAAGTGCTGGGATTACAAGCATAAGCCACCATTCCCAGCCTCTTCCCAATTTGTTCTATGTCAAGACTATCCTAATCAAAATCTAAGCAAGCTATTTTGTGGATATCAACCAACATATTCTACTGTTTACATGAGGAGGTAAAAGACCCAGAATAGCCAACTCATTATTGGGGGATAACAAAGTCCAGAAGAGGAAATGGACATACCTATACCACTGAGCCTAACAGTTTCTTTGTAAGTACATATCCAAGAGAAATGAAAACATATGTCCACACAAAAACTGGTACATGAAGGTTCCTAGCAGCATTACTCCTAACAGCCAAAAGTTGGAAACAATCAAATGTCCATCAACTGATGAATCAGTAAACAAACGGGTGAATATATACAATGAAATATTATTCAGTCACAAAAAGGAATGAAGTTCTAATGCATTCTACAACAGAGACGAACCTTGAAAACATTATGCAAGTGAATTAAGCCAGACAAAAAAGGTCATATTTTGTATGATTCCATTTATACGAAATACCCAGAATAGATAAATCCAAAGGGACAGTGGCTGCCAGATAAATCCAAAGCAGATCAGTGGCTGCCAGGGGCTGGAAGCAGGAGGACATGAGGAGTGACTGCTTAATGTGAAAATGCCATCCCCAAATTGCTGAGCAAGATCCCTCAGCTGATGGGACCATCAGCAGTTTGGAGCTGGCATTTTCATTTGAAAGTTTAAATTCTCTCTTCTGAGTTATAATAAAAAAGACAGCCAGGATTTCTTGCACTTGTAGTTATGCATATAATTTATAATATGACAGCATTAATAAAAGAAGTTCTCATTCATTGCTGGGGTGAATGCAAATGGTACAGCCACTTTGGAAGACAGCTTGGCAGTTTCTTTAAAAACTAAATATACTCTTATCATATGATTCAGCAATAGCATTTCTTGGTATTTACCCAAATGAGTTGAAAACTTATGTCCACACAAAAACCTGCACATAGATGTTTATAGCAGCTTTATTCATAACTGCCAAAGCTTAGAAGCAACCAAGATGTCATTTGGTAGGTAAATGGATAAATAAACTGTGGTAGATCCAGACAATTGAATATTATTCAGCACTAAAAATAAAAAAGCGGCCGGGTGCAGCGGCTCATGCCTGTAATCCTAGCACTTTGGGAGGCCAAGGTGGGTGGATCACTTGAAGTCAGGAGTTCGAAACCAGCCTGGTCAACACAGTGAAACCCCATCTCTACTAAAAATACAAAAAAATTAGCTGGGCATGGTAGCAGGCACCTGTAATCCCAGCTATTTGGGAGGCTGAGGCAGGAAAATTGCTTGAACCGGGAGGCGGAGTTTGCAGTGAGCCAAGATCCTGCCACTGCACTCCAGCCTGGGCGACAGAGTAAGACACCATCTCAAAAAAACAATTAAGTAAGTAAATAAGCTATCAAGCCATGAAAAGGCATGGGAGAACCTTAAATGCATATTATTAAGTAAAAAAAAAGTCCATCCAAAATGGCTACATATGATTTCAAATACATGACACTCTGGAAAAGGCAAAACTAAGAAGACTAAGGAGATGAGTTGTTGCCAGGGGCAGTGGGGAGGGAGGGATAAATAAGCAGAACACATGGGATTTGTAGGGCAGTGAAACTATTCTGTATAATACTACAATGGTGGATGCATGTCATTGTACATTTGTCAAAACCATAGAATGGGCAATGTGGAGAATGAACCCTAATGCAAACAAACTGTGGACTTTGGATGATAACAATGTGTCAGTGTAGGCTCAATTGTAACAAATGGATCCCATGGTGCCAGATGTTGATAGTGGGAGAAGCTGTTCATATTTGGGATCAGGGGCTATATGGGAACTCTTTCAGCTCAATTTTGCTATGAACCTAAACGTACTCTAAAAAATAATGTTCATTAATATTTTTTTTTTATTTTATTTTTTGAGATGGAGTTTTGCTCTTGTCACCCAGGCTGGAGTGCGATGGTGCCATCTCAGCTCACTGCAACTCCTGCCTCCTGGGTTCAACCGATTCTCCTGCCTCAGCTTCCCGAGTAGCTGGGATTACAGGCACGCACCACCACGCCCAGCTAATTTTTTTGTATTTTAGTAGCAATGGGGTTTCACCATGTTGGCCAGGCTGATTTCAAACTCCTGACCTCACTCAGGTGATCCACCTGCCTCAGCCTCCCAAAGTGCTGGGATTACAGGCGTGAGCCACCACGCCTGGCCGTTACTTTTATTTTTAATGAATGAAATACACATTCTTACATTTCTATTTTAATTTCTAATATGTTAAACATCGATATAAATCCACATAAACAAAAGCTCTTTGAGAATCTCAAAAATTGTTCATGTATAAGGCAGTTCTGAACCCAAAAACTTTGACAACCACTGCATTAAAATTTTGTATGTGTTATGAACTGAATGTATCCCACAAAATTCTATGTTGAATCCCTAACCCCCAATGTGACAGTATTTGGTTATGGCCTTTGGGAGGTAATCAGGGTTTTAGGCATAGAGTGGGACCCTCATGATGAGATTCATGCCCTTATAAGATGAGACATCAGAGAATTTCCTCCTCCTGTCTTTCCCTGTACACAAAGAAAAGGTCCTGTGAGTACGCAGGGAGAAGGTAGCTGTTTACAAGCCAGGAAGAGAACACTCACCCTAATCTAACCAGGCTGACACCCTGGCCTTGACCACACCTCTGCTATGCTGCAGAGGTAATTATGGCAGGATAGGAAGAAGAGTAGGAAGAGTTCTCAAAAATTTACAGTATCACCAGGGAGGCTTACATGCAAGTAAAATGTTTGGATATGCCCGTATTTTTTTCCTTCTCTTATTACATACTATTCTGAATCTTGTCAGCCAGAGTCAGTACATGGCATGTCTTACTTCCTCCCTCTCCACAGTGGTCCATTTGCATTGTTTGGAGATAACCACAGTTTATTTAGCAGTTCTCTTACTAATGAACTTTTACAGTTTTTCAATCATTTTGCTGTTAAGTACTATATTAGTCAGCTCCCACTGCCATAACAAAATAGTGTAGACTGCATGGCTTAAACAACAGAAATTTATTTTCCTCATAGTTCTGGAGAACTACGATCTGGAGTCTCCCTCTGTTGCCTACTGTTGCCCACTGCACTCCAGCCTGGGCGACAGAAGGGACTCGGTCACACACAAAAATAATTTTTTTAATTTATAAAAAAGACAGGATCTCTGTCGCCCAGGCTGGAGTCCAGTGGGGGCGATCTTGGCTCACTGCAGCCTCCACCTCCTGGACTCACGTGGTCCTCCTCCCTCAGCCTCCCGGGTAGCTGGGATCACAGGTGCGCACCACCACCTCGGAACATTTTTTTAAATTTTTTTGTAGAGATGGGGTCTTGCTGTGTTGCCCAAGCTGGTCTCCAACTCCGAGGTCAAACAATCAGCTCGCCTCAGTCTCTCAAAGCCCTGGGATTACAGGCGTGAGCCCTGGTGCTGGGCCCTGAGTCGCTTCTCCATCCGGACGGGGCGCCTAATCCCCTGGAAAAGGCCCCGTTGCCAGGGTGACAGGACCAAAGGGACCCAGACAGGGAGGGCCCCGGGCTTTGCAGGGAGTCGGGCCGCAGTGTGACGAGCGCCCGGACTAGTGTCAGGGTCTGGGCTGGCTCACCGGGTCTTGACGCCAGGAGGCCGCAGAGCCCGGCCAGCAGCAACCAGAGGCGGAACATGGTGCGGCTTCGGGGCTGCCAGCGGGAAGCCGTTGGGAAGTCGGGAATTGCCAGGGACGCGGGGACGCGCGGACGCCGGGGGCCGCTCCCCGCACGTTCATGGGACAGCGTTCTCCGGAGGCCCCGGAGACGGGGTGCTCTCGGTGTTTAGCGTCCGGAACACGAAGGGCCCGCAGCGTGCGCCCCGAGGCTAAAACATCCAGCTCCCTTCCCGGCGCACCCCAGCCGCGTGGTTGCTGGAGCCACTGACCACCCAGCGCCCTCTGTCGAGATCGCGCTCGTAGTCCTCCACTAACTTTTCGCTTTGTGTTGCTGGACCTTAAGAACTGACACACTTATTCACAGTCAGCGTGTGCTCTCCTGCACCAGACACTTCCCAGTTGCTTTTTTTTCTTTTTGGGACGGGGGTGCTCACTATTCTGCCCAGGCTGGTCTCGAACTCCTGGGTTCAAGTGATCCTCCCTCCTCAACTTCCTGAGTAGCTGGGATTACAGGCATCTGCCACCGTTCGGGGCTTCCTAGGTCCTTTCAAAAGCGAATGTGTAATACTTTCTGAATTAAAATCTATATACACACCTAAATATATATTCATATTTGCCAAACCTGTTTCTAATATTTTTTCAAAACTATTTAGCCAGATGTGTGAACATTCCAAAGAAGGGAAAAGTGAGCCGCTTTTCAATATGAAATGCCAGCTCTTCATATTTTTGAAGAGCGCCAGCTGCATTTTTTTCCCCACTGACGCTGCCCAAATGGACTTCACAACCAGGCTTTTTCCTCCAATCTGGTTCTCCGCAGGCCATTGGCTAAAACTCATGTGATGTCATTCTATTGTTCAGAAACTTCTCAGTGCAATAAATACTTATTTCATGTAGTGAAAGATTTAGAGATTCTTGCCCACAATTACAGTAATTACATTCCAGTAGAAAATTCTAGCCTCAGCATAGTAATTTTTCTGAACTCAGACCGGAACCTGCCACTTAATTTCTCCTATCCCGTGTTTTAGCAGCTCTGACTTTGGGTTTTTCCTAAACACTGCTTTACTCCCTGGAACTGCAATGCCTCCTCCTTCCCAGCCTCACACCTGGTCTCCATCTGTATGCATTAGCTTTTCATTCTTTTCAAATCCCAAAGAATGGATTAATTTCTCATACTACATAATAGGCCAACACATAAACTAAAAGGCCTCATGGGAACAGAGAAAAATCTCACTTGGGGAACTAAGACATTTAAAGTGAAGATGTGATTTTTATGGATGCACGCAATTTCAACAGGGCAATCTACACCTGAAATTAATAGCATGAACAAAAACAAGGCAACAGGCCAGGTGAGGTGGCTCACGCCTGTAATCCCAGCACTTAGGGAGGCCGAGGTGGTTGGATCACCAGAGGTCAGGAGTTTGAAACCAGCCTGGTCAACATGGTGAAACCCCGTTTCTACTAAAAAATACAAAAATTAGCCGGGCATGGTTGTGGGCGCCTGTAATCCCAGCACTTGGGGAGGCTGAGGAAGGAGAATCGCTTGAGCCCAGGAAGTGGAGGTTGCAGTGAGCCGAGATTGTGCCATTGCCCTCCAGCCTGGGTGACGAGCAAAACTCCATCTGGGGCAGGTGGAGGGGTGGGGTGGGGAACAAGGCAACAAAAAAATACACTGAGCTTGTATCTCAATAGGAACAGCCAATGCTAAGCTAACACTGCTTTTAGGCAGCTGCTGAGCCACAGCTAGTTTCACCTTGCTTTGTAACAAACAGAAGAGCAATTACAGTAAATGCTTCAACTCATCAATTAGTGGTAAGTATTCTGAATGAATTTCTGGCTCTTGTATTATTTTGTTCTTTCTTACTCCTCAACCTTTCTGGTTTGTATCTTTAATAGGGTTGATTTTGTATTATTCTTGTGTGTATGCCTCTCTTCATAACAGAGGATGCACTTCTAAAAGTCGGGAAACATATCCTATCCAGAACTTAGATATCACAGTACCTAATACAGTGCCTGAAAAATGGTAGGTTTTAGTAAACATTTATGAAATTTAATAAAATCTGATTTGAGTTTAGAAAACCCAAATTGTGCTTAACTCTATGGTTACAGACACAGGAGAAAGCGAGAATGCAATACTCTGAACAAGGTCAGTTTGACATACAGAGTCAAACAGAGATGTCAAACTTGCATATAATTTACCCTTATTTATTCTTTTTGAAGAAAGAAAGGATGTCCTTTAATATTTTCAAATTTTGAAGTGGCATCCATGACCAAGTAAGTAAAAAACATAAAGCATATTAAAAAATATATAAAAGAAGTTCAGATCCAATAGTCTTTTTAAAAACTTAACTAGTCAAATATCCAAAGAACTATTTAATTCCAAGTGTTAAGTTACATAGTTAATACATTACCAACTGTAAAATTTCAGTGATATGCATCACAATTGCAAAAACTGAGGCTACATGAGTGAACAGCACAAACGTTTGAGTCTTATATGAATTCATTTAGAGATTTAAAATGAAACGATGGACCTTCATTTGAGATTGCTCACAATTTTTAATATGTATACTTGATTGTTAAAATAACATGCTGTCTTCAGAAAACTGAAATTTTTGCCTTCTTCAAAACTAATCTGTTCTTTATTAACAAAAAGCCATTGTGCACACTTTGGCAAAAGTCTGAAAATTAGTGAGATAATATCTGTAAAAATTTGACTAGAATTTTTATCTAAAATTATAACTTTTTAATTAATGAGATTATAAATAGTTGAGTAGGAAGCTACTAGGAGACACAAAAGAGAATTTCAAGTATTTTATTTATTGTAAATGTTGTATTTGTATATGTATATATACACAAACCAAAAACACTTTTAAAAAACTAATGAAATTCAGTTAATAAACCTATTATTAAACTTTATTATGAAAGGTTATGAAAAAATTTTTAGTGCTTAAAATTTTACGATCCATACCATATCTGCCATAGTAAAAATTCATTTTTAACACAGCTAAGATGATAACTCATAGATACCACAGTAACTTTTTTGTAGGTATTTAAGAAAACCATTTCTTCCTTCTTTCTCCAGCCTAATTTCTATGAAAATATTAGTGTCTAATATTTTACATGACCCAGCACACCTTAGTAAATGTAAACATTCTAAATGATTTAATAGCAAGCTTTGAAAGTTCAGATTTTAAAGTGCTCATGAAATTCTCAAGTGGTTTTGTAAAAGTTCAATTGATTGAAGATTTTATAATTGCTCCTGCTTTATTATAGCCATGAATCAACATATTTGATTAGATCTATTAAATACTTCGTACCTTAAAGCTTATAATTTATTTAAAATAGTGCTATTGTGAACGAATGTCATGCTTTCACATGATTCATAATAGAAATTCTAATATTAAATTAATTTCTCTAAGAGTTATTACCTATAGTTGAAAGGTCATAAAAATGGAAGCGAGTAACTGCGTGAATACACACACACTCTTTTAGTATATTTTGTACTTTCAAAATAATATGACATCTTAATTGTGGTTCTTGTGCATTCTTTTGAAGACAATATTTGCTTATTCATGTAGTGAGTGACAGACAAGATTCTAGAGTATGATGATTATTAATTCGTGCATGATGAAAAATATTAGATATTATTGGCAGCTGATTAGTCAGTTTTCACAGGTATTAGATTATCACATGTTCAATGAGGAACTACATTAATGATAACTAAGGTAGAAAATTCAGAATAACACTTAAACACTTAATGACAAAACTCTTACACCAATACAGTTAATTTGAGAATCACTGCAATAACATGTTCAAAAAATCCATGATTAGTGCATTAACCTCACCGATGACTGAATAAGACTTATTCAATGATGGAAACGGAAATGTTATTGTAAATTCCCTGGCTTTACTGCATTTCCTTGTATTTCACAACTCTCACACTCAGTTTCTGTTTTTCTGTGTTAGTGAAGTCTGTTTTGTGGTGTTTTGTTTTCATTCATAGTTGCAACAGAAAGGCTTTTCAAGAAAACATCAAGAAAAAAAAAAAGTATTAGCTCAGTTCCCTGAAGACATTTGCAAAAAGAAGGTTAAAAAAATCAAGTGAGGGAACTATATAAAGGAGGTGCAGGAGCAGGACGGGCAGGAATTAAGTTTCCCTGAGATGATACTTTCGGTTGTGGTGGAGGTGGCCTGCGAGGGGAAAAGAGATAGTTAATAGAGTGTTTAGACTGGGTGAAATAATGCCATATTCATTACAAGCTCAACATAACACCATCCTCAACATCTCTGACAACAGGAAAGGGTACTGTACATTCTGAGATCAGTATTAGGGTGATATTCAATGGCTAAAAGGCTCCAATTAGAGTCTAAAATGGAATAACTACTTTAAATAATATTACTCCATAATCAACAATGTTGTATGAAGGTTCTAGTTTACATGTTTTTTCAAAAAAAAAAAAAGCACATGAAATGGTAAAGATAAACTGTAAAAGACAAGTGAGTACACTAAGTGATCAAGCACTTGCCTGTGCTGTTAGAATTTGAGGGCAGCAAATTACTGCTGGTGTAAACCTAGCTGTTTATAGCTCCCTCAACATGAGATTCACTCTGAGAATTAAAAGTGTTATGACTTCTATACCTGTCCATCTCAAACCTCATACTTCCACCTGTGGACACCCGCTCCTAACCTCATCATCCAATTCTAGTACACCTCTACTCCAGTAACACTAGAACACTACCTGGTGAATGTTTCCCTCACAATTTATATACTCTTTCCCTGATCCTCAGTCGGATTTCAATGTATTCTTACTGTATAATAAAGATTACATATGAAGATAGTCCTCAGAGTTGCAACGCAATTGTAATTTGAAAGACTTCTAGGGGATGGGAGGGTCACATGCATTTGCATTTTATGTGATACAAAATGAAGTAATAAATTATCTTCCTTCCTGATGATTTTAAGCCCATCCATTGAGTCACTTCAGTTCCTGTGTTTTTCAGTTCTAGAATTTGCATTGATTCTTTTAGTTTTTAGTTCTGTGCTGAAATTCTCAATCTTGACTTTTAATTCCATGACATCATAGTTATTTTAAAGTCCATGTCTATTAACTGGATACCATCTCAGTCTGTTTCTATGGTCTATTGTTTCTTGGTTTTAGTCATATTTTCTTTTCTTTTACACTTGGCTTTTTTTGATCATGAGCAAAACATAAGAAATTGTAGAAATCAGTTGAAGGTCTAGTTCACTCTTACTTCTGGGTCCCAGCACAGACCCTGAGATGTTTGCCAGGGTGCCTCCTCTTTGGCAGGATTCTAAATTTTGTCCCCTCTGCCCTGTGAGTTTGTAGAAAGCTCTCCTCAGCTTCCTAGCCTCTCTGTTGTCAGAACAGGTAAACTCATCTAGGAAGGAAAAGTGGCCCCCAAAGCTGGGATCATTTCTAGATTTCCTTCCTCTCCTGACCTTACCCCCACAATTCCTCACTTCTTTAGTCTTCTATGCCTTCAAACACATATTTTCTTATATTGTCCAGCTTTTTTAGCTGTTTTTGACGGGAAGGCTGTTCCAACCCATCTGGTTTCCTACTGCTGGTTATCTCAAAGGCCCTTGCTTCTAAATCGTATGCACATGAAAGCTGTGGCAGCAGAATCTGTCTTGCTCAAGCTTATTTAATATTTCATTTTGACCCTGTACCAATATGATAAAATTTATATAAAGTTATTTTAAAACCTTTCTGCAAATCATATTCTTGTAAACTGTTGACAATAAATACCTTTCACTAAATTACATTAAAATACAGGGGAAATTATTAGACATTAACCCCTAGGTTTTATTCTGGCCAAAAAATCTAAGCAAATTTTCTTCTGACCTTGATGGGAACTGCTGAGGTTGCTTGGCTGCATAGGTTGGTACTGCAAATCTGTTTGCATATATAGGCTAAAAAGAAAAAAAAAATAAGGTTATTACCACTATGTGCTCATAAATATGATTTCTAAATAGAAGAAATCTACATATTTAAAATCAATAAACAGACTACAGTTGAATATTCCTTATCAGAAATGCTTAGAACCAGAAGAGTTTCAAATTTCAGATTTTTTTTCCAATTTTGGAATATTTGCACGTACATAATCAGATATTTTGGGGACGGGACCCAAGTCTAAACAGAAAAGTCATTGATGTTTCATATAGGCCTCATACATATAACCTCAGGGTAATTTTATACAATATTTTAAATAATTTTGTGCATAAAATAATGTCTGTGTATGCTGAACCATCAGAAAGCAAAGGTGTTACTCTCTCAGCCCCTCATGTGGACAATCTGTGGTTGTTTGGCTCACCATCACTCCTGACTCTGAATTTATATACTACTGGTAAGCAATCATTTTCTTAGATTTATTCACATATAAGTACTAAACAGTGCATTCTGACTGCAACTCATCACATGAGGGCAGGTGTGGAAATTTCCACCTGTGGCATCATGTTGGTGCTCAGAAAGTTTTGGGTTTTGGAGCACTTTGGATTTTCAGATTAGGGGTGCTCAACCTGTATTTATTTATAATGCTGACAGTCAAAAATATTTTGCTTATTTGACATATCTTTACCACTGAATGTGGAATACTTAATTCTTTTAAGGTATTTTTTTAAATTCAGTAATACCAAAGTACTAAGATCTTGGTTCAAACCAACTGTATTAGTTAGAAGGTAACATATTTCCTATGTCAATGTATTTTAAATAAAATCTTCCAAAATGTATTGCCAAACCTATACAGTATCTAACTAATACTATAAAAACCACTCAGCTAGAATCCTCGGTTTTGGAATTCATTATATCCTTCCTTGATGAAGTAGTTGAAGTTTACAACAAAGTGAAACTGTATAACTTAGCCTCAAATAAGAAAGTAAAAGTAATATTTTTCACATATCACATTACACTATAAGACGTTAGGAATGATCAGATGGAATTACTAAATCAATGATGAAGTGACCTTGACCAAGATGTTCTTTACTATCTACTGTTAACTCCTAAAGTTCTATGACTGGCAGAGAATGCACAGTGGTGGTGAAGACCTTGAGCACCCTCTGGCTTCTACCATAGAACAGGTGGTCTATCATCTGCAATTTTTTTCCCCACAGAATGATTTATATGTACTGTGAAAATGGGTGAAAAATGCAACAAAATGTCTCCATCCCTTTCCACAAGCCATAGGAACAGCACTCTAAAGGGATCAAGTCCACTTTTGGAATGACAATGTGGTGAGGTGATGGGTATGGGAATTAGCTTCACTGAATCTTTTTTTTTTTTTTTTGAGACGGAGTCTGGCTCTGTCGCCCTGGCTGGAGTGCAGTGGCGCGATCTCAGCTCACTGCAAGCTCCGCCTCCCAGGTTCACACCATTCTCCTGCCTCAGCCTCCCGAGTAGCTGGGACTACAGGCACCCACCACCACGCCTGGCTAATTTTTTTTTCGTATTTTTAGTAGAGACGGGGTTTCACCATGTTAGCCAGGATGGTCTCCATCTCCTGACCTCATGATCCGCCCACCTCAGCCTCCCAAAGTGTTGGGATTACAAGTATGAGCCACCGCGCCCAGCCGACTGAATCTTACAACAAGGTATACATAGACCAAAACATCACATTGTGGCCAGGCGCCTGTAATCACAACACTTTGGAAGGCTGAGGCAGGTGGATCACATGAGGTCAGGAGTTCAAGACCAGCCTGGCCAACATGGCAAAACCCCGTCTCTACAAAAAAATCACCCGGGCATGATGGCGCACGCCTGTAATTCCAGCTACTCAGGAGGCTAAGGCAGAAGAATTGCTTGAACCCGAGAGGCAGTGGTTGCAATGAGCCGAGATCATGCCACTGCACTCCAGCCTGTGCAACACAGCGAGACTCCATCTCAAAAAAAAAAAAAAAAAAAAAACAAACACGATACCCCAAAATATACACAATTATTATTTGTCAATTAAATATAAATTAATGAAAACAAGCTAAAGATTACAAGCAAGCAAGGTGCTGGATATGTTAATTAGCTTGATTTAATCACTTCCACATTGTTTACATAAAACATCATGCTGTACCCCATAAATGTATACAACTATGATTTGCCAATTAAAACTAAAATTAATTTAAAAAAATTTTAATCTTTTTTGGCATTTATCTGACATATACTTTTAAATGTATGCAAAGATCTATTTACAAGGATGCTTGGTGCCACATTTTTTTATGGTATAAGACTGGAAACAACCTGTTTTTAAATTTCTGGTAAATTTATAAGAGGGAACAGCATGCGGTTATTAAAAACAATGAAGTACATGTTCACTTCTTGCAAATAGTGGACCAAATGTCCAGAGGAAACTTCCCAGTACAGTACACCTAAAATGCTGCCTAAAATATTTAAAAGGTATTTTGAAACACTTGGCTGGGTTGGTGGGAAGTAAGAAACATCTTACAGGCCAAAAAAAAACCAAGAACGTATGAAAGAGTCCAAACTACGGAGTTGCCTTTGTCCTGTGGAAATCTTCCTATCCTTGGCAGGTGGCAGTATGCGTTTTCAGTGACCCATAGATAAAGGAGGCAAAAGCTGGGGCCTGAGCTGGATGGAATGGTGAATACAAGGCCCTATACAAAGCCTAGACATATGAAGGGTGGTATCCCCATGGGTTAACTAGAAAAACAAAAACCTGCCTCAAGGAAGGCCCGTGGTGATACTGCCTTGGTGCTGATAGATGGGGAACTAAAAAAATAGTCTCCATGGAGAAATTCTTACCACACACCCATCCTCATAAGAGTTTGGGGACCAGAGTTCCTAACATTTGTGTGGCAAAAAAATATATATATATCAACAAAAATTTCAGTTTAAAGACATCAAAGATTGACCATGCCCCCAAGCATCTGGCAAAGAAAAATACTCTCGGTAGGAACCCACTATAATTCAGGATTCAAATATATTTATTTCCAATATAAAGTTCCAAAGAAGGTGAGTTTACAATCAACATCACAAGGGCACTAAGAAATGAGCCATCACGAGAGTCAGCAGAAATAACAAACCTGAGAACCCACCAAGGGCATACATATTAAAATGATCAGATACAGCACAAAAATTAGGTGTTTGAATATGCTTTAAGAAATAAAAGCTTTAAAACAGATAATAAAACTATAACAAACAATCACAAATAACCAGGCAGATTCGAAATAGAACTAAGTAGAACTACAGGAATTAAATGTACTATAAAACTAGTGAAATGAGATATTCAATGAGTTGGTTAAGTAGATTTGGCATAGTTTAGTAGAGACTTAGTGAATAGAAGGTAGATCCAATATAATCAGAATGGAATACACAAGAATATTGGAAATACCAAAGAGAGGTTAAGAAACAGAGATAGTAAAAAGTCTAACATGCAAGAAATGCATGAAAGAGTTAATTAGATAATGAGACAGAGGCAATAAAGAAATAATTGCTAAGAATTTGCTAGAACTGAAAAATGTAAATCAACTCCGGAAGTCTATTTACTGGCAAAGGAGTTTTTTTAAGTCCACATCTACACCAAATAGTCTAAAGATACAGAAGAAAAAGCCACATGGAAAAGATATCATCTACAGCATCAATTAGAGTAACAGACAATGTTTAAATTGCAACAAAGGATGTTAAAATATAGTCTATTTAAAGTTCTTAGGAAAAAAAAAAGCTGTCAGCCAAAAACATCCGGAAAAGACAAAAACTGACAGAATTTACTACCAAAATACCTTCGCTAAGGGAACTTCTAAAAGATACCCAGTTGAAGTAGATATATCAGAAAAATAAGCTGAGATTCAATAAGGTTGAAAGCAGACAATCAACACATGGGAAAATAGCTAAAGCTCACAGAGCACTTCACATGTGCCACAAGCACTTCTCAGTGCTCCACACATACGAATCCCTCTGATTTTCACAAAAGTCATTTGTGATTAGTACTATTATTATTTTACAGATGAGGAAACAAGTACAGAAAGAGTTTGAGAATCTTGCCTAAAGTCACAGCTTATAAAGTGACAAAGGCAGTACTCAAACTGGGCAGTTTGGCTCACAGTCCATCCTCTTAATTAATTTAATTGGTGTATGGCCTCACAAACCTAAACAAACATTTCATAATTCAATAGTCATATCTATATTGTAGAATTTTTTTAAAAAAAAGACTTAAAATACTAGACAACAGGCCAAGCTCAGTGGCTCAAGTTGTAATCCCAGCACTTTGGGAGGCCAGGGCGGGCGGATCACGAGGTCAGGAGTTCGAGACCAGCCTGGCCAATATGGTGAAACCCCATCTCTACTAAAAAATACAAAAATTAGCTGGGAGTAGTGGCGCATGCCTGTATTCCCAGCTACTCAGGAGGCTGAGGCAGGAGAATTGCTTGAACCTGGGAGGCGGAGGTTGCAATGAGCCGAGATGGCACCACTGCACTCCAGCCTGGGCAACCGAGAAAGACTCTGTCTCAAAAAAAAAAAAAAAGTCAGAGAGACCACAGTATCACAGACACCTGGGGGTGCTCTTGAGTAGAAACTAGCAAACCTCCACAATTAGGAGACTGCAGAAAAAAACCTCACAGAGGACACATCCCCAAAAAAGATTTGAGAGGCTACCAGAATCTCTAGCCAGGCTGAGTAGCGTAAGTCCTCCTTGTACAAAACAAGGCTGCAAAATCTGAGAAAGGCAGCTAATTCTTCAAATGCCAAAATCCCAATAATAAATGACAAATAATACAAAGAAATAGAAACATGGCACATTTAAAGAAACAAACTCAATCTCCAGAAACTGACCCTAAGGAAACAGATATATATAAATTACCAAAGAATTCAAAAATTACCATCATAATGATGTTCAAAAAATTAAAAGAGAATGCAGATGGACAACTAAAAGAAATCAGGAAAATGATGTATGAACAAAATGAGAATATCAACAAAGAGACAGGAACTATAAAGAAGAACCAAACAGCAATTCTGGAGCTGAAAACTACTGTAATGCTAAATTGAAAGATTCACTAAAAGGATTCAACAACAAACATGATGAGGCAGAAGAAAGCATCAGTGGACTCAAAGACTAGTATATTCAAAATCAAAGTGGCAGAGGAGCAAAAAAGGTGAAGAGAAAGGAAAATAAATAGCAACACAAAACCATATGAAAATATAAAACTCGATAATAATGGTAAGTGTATAGACAGAGAATCCTGTAGTACTGTAATGTGAGTGTGAAAATCACTTTTAAATCTTGTTAGAATGTTAAAAGCATAGCATAAAAAGTAATGAATCTGTGTTAATGATAAGCAATATAAAAAGAGGTAATTTTGTGTCATCAGTTACATAAAGTGGAAGAAGAAGAAATATAAAGGGGTAGAGTTTTTGTGATTGAAGTAATCAGTTTAAAATAGATTGCTATAAATTTATAAAATATTTTATGTAATTGCAAAGATATCACAATATATGTGCTATAGAATATGCACAAAGGAAAATGAGAATCAAAATATTACTACAAAAAAACAAAGAAAATGATTAATTTATTGTATATTTCAAAATAGCTAAAAGAGTAGAGTTGGAATGTTCCTAACATAGAAATGATAAATCCTTGAGGTGATGACTATCCCAATTACCCTGATTTGATCATTACACACTATATGCTTGTTTCAAAATATCACATGTACCCCATGTGATATGTACAACTATTATGTATCCATAATTGATTTTTTTAATTAAAAAGAAATACAAAAGAATGCAGCAAGGGAAGAAGGAAGGGTCAAAAACAAAATAGCAATAGTAAGTCCCCATCTATCAGTAATTCTTTTAAATATGAGTAAGTATTCTGTGCAAATGGAAACCAAGAGAACAAGGATAGCAATACTTACATCAGACAAAATGATGTAACATCAAAAACAATAAAAACAGAGATGAAAAAGTGCATTAATGGTAAAGGTGTCGATTCATCACAAGGATATAACAACTGTAAATACATATGCAGCCAATTTAGAGCACCTAAATATATAAAGCGAATATTAATTAATCTGGAGAGAGAGCTAAATAGCAACCCAATACTACTAGGAAACTTCAATACTTCACTTTCAACAACAGATAGGTCATCCAGACAACAAATCAGTAAGAAAACATTTGGCTCAAACTAGACTTTAAACAAAACAGATCTAATAGACACATTCCATCCAACAAAAGCAGAATACACATTCTTCTCAAACGCACACAGAACATTCTCCAGGACAAATAATATGTTAAACTGCAAAACAAGCCTTAACAAATTTTAAAAGACTGACATCAAGTATGTTTTCCAACTACAATATTAGGACTCAAAATCAATAACTGAAGAAATTTAGGAAAGTCACAAATACATGAAAATTAAACAACATGCTCCTAAACAATCACTTGGTCAATGACAGATAAAAAGAAATATTTTAAAATATAGCTGACACTTAAGCAACACGGGTTTGAACTGCACAGGTACATCTATATGCAGATATTTTTCAACCAAACACAGATTGAAAATACAGTATTCATGACCCACATATACAGAGGGCCAACTTTTCCTATATGTGGGTTCTACAGGGCCAACAGAATTAATTGAGTATAGGCAGATTGGGCTATATGTAGGGGTCCTGGAACCAATCCCCAATGTGTACCAAGAAACAACTATATCTTGAGACAACAAAAATAGAAACACAACATAACAAAATGTATGCAACACAGAAAAAGCAATTCTAAGGGGGAAGTTTATAGCAAGTCTATACCAATAAGTGCCTACATTTTTTAAAAAATCTCAAATAACCTAATGTTACACCTCAAGACCTAGAAAAAGAGGAACAATCTGAGCCTAAAGTTAGTAGAAGAAAGGGAATAGTGAAGTTCAGAGCAAAAATGAATGAAATACTGGAAAAATAGTATTAATAGAATCAATAAAACTAAGAGTTGGTTTTTTGAAAAGATAAATAAAATTAACACACCATTAAGTAGACTAAGAAAAAAAGAAAGAGGAATCAAAATCAGAAATGAAAGAGAAGACATTACAGCTGATACCACAGAAATAGAAAGTTTTATAAGAGACTGCTATGAACAATCATACACCAACAAATTGAACCTAGAAAAAAATAAATTCCTAGAAACATACAACCTATCCAGACTGAATCAAGACAAAATAAAAAATCTGAAAAGATCAATAATAAGTAAGGAGATTGAATTAGTAACTTTAAAAAGTCTCCCATTAAAGAAACTCAGGACCTGATAAAGTCACAGATGAATTCTACCAAACATTTAAAGAAGAACTAATGCAATCCTTCTCAAACTCTTCCCAACACTTGAAGAGGAAGGAATATTTCCAAACTCATTTTACAAGGCCAGCATTACCCTGAAACCAAAGCCAGACAAGGACACCACAAGAAAAGAAAATTACAGGCCAATATCCTTTATGAACACAGATGCAAAAATCTTCAACAAAATACTAGCAAACT